>NC_000012.12:126794134-127095758 GCF_000001405.40 Homo sapiens
TAAGATTGGGGGGGAAAGGCTTAAGATAAAATTAATGCAGTGTTTAGCACCATCATTAAAAATGCTGTTACTGTTGTTGTTTTACATGTTTCAAGGTCATTTAAGCTAGTCGGCTGAGTTTCGTGCTTGGAAGATGAAGGAACTACCACCCTCTCCCTTCCTCCCCTGCCTCCATTACTAATTATTTTTATTCACATTACTTTAAAGAGTTTATACCATTTATATGGTGTAGTGAATTTCCAATTCCCATGTTCATTACATTTTAGTTCTATATGAAGATTATCCTGCCTGTTTCGTCATTGGCCATTGCTTCATCTGCTTGTCATCTTCCAAAGTGTTTGTTTTGTTTTATTTTATTTTATTTTATTTTATTTTATTTTATTTTATTTTATTTTATTTTATTTTATTTTATTTTTGAGATG
The DNA here is from genome assembly GCF_000001405.40 of Homo sapiens. NCBI lineage: Eukaryota > Metazoa > Chordata > Mammalia > Primates > Hominidae > Homo > Homo sapiens. Next base: position 126,794,557 of record NC_000012.12, read on the forward strand.
GAGTCTTGCTCCATTTCCCAGGCTGGAGTTCAGTGGCATGTTCTCTGTCACTGCGACCTCCGCCTCCCAGGTGCAAGAGATTCTCCTGCCTCAGCCTCTGGTGTAGCTGGGATTACAGACACCTGCCACCATGGGGTTTCACCATGTTAGCCAGGCTAGTGTCAAACTCCTAACCTCAAGTGATCTGCCCCCATCGGCCTCCCAAAGTGCTGATGTTACAAGCACTAACCACCACGCCAATCATGGGTTCAATCTACTGTATTGGATTGGAAATCTCAACATATTTATAAAAAGTAAGGTGCTATATAATTATAAGAGGTTTCCATCCATCATCTGTTCAATAAGCATTGATTGATGGCCCTGTGTGACAGGCACTGGGATTGAAGCTGGGCCTAGACGAAGGTTTAATACCCAGTTGTTGGCATCACTGAGCTCATTATGGCCCTGGGAAGTGTTTCATATACAATAACAGACTTCCACTTTCTGGCAGAAATTTCTTTAATGAGAAATGAAGGATTATCTCATAATTAAAGGCTGAGCTTGAAACACGGATGCCCTTAAGGGGAGTGAGGGTGCCTTCATTTATTTAGAATCAGGTGTGGAAGCACTGGGTTCTTTCCAGAGTGCAGAAAAGGGATAAAGGATATTTAGAAAAAAATAAAAATAACAAGCGTTGCTGTGGACTTTAGGGCTAATCTGCCAATCTTTTTATTTTCCCAAAAACATGTCTTCCTTTGAAAAATATTTACCTTTGGCCACTGAGGCAGCTCATTTATAGACAGCAATTATGAAATCATGTTCTCCTTCCAGGGGAGGGAATCTTGGAGAGAGAGGAAGTGACTTAGCACAGTGAGCTGCTCAGCAGCTGGAAACCTAATGGAACAGAACACCATCTAACCCCTGGGAGATGCATGCAGCCACTCTGTGATTTTACAACCACAGCAGACTTTTCCTATGAGTATCCCTTGTAGGTGGTTCAGAACTCTCAGTTGAGAGGCAGCTGTGGAGAAACCAGGCCAGCTTCTGCAGGGACGTGAGTCCATTCTGGTAGGAAGAGACAGCCCTGCTTTCTGTCTGCTAGCTGTGTGTCAGGGACACTGCTACCCTGCAGACCTGCCAAGGAGTGAGGGAATAGCATTCTCCAACATTGCTGTCTCTGCATATGTCTTTGTTACAAGGCAATGGCAGACTGCTACAGAGTGTAATGGAATGGTAAAGCTAAAATGGGTCATTTCCTAAAAACAGTGACATCAATCTGATTCTTCAAAGCATAGAGGTACTGAAGAACAAATAGGGAACCATGTGGGCTGCCTGGTCCCTGTTGTTCACTTGTGTTTTCATTCTGTCCCTCTGTACTGTAAACTACCTGAGGGCAGGCCCGTAGTCACACGCTGATGAAGCTCCCAATGTATGTGACAAGTTTGAGACCAGCCTGGCCAACATGGTGAAACCCTGTCTCCACAAAAAAAAAAAAAAAAAAAAAAAAAAAAAAAAAAAAAAAAAAAAATATATATATATATATATATAAGTTAGCCAGGTGTGGTGGCAGACGCCTGTAATCTCAGCTACTTGGGAGGATGAGGTAGGAGAATCACTTGAACCTGGGAGGCAGAGGTTGTGGTGAGCCAAGATTGCGCCACTGCACTTCAACCTGGGCAACAGAGCAAGACTCTATCTCAAAACAAAAACAGAAACAAAAACAACAAAAAAAAGTATCAGCCTACTGTTCTGTAGGTCTGATTCTGAAAACTGAAAATGGGCCTCGTCATGCTACAATCCAGGCATGGGCAGGGTTGTGTGTCCTTCTGGAAACTCTAAGGAAGAATCTGTTTCCTTGCCCTTCCTGGTTGTTGGTGGAATTCAGTTCCTTGTGATTGTAGGATCAGGGTTCCTATTTGCTGTTGTTGTTTGCTGTAAACTTTAAACTGAGGACCACTCCTGGTGTCCAGAGGACACCTGCACTCATGGGATCATGGTCTTGTCCCTCTATTTTCAAAGCCAGCAGTGTCAGAGGTCAAGGTCTCACCTTCCAACCTCCCTTTCTCCTTGTAAGGACTCTTGTGGTGTGTTGGGCCCACCCAGACAACCCAGGGGCATCTTCCCATTTCAATATCAACTAATTAGAAATCTGAATTCCATCTGAAAACATAATTGTCTTTTGCTTTGTAAGGTAACATATTCATAGATTCTGGGGATTAGAACCTGGATGTCTTTGGAGGACCATTATTCTAACACACTTACCTAAACTGCCTGTGATACGGAAGCTGGACAGTGTATCTGAGCTGTCTGAGCTTAAATACAGGCACAAACTTGACTCTGAAACTCAAAGATGTCTGGGATGATTTTTTGGAGCCAATGCTCATTGGTGAAGACAAAGTATGAGCTGCCTTACTGTAAACAGCTTGCCCAGGTTAGCTAGGATTTAGGGGTGGGACAGCCAGTGAGGAATTTCACAACCCAAGATGGGCTGGATGGGTTACGAGGCTGCAAGTTCCCTGACACTGGACCTCGATGACCTTTTCAACCGTGCAGACCTGCAAGACTGCTGCTTTCACAAACTTCTATTTATTTCTTTTCTTTTATCTTTTTCTTTTCTTTTTTTTTTTTTTTTTTTGAGAGAGAATCTCACTCTGCCACCCAGGCTGGAGTGCAGTGGCATGATCTTGGCTCACTGAAACCTTGGCCTCCCAGGTTCAAGTGATTCTCCTGCCTCAGCCTCCCAAGTAGCTGGGATTACAGGTGCACGCCACCATGCCTGGCTAATTTTTGGATTTTTAGTAGAGACAGGATTTCACCATGTTGGCCAGGCTGATCTTGAATTCCTGACCTTAGATTATCTGCCTGTCTCAGCCTCCCAAAGAGCTGGGATTACAGGCATGAGCCACCATGCCTGGCTGACAAAGTTCTGTTTCTATAAGGGCTACTATGCCCACAGTGTTCTGTGACCACTCCAGTTACTCTGCAATTAGTGATCTTAGTCAGAGCTTATAGAATTAATTCACCAGAGTTGAGTGAATACTTGTCCTTAATTTCCTTGACCTGTGCTTCGTATATTGCCTGCTGCATTCACTTAGAAGAATGACATGGTGAATGGGGCAATGAGGAAACTGCAACTTTCTATTAATGATGCAGAAGTGCCAGGTCAGAGCAGTCGTAGTGACGTCAGCATGACATAAGGACCACCGTTATGCCTTGGCCATGTGGGCCATTTAACAAGATGGTCAGCAGGGACAGCAGAGAGAAACATGGCCAGTGATGCCATTTGGAAGACCACTGGAGTTTTTCACCCATGGAACTGGCGTGGGGTGAGACTAGCTTCATGCAGACCCTATGGTCTGATCCTGTGAAAGGCACACAGGAAAATATTGATGCTCTTACCAGAAAGGGGGATTGGATTGATCCTGGGAAGGGATAGAGCACAGACAATCATCTGTCTGTTACCAAGTCTTTGCAGGCATCACTTGGATTTTGAGCATAATATACTTCTCCTTATGGATGCAGAAATATCCACTGGCTTCATGAGATTTCTACCTGCCTACTGATTCTCAGTGTTTCTGACTACACTTCCCCATCTTCATAAATGTTCCATAAGCAGTCACCGTTTCCTCCCCATTCACTCAGTGCTAAGGCTTTGTCGCTCTAAGTGCAGTCTTCTCTGCAATGGTCACTGCTACTGACGTTCTATGGACAACAATCCCCATGTTTTTCTTTGAATTCTGCACTATTGAATGCCACATTTAAATTTCCTGGCCTGATTTTTTATTATTATCATTTCTTGTCTTATATACTGTTATATCTCTAGACTTTACACATGAGAGGTATTAAATAAATATTTTTGAATGAATCAAAGACTTATAGCCATGTTCGACAACGCTTTTCTGATCTATGCTTTCTCTAGAGGCACCTGTCTCCTAAAGATAGACCTGAGGCCACCTGGACACCTGTGGGCCGGCCCTGCTCCAGTGGTCCTCCAGATGACATCACTGGCAGTGTTTCTCTCTGCTGTCCCTGTTGGCCATCCTGTTAAATGGCTCACATGGCCAGGGCATGACAGTGGTCCTTATGTCATGCTGACGTCACTGCGACTGCTCTGACTTGGCACTTCTGCATCATTAATAGCAAGTTGCAGTTTCCTCATTGCCCCATTCACCATGTCATTCTTCTAAGTTGATGCAGCAGGCAATATACGAAGCACAGGTCAAGGAAATGAAGGACACACCATCTATCTTCCAGTGCGGATTGGTGCATGGAAAGGACTATTTATCTATTGCCATGGCTTGGCCCAGACTAGCATGCATTTGTGCCAGAGTGCCATGGGAAGGCCATTTTCCTCTGAACACAAGACAGAAAGAGGAGGAGTGTTATGGACTAAATTGTGTCTCCTCAAAATTCATATATTGAAGCCCTAATACCCAGTATCTCAGAATGTGACTGTGTTTAGACATAGGATCTTTGCAGAGGTAAATAAAATGGGGCCATTAAGGTGGGCTACAATCCATCTTTTCTTTTTTTTTTCTTTTTATTTTAGATAGAATCTTGCTCTGTCTCAAAACAGGCTGAAGTGGAGTGCAGTGGTGCAATCACAGCGCACTGCAGCCTTGAACTCCCAGGCTCAAGTGATTTCAGTCTCCTGAGTGAGACTACAGTTATGCACCAACACACCCAGCTATTTATTTTTATTTTTTAGTAGAGACAGGAGTCTCGCTATGTGGCACAGGCTGATCTCTAACTCCTGGGCTCAAGCAATCCTCCTGTGCCAACCTCCCAAAGTGCTGGGATTACAGGCATGAGCCACCACGTCCATCCATAATCCAGTCTTACTGGTTACCTTTCAAGAACAGATCAGGATACACAGAGAGCCACCAAGGGTGAGTGCACAGAGGAAAGGCCACGTGAGAACACAGCAAGAAGGCCACAATCTGCTCTCCAAGGAGAGAGCCTTCAGGAGAAACCAAATCTGCTGACATCTTGAATTTGAACTTCCACCCTCGAGAGCTGTGAGAAGAAAAATTTCTACTGCTCTAGGCACCCCATCTGTAGTATTTTGTTATGGCAGCCCTATCAAACTAGTACTGGTTGGTACATATTTCTCCCTCATTTGTACTGCCAAGTCTACCCCACTGTACAGAAAACAAACGCATGGGATATTTTTAAAAGGAAAACTTTAATAAAAGATAGGGTTATGATTCCACCTTCAGTTTTCAGGGAGATGGTGTTTACATGCTCAACACAGAGAATCAGGAGCAGGCAAGATGGGAGATCATAGGAAAGCTGCTGCTCTCTGCCTTTGGATCTAAACTGCTTTAGTGATGAGAATTCTCTCATAGTGAAAAGATGCTTTAGATGGAAACCCTATGCCCATCACTTTCTGGAAAATGATCTTGTCTCCTTTTAATCCTTTTTGGATAAAGGAGATTCTGGTGGATATGTCACCTAATGATTGTTTTGCATACCATGGGTCTCTTGCATTTCTGTATGAATTTTATAACATCGGTCTCTCCAACCAAACCCACTGGAATTTTAATAAAGATCACATTGATCTGTAGGTCAATTTGAGGATCAATTTGAGGGTTACTATCTCAACAATATTAAGGTCTTCTTATCCACTCACATGTACTTTTTCACTTATTTATACCATCTTTCACTACTTTCCATGTTTCCTAGTTTTCAGTGCAATAATTGTATTCATCTTTTATTAAATTCACTTCTATTTTTGATGCTATAATGAATAGAATTGCTTTCTTCACTTCATTTTGGAATATGCATTGCTAACCTGTAGAAATGCATTTGAATTTTGTATATTAATCTTGTATCCTGAAATTTTACAGAACTCATTCATCAATTTGAGTAATTCATCCATGAATCTGTTAAGATTTTTACATATAACATCATGTCATCTACAAATAGACATTGTTTTATTATTTTTTTCTTTCAAATCTGAATACCTTTTTAATTATTATTATTTTTCCCTAATTGTGCTGGTAGAACTGCCAGCAAAATGTTAAATAGAAGTGGTGGGCCTGGTCGCCTTTTTCTAGTTCTTGATTTAAAACCTTAATCTACTTATTTCAGCCTCTATGCTTCCTCAAGGAGAGTTTCTATTGACTGTTTTGTTTTACCTCTGTGCATGGGTCATACTTTACCTTTTTTTCGATATCTTATTCTTTGTTGAAAATTGTACATTTAAAATAATATAATATGAGAACCATGAAAACCAGATCTCCCTCCACCCACACCCCTGCTGAGGACAGGACTTTTCTCTCTGAGCAAGTGCTCAGTCAGTTCAAATAAACATAAGATCTATAGTGGAGTTTTTCAGGGAGCTGACAGTTCCAGTGATGACAGTTATCTGAGATTTGAGACTTTGGGGAGCTCTAAACCCAGTTTACCCCTCCAGTGGCTGCTCTAGTGTGGTTTCTAAAGCTACCGTATTTGTGAGACTACTTATTTCAAAGGATATGGTGGAACTGGGGAGAGAATGATGGGGATAGAGAATATTAAAATGCCCCACAACTCACTGGTTTTACCACATTCAACAATTTATCTTGAATAAACTCTTTTCAGATTGTTGCAAGACTTTGATTAATTTCTAGAGTCCTGAAAAGGGTGATTTTGGCCACTTTGGGCAGTGTTCTCACTACTTTTTTGGTTGAGTGGATTTTTGGAAGGTTTTACTCCATCATTCAGGACACGCTTCCTGGTATTTGTCTTTCAGGTTGCATGGAAGAGACATGCCTCATAATTAGCAATAAATAATTGTGGTTGGGTATTGAGAAGTTATGAAAGCCATTCGTTTTTCTAGGTGCCTCTGTTTCTCTCAGTTTTGAACTCTCTTGAAAGGGAAAACAGGTATGGGCAAGTTTCTTATATCATTAATTCATTCATTCATGCATTCAGTAATTATTTATTCAGCTGGTAATGATTCCCTCTGCTCCATGCACTGGGCATTATGTTAGGCATGGTGAGTAAGGAAGACAAGGGCTTGGCACTCATGGAGCTAACACTCTGGAGAAAGACAGAAAATCAACAAGTGGATGCAGAAGCAACAGAGTGATTGTAGCTAATAGTGTGTGCTATGAAGAAAATCAAAGAGTCATGTGATAGAGAGTGGTTGAGGATAGAGTAGGGGGCACAATTGTAAGTTGAGCGTCAAGGAAGGCCACTCCAGGAGTTGAGACTTGGGAAAAGTGATTGGCTATGAGTGCATCTGGGTGGGGTGTGAGGTGGGGGCTGCTCCAAGACATCTGCAAGCAATGGCAAATGTCCCAGGGCATAAATAACCTTGACTTGTCTTAGGGACAGAGAGAGGATTATTGGCTCAAGTGGAGAGAAAGGGAGAAGATAACAGATGTCCTCAATGGGGATTTCCTGTTGGAGAGAGGCACATAAGTACCTTCTCCTGTGAGTTACCTGGTATGGCTTGCTTTCTACAGATGAGCCACCTGAGACTTGCTGAAGGAAAAGCTTCTTCCACCAGCTCAACAATGACTATTAAGCTTTAAATGTCACATCCTTTGACTCAGCATGTCTCTGTTTACATTAATTCCACAGATACTATAGGAAATGGTGCACCCAAGCCTTTGTTCAAGGATGCACGTTACCTCACTGTATGTAGCAGGAACAGAGTGCAAACAATGTAAATGTTCACCAGTAGGAGTCACCTGGGTAAAATATGGAGGAACTGGTTCTAAAACAGAGGACCAAAGAATCATTTAAAAATTTCAATATACACATATTTTTTGTGCTGATATTTTCCAAGAAAGTTTAAGTATAAAAAGTAAGTGTAGAACACTATAAAGTTTAAAAGTATTTATGTAAAAAATAGGATATATTAATACGTGTGCAATTTTATGTGTGAATCTATCTCTTATCTGTAAACAAATGGGGAGGTAAACTATTATATAAATTTATTATATAAATAATATAATACTGGCTTCAAGAGTAATAATGAGACTTTCATACATACACACATGCATACATATATACCTACATACCCGCATACAAACATATATAAGGATGTACATACATAAAGAAATGAGAGCAAAATAAATGCCCGTTTTCTTACAACCTAGCTTAAGAACTAGGATATCACCAATGTGAGCCTATTTTTTATTGGATAATTGTTAGTGCTTTTATTTTTTTCAGCATGTACATACATTACATTTCAAGAACTAAAATATCAAGAAATAAAAAGAAGATAATATGAGACATTATAATAGGAGGATATGTCACTTAAGACAAAAATAAAATATGAATCCAAATATATATGACTTTTCAAGGTTACAAGTAACAGAAACATATTTTGGACCTGCCTCTGTGGCACCAGACTCTGCTGTTTCCACTGCCCGTGTTGCTGGCCTGAGGAGCCCAGGTGCCGTCAACAGCTCTTCAGACCTCTGGGATAGATGCTTTATCCTGATGTTCATCCTGGAATGAGCATCATTGCTGAAAAGTCTTGGCCAGGCAATGACCTCCCGTCTAATGAGGCTGCTGGTTGAAGACATGTGTTAGAATCCCTTTTGCAGGTTTTACTTTTGATTCAATTATGAAAGAATAGATGAGTGAGAGAGAAAAAACAATCCTGAAGAAACAAAGCCTGTGGATTCGAAAAATCTATCAGCATATTTGGGCAGGGTGAGCAAGATTTGCCCTGGCCAGTACCTCCCTGGGAAGTTCCAGCAGGAAGGCAGGTAAGGATGGGAAATGGTGCACCACAATTTTTTGATATGCTTTGAGTCAGCTCATTGTGTTCAATTAAACATGATTTCTATATGTAGCACGTGATTTATAGAAACCCAAACAGAAATGTCTGTAGGGGAAACAACAGCTTCTACTTTAATACTTAGCAGGTGCATTGCCAGCATGAGCTGCCTCAAGTTCAGTTACTCCATCACTGGCTGTTTCCTTGTGCTGAAGGCAGAGGAAGGCAAGTTAGGAAACAGATCATCCTGCCTGCCTGCTGCTGAAAACTGGATGGAAGGCATCTGGTCCAGCTGCCACTTTGGCCATTGTCTGCCTCTGAGTAGAGGAGGTTGAGGAATAAACATGCTGGAGGAAAAGCAGGAGACACTCATTAAGAAAATTATATCCTAATTTATGACAATCCAGACTGAAAAGAGGCCAAGCCAAGGAGAGGAGGTTTGAGAGAGGAAGCATGACATGTCCCTGACCACACTTGAGCTCCAGGCTCCAGCTGTTCCTGAAGCTGGCACTGTTTTAGACATTTTTAATTATCCAAGATGCTCAGTGTTCTTGTCGCTTCAGCTTTCCTGAGTTGGGTCTCTACCACTTGCAAACTCCTCAGCTCTCTAATCCTGACTATTACAACCCCACTACCCTGCCAGACTCCCATTTTTCCTAAATCAGGAACATTTAATTAAGGGCAAATATAATCAAATGCCTATATTTGGTGGTCTTTTAAATCCACCCCAATCTCAGAGTGAGTTTATTCATGTTAATGACCCTTGGAATCCCTGAAGCCCTGCACTCAATTAAGAAATGGGTGGGGTGGGGTTTGATGTCTCTCTAGTCTAGGGTCCATTGGGTGTATCCAAGACACATCTTACTTTACAGAAATCCAGAGTTCAATGGAGCAACTTACCCAAGCCACATTATCACACTTTAATCTTTTATATGACAATAGTTGTATGTATTAGCCATACTCATGGCATTGACGGATACAGTTTTCATCTTGGAGCCAGAATGACACAAATCTATATAAGGTAAAACAATAATAAAAAGGCAAAAATCAATGAAAGCAATAGCCTGTGGGCTCATAAATCAGAAAAGAAAATGTACAGTTCTACAGAACTCCAGCCTGTTAGCCCAAAGCCAAGGGAAATGGACTCTCAGAGAAACCTTGTCCTCAGGTGCAGTGGAAATAATCCAGGGGTTAGAAGTCAGGAAATTCAGGACTATAATAACTCAGCTGTGTGGTATTGGGGAATTCACATAAACTGGCTCTAATATTCTATGTGTAAGTGGAGGCAAACATACCAATCTTTACACTTTCTCTAGGGTTACATGAAGAGATATTACAATATTTGAAAGTTCTCTGACACATCATAAGTTTGCTATAGAAATGTTGCATAATGTATAAAGTAGATTTGCATTTAAATAATGTGATCAGTGTTCCAGAAAGACCTTTACAATACAATTTATCAAATAGGTTTGACACACAGTAAGAAGTGTATTTTATATTGCCCATCAGTTAACACTCAATTAATATTAGAATAAAATTAAGTTATACAGAAACATGCTAACAGTTATTATGTAGGGCTTCACTCCTCTAGTTTATTGGTTTCTGCTTTGTTTTTCCATTCTACTGTCCCCCATCTTATTTTATGCTATTCTTATATTACCAAGATAAGCCAAATGATGCTGTATTAATAAACACTCCTAGTGTCTCAATCAGGTAAACAACAAGTTTATTCCTTGTTTGTGCTGATGTCTGCCACAGGTGGCTGGGGCTTTGCTTAGCATTGTCCTCCTTCTAGAAGCTTCAGGATCATTCTGGATTCTTTAGCCAGCATATTGACAGTTGTTATAGTAGAATGTGAGAAAGCTCTCCCAAGTCATATTGGCATGTGAATGTTCTGGCCTGGAAACTAATCACATTATTTCTTTATTCATCCCTCAGCCAGTTTTAGTCACGTGCTTCTACCCAACCCTAAAGTGGTCAGGAGGTCACGTCGGTCATGTGGCCTGAAGCGAACTGGAAATACCTGGCTCCTGACAACCATGCCTGGTGATCATCACCTCTCTATTCTGAGTTAAGAACTGTTCTCTTTTAGGACCAACTAAAGTTGATTTCATTGCTCACTAATGGTTGTAATCTATAGCATACAATTTCTTCTCTGTGTCTACCTGACTTTTAAGCTAAAACTGAACTGCTGAGAAGATAATCTTCTGTGAGGCAGAAAGTACCCATGAGAGTGGGAATAGGTGTGTGAGAACCTAGAGACAGACAAAGGGCTTGGCACATGCCAGAAACTACAGAAAAATGGAGTGAGCACAGGACAAAGTCGTAGGAAATGAGATCGCAGAGACAGGCAGGATCTCAAGCAGGCAACAATGTTCTCCTAGGGCAAAATTACTGAAGATTTTTGTATATTGCATGTATTTAAGGTACACAACAGATTGTGTTGATACATACACATGGTTACTAGAGTCAACAAAATTAGCATGCCTATCACTTCACTCAGTTACCTTTTTCTTTTTTTTTTTTTAATGTCAAGAGTATCTAAAATCTACTCTCAGCAATTTTTTTTTTTTTTTTAGATGGAGTCTGGCTGGCTGTCGTTCAGGCTGGAGTGCACTGGTGTGATCTCAGCTCACTGCAACCTCCGCCTCCTGAGTTCAAGCAATTCTCCTGCCTCAGCCTCCGGAGTATCTGGGATTAGACACATGCACAACCACGCCCGCCTGATTTTTGTATTTTAGTAGAGACAGGGTTTCGTCATGTTGGCCAGGCTAGTCTCAAACTCCTGACCTCAGGTGATCTGACCTCCTTGGCATCCCAAAGTGCTGGGATTACAGGCGTGAGCCACCACACCCAGCCTTCTCAGCAAATTTTTAGTACACAATATTGTACTCTATTACTAACCACAGTTCTTATGCTATCCATTAGTTGTCTAGATTTATTCATCCTCCATAAATGTATCTTTCTACCCTTTGACCTGCATCTCTCCTCCCTTCCTCACTCCTGGTGACCACTTTTCTATTCTGTTTTTATATATGCAAACTTTTTAAAAATATTTCACATGTAAGTAAGATTATGCAGTATATTTCTTTCTGTGTCTGGCCTATTTTACTACTTTTAAGTAGAGGAGAAGCATGTTCTGATATATATTTAAGACAACTAATTGGGGTTGGGTGCCATGGCTCACACCTGTAATCTCAGCACTTTGGGAGTATGAGGAGGAAGGATTGCTTGAAGCCAGGGGTTCAAGACCAGCCTGGGCAACAAACCAAGACTCTGTGTCTACAAAAAAATTTGAAAAATTAGTTGGGCACTCTGGCATGCTCCTGTAGTACTTGGGAGGCTGAGGCAGGAGGATCACTTGAGCCCAGGAATTTGGAGGCTGCAGCAAGCTGTGATTATTCTAAGCTGTGATTGTTCCACTGCACTCCAACTATAGTTTGAGTGATAGAGCAAGAACCTGTCTCTAAAAAAATAAAATTAAAAAAAAAAACTACTTGGATGCCTGGTGGAAGTGTGGGGAATGGAATGGAGATTGCAAGGGAGGCTGGGGTAACCATCCAGGTGAGAGATGAAGCTGCTTGTTGGAGGAGGCAGTGGAAGTGTCAACAGGGTGCATGATAAGAGCCCTTCTCAAGGCACTAGCTCACATCTTGCTGTAACCTGAGTTGACATGAGAGTAAAGCCTTTGTAGACTTCAGACTGAACTGTGACTTAGAAATAAAGCACCATTGGTCCGTTATGTTTATGTTAAGGGATTCCCTCTGTATTAGTCCATTTTCACACTGCTGATAAAGACATACCCGAGATGGGGTAATTTATAAAGAAAAAGAGGTTTAATGGACTCACAGTTCCATGCGGCTGGGGAGGCCTCACAATCATGGTAGAAGGCGAAAGACACTTCTTACATGGCAGCAGCAAGAGAGAAAATGAGAATCAATCAAAAGGTGTTCCTCCTTATAGAACCATTAGATCTTGTGAGACTTACTACCACAAGAAGAGTAGGGGGAAACTGACTCCATGATTCAATTAACTCCCACCAGGTCCCTCCCACAACACATGGGAATTATGGGAGCTACAATTCAAGATGAGATTTGGGTGGAGACACAGCCAAACCATATCACCCTCTATAGCTGCCTTCAGCCAACAGGACATGGTTAGTCACAGGGACAATTCTAAAAAAAACCCCCCTAAGCTACGTATGGAAAGTCACTGCATAAAACACACTTTGACAGCTGTTGTGACATATTGTTTATCATTGTGAGTCTTTAAAAAAAATGCTTGTCGTGATAACAAGCCGCCTGCTGAACAGCTGCCAAGAAATGTTAAGGTTAATCTCCTTTATTAATGAAGAGAAGTGTTTCTCTGTGTGCCTGCCTCCCTGCATCTGTGACACTACAGCTGAGGAAGTTCAGACTCTTATAACCACCCAGGCAGCAAACGTCTTCCTTTCAGACCCAGAAACTCTAGCCATTTAGCAAATCCTTTCAAATGAGCAGAGTTCCATCAACTGTAGAGTAAGAACAGACAGAATAGGGAGAGAAAACCAATCACATGAAAGAGTTATAGAAGAGCTGAGGGAAATTCTTAGATCTTAGACATTCAAGTGCATTTCAGGAACACTTATTTACATATCCCCAAATGGACTTCAATTTTGCCACAGTCAATTCTCATTTAACCTGCTTGATTTAAACGAAACCCTCAGGCCTTTGGGGAGCTTCATTTTTAATGAGGAAAAGAATGACATTCTTTAAGGTTGTTTAAGGTATTACAAGAATTTAGAAGAAGAAACACTCCATTTAAAAATATTTGTTAATTCAGCATGTTGGAACTGTAGAAACACCAGGTGAGCTGATTTTGCCTGCATATTCCTGGACTCTCAACTCCTAGAGAGTGATTTAGGAAGTCTGTGTATGTCCTTGAAACCCTCAGTTGTGTTAAAATACCCCTGGTGAGTCTAATAGAGGGCTTCCCAGAACGAACGCACTCTGAAAACAATAATTTAGATTTACAATTGGTCAGTGGCTGCTCAAAACATTATTGGTGCCATTATCCTCATATTGCTACTATATGGCTAAAAAAAAATTATAGACAGATGATAAAAAAGGAAGCAAATCCATCTCTATTAATTTCAAATCCTAAGCCTTTTCCATGAAACTCCAGTTTTCTATGTTGGGACCATTTTTCCATCATTACATAAGTGATGAGGGAATCATTTATTCAAGCAAAATAATTTAATTTTTCAAAGCAAATGTTTTAATTGGGAAATTGATGCACATCCATGGCTAAAATTGGTTAAATGAAGATAAGCACATAGAAGATAATAATTTTTACTTAACATCCTATTACCTAGAGAGAATTGCTGTTAACTCTATTATAAAGTAATAATAGGCTGTATCTGTGAGGTTAAGATGGAATGAGCATTTCCTGCACTACCAAGGAGACAGTGGAATTGTGACCTTCTACAGAAAATGTTGGCAATGTGTGGCAAAAGACTTAAAAACATTCACGAGTTGTTATCTATTTCCAGTTGTTATCTATTTATCTCTTTTTCTCTGTATCCATTCCTGTTTTAACAAGATGAAATTTTGGTATATTCACTACCTTTAAACATGATGCTTTTTTTCCTTTCAATTTATGGTACCTTGTGCACTTTCCCCATGTTACTCAATTGCCTCCTTAAAAAGATTTTATTTTATTATTATTATTTTTGGAGGGGACAGAGTTTCGCTCTTGTTGCCCAGGCTGGAGTGCAATGGCGCGATCTCAGCTCACTGCAACCTCCACCTCCTGGGTTCAAGCAATTCTCCTGCCTCAGCCTCCTGAGTAGCTGGGATTACAGGCATGTGCCACCATGCCCGACTAATTTTTTTTTTTTTGTATTTTTAGTAGAGACGGGGTTTCACCATGTTGGCCACACTAGTCTCAAACTCCTGACCTCAGATGATCTACCCGCCTCAGCCTCCCAAAATGCTGGGATTACAGACGTGAGACACCGTGCCCAGCCTCTAAGAAAGATTTTGATGTGTCATCATATCTCAGCCTGTGGTTGAGGTATACTTTATCTAATTTCCACTACTGAATATTAAGGAGGTTTCCAGAGTTTGGAGATTATAAGCAATGCTGTGGTAAGATGCCGTGATACAGCTTTGCCTGCCTCTATGGTTACTTCTCTATGATTATTATTTACATTGGAATCACAGGTACAAAGCATCTCCAAACCCTGGAAACCTCCTCATGTGATGACTGCTAAGGTTTTGACTATATCTTGCCAACATATTCTGCAAAAAGTTGTACCTGTGCATGTTCTTATTGGCAGGATATTCCAATTTATTGTAACCTTGCAGCTACAATTAGATGAAAAATGTTTGTCACATTTGTTTGGATTTATTTAATTAAAAGAGAAGAGAAACGGTAATGTTTATTTATTAATGATTTGAATCCTTTCATTAAAAATGTGCAATTGTTAAAACCACATTGAACAGAAGGAAGTAGGATCTGTATAAAGGATGTACAGTTTATGATTCTGCTGCCTATTTGGTTATCTGTTATTCAATAGATGTTTGTGGAATGTTGACCATGTACTATTCCATGTACTATAAAATAAAGCAATGAACAAGACCGGTGACGTTTACATGCTAAAAGGGAAACAAAACCAAAATGAATAATATGTGCTACATTAGAGAGAAAAAGTGCTGAAAAGAAAAGTAAAGCAGGAAGGGGAATAGAAAAAGCTGGCGTAGGAAGATGAAATTGCAATTCTAGGATGGCGGCCAGGAGATCCTCACTGAGAAGATGGAATTTGGAGAGGACTTGAAGGGAGTAAGCAAATATGCCAGGCACGTGCCTGGGGAAAGAGCATTGCAGGCAGTGGGAACAGCAGGTGCAAAGGCCCTGGGACCCTGAGAATGAGCATTTCAGGGAACAGAAAGGAGGCCAATGAAGCCGGGCTGGGGTGTGCCAGGAGAAGGAGGCCCAGCGATGAGGTGATAGAGATGGACGGGATGGGGGTGGAATGCGGAGAGACACGTTGGTCCTTGCAAGGAGTTTAGCTCTTACTTAGTGTAGCCTGACGAGCCTTGGGGTTCGAATCAAGAACGGGCAGGACCTGGTCTCCTTTTTATTAGGCTCACTGCATAGACTAAAAGGAACAAGGGAAAAGATAAGGTGAGAAGTTAGGAAGCCAGTGCGTGGAGGCAGACAGCTGAGGATGGTTTCTTACGTGAGGGTGGTGACCATTAAGATGGTGAGAAGAGCTCTGATTCTGGCTATTCAAAGGTAGCGCTGACAGGTGTCCCTTGCCTGTCACATAGAGGTGTGAGAAAATGAGAGGAATGAAGGGTGACACTGTGGTTTTGACATAGGTCTTAGAAGAATGGGGTTGCCATCAGGGGAGACCTGGAAGACTGAAGGGGGTGGGTTTGGGCTGATACAGGGGCCCAGATTTGAATGCCACATTAAAATTATTCATGAAATAAGACATCTCAAGCGAAAAATGGTGGTTTTCTTAAAGGAATGCTGGAACACGCTACGGATGAATCTTCCAAACTGGCACTAGACAGGGCATTGTGAACTGTAACCAGTTTCTCTAAACAAATTTAATGGTAAAAAGTTGTATTTATTTAAAACAAGAGTGTCTATAGAAGAAATCTCTGTTGGGATCCATCTTGACCTAAGAGATTGTCCTTAAGAGATAAGCAGTTCGTTTATTATGATTATTACTATTATTGTAATTCCTATCACTTAGAGGCAGTGTCTCACTCTGTCACCCAGGCTGGAGTGCAGTGGCACAATCATAGTTCATTGCAGCCTTAAACCCCTGGGCTCAAGTGATCCTCCTACCTCAGCCTCCCACGTAGCTGGGACTACAGATGTACACCACCACGCCCAGATAATTTTTTAATTTTTTGTAGAGACAGGGTTTTCCTATGTTGCCAAACTGGTCTGGAACTCCTGGACTCGAGGAATCCTGCTGCCTCGCCTCTCAAAGTGCTGCAATTACAGGCATGAGCCCCTGCCCCCGGCCTCCGTTTTGTGTCTTTCCATGTGAGGAAGTAGCTTCACATCTTCTCTCCAGAGCTACTCCACAGGTCTCGTCACTTAACAGTGGGTATGAATACCCAAGCTCTTTTAAAACACTGTTTGATCCAATAGTCCATATCATTTACTTCCCAGCTAGAAAAGAAAAAGCAATGATTGCAGTGTTCAATAATGGCATTTGTAGCCAAATGTATAACCTCCCAGTGAGAATGCTAAGGGGTATTTACTTCCAAGGGAAACGGATGAGACAGGCAGCCAGCTGGTGTCTCTCCCCAGGGGAGTTCAGGCTTCTCGGCATTTGCAGGCTGGGGTGCCTGTGGGTAACTGGATATTTCCTCAGCACAGAGTGAGAGAGGCAACTCTATGTCCTGTGCTGTGAAGATTTGAAGCAGGCGAGGGTAGCAGGATCTTTTTACTTGCTGGTTCACTGTCACTTCATAGTGGCAGTAAAATTCAGAGCTGCAATCTGGGTCAGGCATCAGCAAGCTACTGCCCCTGAGCCAGATCCTGGCACATCCATTTGTATAGTATCCTCTGTTACTGCTGTGGCAGCACAAAAGCAGAGTTGAGTAGGCATAGCTGAGATTACATGACCCCAAAAGCCTAAAATATTTACAGTGTGGCCCTTTACATTAAAGTAAGTTTAATGTAAATTTAAAGTAACATCAAGTTTCTTGACCTCTGATCTAGACAAAATAATGCCCCTGAGCTGCAGAGATTTGGGGTGTAATGGAACAAAATCAGAAGGGAAATGCCAAAAGTCATTCATCCAAACCCACCACACCCATCTCCCAAAGCCCTCCCCATGTCCACAGAGGCCTCAGCAGAAGAGTTCCCTTCCTTCCCTGAGCTCCTTTTACCGACAAAGTTGCAGACTCATTTGTCTGCAAGATTTCTGTGTGTCTGCTTTTGGACATGGCATATCCTTATGATAGAAATTGTTTTCTAGTGTATTAACTACATTGATTTATTTACTCTATGCTGTGTGCTATTTTTGTAGATTTAGAATCTGAAATTTATCAATAGATGAAGCTCCCTGGATACGGCAGGGGTCACGGTGGGCAGAGCACAGAATGAGAGGCCAATGGAGGGTACGTGAATCGTTCACGCTGATTGGAGCAGAGAATTCCTCTTGGGTAAACTATTTCTAATAAAAGGGCCGTTGAAGGCCACAGAGGACAAACTTTCAGCTGAGCACCAGCCACCACTCCCACCAGGTGGGTGCCCGGTCTGCAGGTGTCTGAACACACCCAGGGCTGCTGAGAACAGTTGAATAGGTTGGGCAATGCGTGATACTCCCTATCCCATAGCAGAGACCATAGATTTAGATATTCAGTAGGACACTGTTACAGCACATGGCAGTAAAGTGTCTCGTTCAACCCAATCAGTCATTTTTGATAATTTTCTATTAGATGGAAATAAAGTATTTTAGGACAGAGGTAACTTTTGCTAATATGCTCAAGAATATACTGGCTCTACATTGGGAATGGATTACTTCCTGAGTTAGCCCAAGTAATAATTCATACAATAATATTGAGCATGTGTTTTCTGTGCATCTGCTATGTGCCAGTAACTCAGCAAGGCTGTTGGAAGACAATGGAGAAAAAAGCAACAAAGCACCCGTCCCTGAGCTCTACAGGGCAGAGAGGCTTTACACAGCAAAGAGCACCCTTAATCACCATTTGGCTAAGTGCCATGAAGCAGCATCCCCCTGTATATATGGGGTGGGAGCCTGCGCTGGTGTGCGGGTGTGGTGGGGGGCTCTGAAGGCAAAGGGGGATGAGTGGGGGACATGTGGGACGGACGGGTCAGGGGAGGTAGAGTCTGATCATGGAAATTCATAAAGATTTGGCTGAGGAGTATGAACTTGACCTTCTGGTCCCATGTTTCCCAAAGTGGAGGATGTGGATCTCTGGTGCTACGAGGATTTCTGGTAGAAGGAGAACACAGTCCTAATTAGCACTGAATGGCACAGGGAGAAAGACATGCCCTTTGCAGACCTCGTTTACTCTTTTGGATAAGTTAACTAGAGGATCTCCCTTGGGTGTTCTAATGCCTGGAATAAAACTCTCTAACATTTGCAGCCACCTCCTTGTAATAGAGAAATAGTAGCCCTTAGGCCCAGGGCTTTGGGCAGGGGGAAGTATCTACCTGCAATTAAAAGTCAATAACAACAGCAGCGTTTGTATGTGGGTTTAGATTTTTAAATATATTTAATTGATAAAAATATTCAATTAAGGCTGGGCATGGTGGCTCACGCCTGTAATCCCAGCACTTTGGGAGGCCGAGATGGGCAGATTGCCTGAGCTCAGGAGTTCGAGACCAGCCTGGGAAACATGGTGAAACCCTGTATTTACTAAAATATAAAAAAATCAGCTGGGCATGGTAGTGTGCACCTGTAGTCCCAGCTACTTGGGAGGCTGAGGCAGGAGAATTGCTTGAACCGGGAGGCGGAGGTTGCAGTGAGTAGAGATTGCATCATTGAACTCCAGCCTGGGTGACAGAGCAAGACTCCATCTCCAAAATAAATAAATAAATAAAATAAAATAAAAATAAACTAATAAAAATTTTAGTTAAAATGTGATCTGCTTTAACAAAATAAATGAATTATTAAATACAAAATAATGAAGGTGACACAAGGTTATGGGGCAAAATGAGTGAGCTTCATATGTGAATGGTTGTAGTTTGCAGAGCAATACCAAGGGTAATTGTGACCCCCTGCAGCCATGGCAGTGCACAGGTGTGACTGAGCTCCTTGAAGTGCTGCCTGTCTGGAAGTCCAGGTGTCTCTCTTAAGCTCCTTCTCAAGGAGCTCCTGGCAGGGCTACATCTAGGCTACATCCAGGGACATCTCTTTTCTGGCTCTGAGACTTCAATCTCCAGCTTCCTGCTCTGGAAATGCAGCTCACACTGCTGCTCTGAGCCCCACCTGCCAGCCGCTCAGCCTGGTTTCAGCTCAAGTGGGAAAAGACGTTCAGGATTTATGAGGTTCCGAGAGGATATTTAGAGCCAAAATCTTCATTTGCCAGAGAGCTGTAGTGGTATTATGGAGATGAGAGGTTTTCTCCTGGGAAGGAGTGTGTTGCTTAGCAGAGGAATTTCCAAAGGTCTGAGAGTGTCCAGTGCAGGAGGGAGATGTTGCTTTCCATGCACACGGAGAGGGGTAGCAGGTGAGTAACTTGTCCTCTTCTAGCTAATTTTCATGGTCACATGCTTCCTCCAAGACTATTTGATCTCCAGGAAGACAGTGGAGGAGGCTGTCTGTTATTTTCTTCCCTTACCTACCTTATGACCCTGGGCAAATCACACCATTTCTTTGGGCCTCAAGTCCTCATGATATAAAATGGAAAAGTTGGTTAGATGAGTCCTTTTTGTTTTGTTTCTTTTGTTGTTGTTCTTTTGTTTTCTTTCACTTTTCTTCTGACTCCTTCTCTCACTCACTTTTATACTCCCACCCTCTGTGTCTCCCACATTTTCCTCTCTCACTCTCTCTCTAATGTATCTGACATCTGTCTATATCTATCAATCTGTCATCTATCAATCAATTTATTATCTATTTGTATCTATCTGTTTATATTTATCTGTCTATCATCTATCTGTCTCTGTCTATATCTATCTATCTCTATCATCGTCATCTATCTATATCTATCTATCTGTCTATCTATCTATCTATTGAGTGTAGAGGTCTGGGCCACCAAGAGGGCTCTGCAGGTAGCATTTGCTTCTTGGAACCTGCACCAGGAGCTGACCTTGTGTGTTCCGTGAGTCACACTAGGAGGTTGTAGCCTTCTCAGGAGTGGTCTCTGACCTGCCCTTCCTGCCCTGCAGCCTGCAGCTTTCTCAGAGCAGCACTCTATGGAGTTGAAAGCCCTATGAGGCCAAAGGAGCCCCAGATATAACCTCAGCTGACCCCTGTAATGTTCTAAATTGCAGAACAGGTGGTTCTTCCTTTTAGGGGTCTTTAAATCCCATCAGGCTTCTCAGTTCATAGGATCCATTGGAGAATTCACTGGCAGAGCGTGGGGGGAAGAGGAGGCTGTGCACTTTGCACAGTGTCTTTGCAGTTTTGATAAGATTAGAGTTTACCGAAGTGTAATAAGTTTCAATGCCTGTTGGCTTATTTGGATGATTTTAGGTGACACATAGGAAAGTGAATTCTTGTATGAAGTTGGAAGTCTATGTGTGTGCAAGGCAAAGTCTAGAGGTAGGCAAGCAAGTCATTAGGGTACAAAATTACAAATGGTTGCCACTTCCCATGTGTATAACCCTGAGAATGAGTAGAATGAGTGTTCCCTTAGATCCTGAGCCATGGCCCTCACCCTGCCTTACCCTGTGCATGTGTGTGTCCACATATGTGTGTAAGTGTATATGCATGTGTGTGCATGTGTGCACATGAGTGTATGTGTGTATGCATTTGTGTGCATGTGCATGCATGTATGTGTGCAAATGTGTGTCTGCATGTATGTGTCTTCAAGTGTGTGCATTGTGTGTGTGTGTGTGTGTCTCTGTGTATGTGTGTGCGCATGTGTGTGTCCATTACTGGCATAAATAAGTAGTTATTCCAGCTATATGAAGTCCATAACTAGTACATCAGCATTTTGTGAATACCACTCTTATTACTTAGGAAGGTGGAAGATCAGAGTCTTAATTTAAAGAAAATTATTAAGTAATAACATCTGAAGACTTCTTAGGTAGAGAAAATTATGGATGCACAGTGAGGGCTTTGGGAAGTAATAAGCCAGGTGGTATGTTTCCTGCAGACTCAAAAGACAGTACAGCCTCCCTGGCACTATGGTGTATTTTTTTTTCTTCAATAACAGACTCCTCTCAAATCCCAAATCACAGGAATTCTGTTACTCAAAAAGAGCCCTACAGTGCCATCCCACAGTGCCTGAGAAGTTTGGAGGGTTTTTCTTTTTAATTTTTAAAATTCTTTTCTTATTATACTTTAAGTTCCAGGGTACATGTGCACAACGTGCAGGTTTGTTACGTATGTATACATGCGCCATGCTGGTGTGCTGCACCCATTAACTCATCATTTACATTAGGTATATCTCCTAATGCTATCCCTCCCCCATCCCCTCACCCTTGACAGGCCCTGGTGTGTGATGTTCCCCTTCCTGTGTCCAAGTGTTCTCATTGTTCAATTCCTACCTGTGAGTGAGAATATGCGGTGTTTGGTTTTTTGTCCTTGCGATAGTTTGCTGAGAATGATGGTTTCCAGTTTCATCCATGTCCCTACAAAGGACATGAACTCATCATTTTTATGGCTGCATAGTATTCCATGGTGTATATGTGCCACATTTTCTTAATCCAGTCTATCATTGATGGACATTTGGGTTGGTTCCAAATCTTTGCTAAGGCAGGAGGAGAGAGGAATGTGTCAAAGGATGTTGTGTTTTTCTCTCAAGTACATCTGTTCTAGTGGAAAACAAAAGCCTTCCTCCCCTGGCAGTGCAACTTCAAATACAGGTTATTTCCTTACAAGCTATACATTTAAATGGTCTTCAACTACCCCAGACTTTTGAATTGGTAACTGAAAACTAAGCAGGCAGCATTTTGGTTGGAGGTGAGAGGACTTAAGATTATGGCTCAGATCACTTTCATCTGCAGTAGTGATGTGATTCTTGAGATTCGTGCTGAAAAATGTTAGCAGAAATGTGCACACCTGCTGTTGAAACTGTGTCCTTTTCATTTTAGAGAAAGACTGGGGGAGAAACAAGTGATTACTACATCCCTTTTAGGAGGGTACACTAGAAAAATTGTATCAGGCAAGATAAAGGGCAGAAAGTTACTTCCCAGGCTCTAGTTCAAGCACAGGAATCCATTGCACTTGAGTAGAATTATAATTTAGAAAGTGTAAGACAGGGTAGATTTTTTTCTGATGCTTAATATTTTCTTTGAAATAAGAAATAGCATGGGACAGGTACTAGAAAGGGATCAAAGAGATGGGGACCCAGACAAGTATTAAGATACCAGGCAGTTCTGAAAATTACAGGCACCTGGAGTCACATATAAAGTGATAGCAATCCACTGTCTTGTTTCTGCTATCAAAAGTACATCAGGATCTTTGGCTGAAGCTTATTTCAAGTACTTGAAAATCCATTACAATTGGAAGTATAAAGACTGTACAATCAGGATTTTTATCCAAGCTGAGAAATTTAGTGTATGTATTTATCATTAGGGGTCTCATAAATATAATAGTGTTCTCCAAAATGTTCCTTTTACCACTTCTGTGAACATTTCCAAAATGTTCCTCTTACCACTCATTAGTTGGCAACTGACTTACCTCTCGTTTTCTCCAGCATGGCTCCTATGTCATGAAAGGCTAATGTTAAATTGCTCAAGTTTCTTGACTGTCTTATTCTGGGCTTCATCGAGCTCAAGAAACACAGTGTCCATATTGTGCTTTTTCTTGGTCTACTAATAGCATATATACATTTGAAATATTTTTTTCCTGCAATAAAAGACTACTCATGCTCAGATAGATAGTTTATTATTCTTACAGGCTAAGGTTGCTTGCTGATAGACATCAGAGCCAGGGTCTCTGGGATATTTTTGGCATTTGCTCAGATGCTACCTCATGGGCACAAGATGGCTGCAGTGGGCAGGCACATCGTCTCTCTCTGCGGCCCCAGCAGAAAGCTGATCAAAAAGCAATGGCTAAAGGGCCTTTCTCACACCAAGCTTCCACTTAAATGAGTTATAGAATACAATTCCTAAAACAGAGCTTAGCACATGGTAAATGCTTTAAAGTATGACTTATTATAGTAACACAAATAAATATGAGTGTTTATGCCTACACACATTTTAGCTAACCTTTAAACTTTATTTTCAGAAATGTAAATGCTACAAATTTCCAAAAGCTATCATTTCAAATTTACTCTTTTACATTCCTAGCATACTTACTTCGTTTTGTAAATTTTGAAGCCATTTTCCAATTTTAACATTTTATTTTAGTAAACATTCACTTTCTTAAATCAGAGGAAATGTGTATGTGTGTGTCCCTGTGTAAATGCACATATGTGAGAGATTGTATAGACATATACAGACCTTTATCTACTACCCTAGGGAAGAAAAAAGCCTTCCAGGAACCTGGGTCTCTCACATTACCTGTGTCACGGAGAGATTATGTGTTGTTTTATGTTCTTTTTTTGTGTTTTTTTTTTTCTGCATAAGATACTAATCAATCACAAGTTCTTAGCCGAAGAAGATGAAAGTCAGAAAAGGATGTCTTGCTGGGATTCACTCATTTATTCAAGAGATATTTATTGAGCAGCTATCATGCAGCAGGCACCAGACCAGACACTGAGGACACTGCATTCATACAGCCAGGTGGATCCTCCACCCTCCTGGCCCTTGCTGGCTGGTGTGGGGAGCACACACAGGCAGACAGTTCAAACTATGCACAAGAACATTTCATTGATTGAGAAGTGCTGTTGTAACTCAGTTCAGGCCAGGCTGCTCTCAGTTTGCAAAGAATACACCAGAGACAATGTGTGGTGAAGGAAAAGCAGCTTGATTGTTCAAATGCCTGCAGTTGAGGAGAATGGCCAGACTGAAGTCTCAAAGGACCACCTCAGCTCTTTCAGCTGAGTGAGGGGGTTTAAGAAGAGAGACTCGGGCCGCCCAGTGGCTCACGCCTGTAATCCAAGCACTTTGGGAGGCCGAGGCGGGAGGATTATGACGTCAGGAGATCGAGACCATCCTGGCTAACACAGTGACACCCTGTATCTACTAAAAAAAAAAAAAATACAAAAAATTAGCCAGGCGTGGTGGCGGGCACCTGTAGTCCCAGCTACTCAGGAGGCTGAGGCAGAAGAATGGTGTGAACCCGGGAGGCGGAGCTTGCAGTGAGCCGAGATTTTGCCACTGCACTCCAGCCTGGGCGACAGAGGGAGACTCCATCTCAAAAAAAAAAAAAAAAAAAAGAGAGACTTGGTGTGGGAGGCATGCAGGAGTGGTGCAGAATGTTGGGTCCGTGTGTCTTGTTCCAATGGCTGTCTTGAGTAATCACTCATCCAGAGGTCTGGTTGGTTATCACCTTGACCTAGGCCTGGTGGTGGTGGACTAATTGTTCATGTGTGGGGGGATCCTGTGTAAGGGGATCCTGCAGCTGGGTTTCTAGGCCTGGTTTGTTTCGAAATTAGCCCCTAGAATTTCTAAGCAAGCACATAAGATAAATGAGCACAGTGCAAGGGAATGCCTGGTGGGAAAGGGAGGGAAATAAAGGCTGCTAAAGTACATTTCAAGGCTATTAAATACAGTGAGTTCTAAGTTTCTCTTCAAAGAATCACCATGTCAGTATGTTCCATTCTTTGTCCTCCATTTTAAAGTTTAACTTCCTCATTCTCTTCATCTCCTTGCCCCTGGTTTCAGTAAACAACCTTCCTGCCAATTCTAATCAGTAGTTCACACCTGTTCCCCTGGTCACTTGCTCCATCCTGAGTCACTCCTGGTCACCTGCTCTGACCTGAGTCACCTTTAGTCATCTGTTCTGTAACCATCTTTCCCGCTGAAACTGCTCACCCCACCACTCTGGCCCATATCCCTGCTCTCTTTAAAATAGCCAACCTGAATTAGCTTAGACTATGTGGCCCAACCCTAGCCAATAGGGGAACGACACAGCAGTAGGGGCTACCTGTGTCAGGGATAAGAACCCCTTCCCCTCCCTTGTTCAGGTGTACTGTCACCATTGCTCCATCTGCAAGATGCACCCTTCTATAGAAGTAAAATTGCCTTGCTGAGAAAATTTATGTTCGTGTGCTATTTCTTTTGTGGCACCAAAAATTTATTTCCAACAAGGCTATAGTCTGAGATTAAGAAAGAAAGTGGGGGAAAAAAACCTCTAAGATGCATTTCAAGGCTGGGATACTGGGCTACACTGTGAAGGAAATAAGCAAGGTTGAGGGAGAGAGCATGACAGGGTGGATGCTGCTTCACGTGGGTGGCTCAGGAGAGCTTATCTGTTGGGCGATGTCTGAGCAATGATCTAAATGAGGCAGTGATGTCAAAAGGAGTGGACCATTTATAAATGGTCCCTGTCAAAGTGGCCTGCAGTTAGATAAAAGCTATGGACTCTGGTTCCTGAGAATGACCAAGGTCAATTTATGGATGCTGTGAACCCCGATAATTTGAGACAGTTCTTAGTTAATTTAGAAAGTTTACTTTGCCAAGGTTGAAGATGTACCCATGACACAGCCTCAGGAGGTTCTAATGACACGTGCCCAAGGTGGTCACAGCACAACTTGGTTTTATACCTTTTAAGGAGACAAGAGATATCAATCAATATGCAAAAAATGAACATTAGTTTGGTCCCAAAAGTGGGACATCTCAAAGAAGGAAGGGTGCTTCTAGGTCACAGGTAGGTGAGAGACAAATGGTTGCATTCTTTTGGAACTCCAGAAATGGAGTTTCTGATTAGCCTTTCCAAAGGAGGAGATCAGATATGCATTTATCTCAGTGAGCAGAGGAATGACTGAATAGAATGGGAGGCAGGTTTGCCCTAAGCAATTCTCAGCTTGACTTTTCCTTTTAGTTTAGTGATTAGAGGGCCCAAGATATTTTCCTTTTACAATGAGATAGGTGGCAAATGATTGATTCTGCTGATATTAGGGTCCAATCACCCCCCTCTATTCTTTGGAGAGAAAATGTTATCAGCCTTTTTACCTCTGCTTTTCTTATCTCACTGAATTTGGCATTGGAGGCTGTCAAAGGACCATGGACCTGCTAGGTGACCTGGGGGCATGAGTTTCCATCTTTCTTTATGCTCTGCTTTGCTTCAGGTAACTCAATGGTCAGTGGTATTCTCTCCTCCTCTCAAGAAACCTGACAGGATGATCTAGAGTTGAAAAAAGCTGATGTTTTCTACAAAGTCTGTGATGTTAACAGAACTAGACAATCTGACCTGAGGCAGAACTAATTCAGAAAATAAACAAGATTTAAGTTTTTACAAGGGGATTTCATTAACCAGTTGGAATCTAGCTTGTTTGAGAATGTGAGTTGGAATGTTAAGATATTATTGTCTGCAGAAGTCTCTAAGATCTGGTCAATCACATTCACTGCTATACTAAATTTTTGAAGTCAGACCTTTGTGGCATGGGGAAGTGAAAACACAAATATTACACCCAATAGTCAGGGAAAACTCCATATATTTCCACAGTCCAGATGGTGGTCATTGACTTATCAAAGTGCTTGGAGGATTGTCAAAAGGATTTTGTATTGTTTTGTGGTTTTAGTTTGATTTTTTAATATTTTAGCAGCATATCAATCCACATAAATTTCATATCTAAAGAAGATGAAAAGGGGAAGGATGCTTTAGTTGTCCTTAGAGAAAGTGATGATTAGAAGAGCCAGAATTTTTGTGTCTAAGGTACTTTGTTGTTCAAAGAACTTGGTGCTAACATCAAGTTATTGTAGACACCAAAAAAATCAATCAATTACTTCATCTACTGACTGACTCATTTGTAGATTTATCCATCCATCAACTCATACAGCCAGTTATCCATTCATCCACCTGGCTATCCATCCATCTATCCACTTATGCATCCATTCACCTATGCATCTACCCGTGCATTCACCCATCTATGCAGCCATCCATCCATGCATCCACCTATGTGTCCATCCCTCCACACATTCATATACCCATGCATCCACCTACCCATCCACCTACACATCCATCTACCCATGTGTCCACCTACCCATACATCCAACAATGAATCCATTCACCCATGCATCCATCCACCCATGTGGCCACCTATGAATCCACCCACGCATTCATCGATGCATGCATCATTTGCTAGATTTGAAATACCTATTCTCTGCTAGACACTGTGTTAAGGGAAGAAGCCACACCAGTAAACAAGAAGGAGAAAATTTGTAACCTTAGGTCTGCTCTAGAGAAGCAGGCAGAAAATGTGTAAGACAAAATATAAATGAATAATATAATTTTAGACAGTGATACTCTGAAGAAAATATATATATTTTATATATATATATACACACACGCACACGTGCTTGGATACTCTCCATATATATATATGCACACACACACACACATACATATATATATATATACACACACATATATATATACATATATATATATATATATACACCCAAGTACATATGTGTGCATACATATATATATATATCATAGACAATATTAGTTTGCTAAGGGAGGGTAAGTAAGTTTTCAGGAGAGGCCTCTCTGGGAGGTAATAAAATCAAGACCCAAATGGAGAAAATCAGCCATGCTATATCCTGGAAGAGATTCCTGCAGGCAGTGGACCCAGCCAGGGAAACATCCTGCAATATGTACATCTGCAGTTTGTGAGGACCCAGGCAGGCCAAGGTGGCTGAGGCAGAGGAAGGGAGGGGGTGCATATGGCAGAGAGGTAGACAGGAGCAAATCATTGGGAGCCTTCTAGTCATGAACGTGGGTTCACACCAACCAAAGGAGCTTCTAGGAAATAGCCTCATGGAGAACATAGCAATAACATTGTCCATCTATATGGCATTGTTTTCCAGCAGAAAAAGCAGTGTGCACAAGGGTGTGTGCATACGTGTGCATGTACTGGCATTGCCTAGGACTGGGCCAGTGATGCCAGTACTAGTTTGCAGGGATAGATGTGAACGTAATTTCTGAAGGCATGTACCAACTTTGAATATAATACCTGCTCTTCTTATGATAAGCTATAATGTTTTCAAGACCTAAAGACTTAGCTTTAGCTGGGACAACAGAATACAACCTGGTCCATGTTGTGATAATCATGACCCCAAATGGCCCTGAGCTCTGGATATGCCCATTTATAAAGAAAGGTGCCAGCTTGATTACTCATTTCTTGGATCATGGGAAGTAAGAAGACAGGGTCAGCCCTCCAGGCTCTGAATTTTGTATTTCAGGTGCTGAACATGGAAGCCCTGCCCAGGCTTGCCTCATGGTAGCTATGGCAGGAGAGGACTCTCGTGCCTAACTAAAGATGTGCAAGTGAGAGAGTCTTTGAAGAATCAGCTGATGGGACAGAGAAGTATGGACCAGGGGGCTGTTGAAGAGGATTTTTTATTCTTCTTTACCATTTCCTATATATATTTTTAACTCTTTTTTTTTAGAATTAGTGGGGGACATGTGATGGTTTGTTAGAAAGGCATACTGTGTGATGCTGAGGTTTGAGATACGATTGAACCCATCACCCAGAGAGTAAGCATAGTACCCAATAGCTAGTCTTTCGCCCCTTGTTCCCTCTCCTCTCTCCGCTCTTCAGTGTCCCCAGTGTCTATTGGGAACAAGTGAACCCAATGTTTAGTTCTCACGTATAGGTGAGGATATGCAGTATTTGGTCTTCAGTTTCTGCATCAGTTGACTTAGGATAATGGCCTCCAGCTGCATACAGGTTGCTGGAAAGAACATGATTTCATTAGTTTTTATGGCTGCTTAGTATTCCATGGTAATATGGTTTGCATCTGTGTCTCTTCCCAAATCTCACGTCGAATTGTATTCCCCTACGTTGGAAGTGGAGCCTGGTGGGAGATGATTGGATCATGGAGGCAGTTGCTCGTGAATGGTTTAGTACCATCCCTTTGGTGCTGTTCTTGTGATAGTGAGTTCTCATGAGATTTAGTTGTTTAAAAGTGTGTGGCACCTCCCTGCTACCTTTCCTCCTGTTTTAACCATGTGAAGTGCTGACTTCCCCTTCGCCTTCTGCCATCTTTCCTGAGGCCTCCCTAGAAACCAAGCAGGTGCCAGCATCATGTTTCCTGTACAGCCCGCAGAACCGTAAGCTAATTAAACCTCTTTTCTTTATAAATTACCAAGTCTCGAGTATTTCTTTATAGCAATGTGAGAACAGACAAATACACATGGAGTACATACAGGATTTTTTAATGCAACCCATGATTGATGGGTACCTGGATTAATTCCATGTCTCTGATATTGTGAATAGCACTGCAATGAACCTACAGGTGCATGTGTCTTTTTGCAAGAATGATTTATTTTTCTTTGGGTATATACCTAGTAATGGGATTGCTGGGTTGAATGATAGCTCAACTCTTAGTTCTTTCAGAAATCTCCAAACTGCTTTCCACAATGGCTGGATTAATGTACATTCCAACCAACAGTGTATGGGTCCGCTTTTATCCACACCTTACTAACATCTGTCCTTCTTTAACGTTTTAACAAAAGCCATTCTGATTGGTGTGAAATGCTAGCTCACTGTGGTTTTTGAGAAGTGTCTTTTCGTGTCTTTTGCCCATTTTTTAATAGGGTCATTTGTTTTTTGCTTTTTGAATTTTATCCACACCATCACCAACATCTGCTATTTTTATAGATTCTGGATATTAGACTTTGTCAGATGCATAGTTTGTGAAAAATTTCTCCCATTCCATAGGTTGTCTGTTTACTCCCTTGTTTCTCTTGCTTTGTATAAGCTCTTTGGTTTAATTAGGTATCACTTAACAATTTTTGTTTCCGTTGCAATTGCTTTTGAGGACTTCAGCCATAAACTATTTGTCAAGGCCAGTACTTATTTCCTAGGTTTCCTTCTAAGATTTTTACAGTTTAACATCTTAAGTTTAAGTTTTAATTCATCTTGAGTTAATTTTTGTATATGGTAATAAGTAAGAGTCCAGTTTGATTCTTGTACATATGGCTAGCCAGTTATCTCAGTACCATTTATTGAATAGGGAGTCTTTTCCCCATTGCTTATTTTTGTCAAGTCAAAGATCAGATGGTTGTAGGCATGAAGCTTTATTTCTGGGTTCTTTATCCTGGTCCATTGGTCTATCTGTCTGTTTTTGTACTAGTATCATGCTGTTTTTGTTACTGTAGCCTTATGTTATAGTTTGAAGTTGGGTAATGTGGTACTTCTGGCTTTGTTCTTTTTACTTAGGATTGTTTTGACTATTTGTGCTCTTTTTTGGTTCCATTTGAATATTAGCACTTTTTTCTAATTCTTTGAAAAAAAAAACTCTGATAATTTGATAGGAATGGTGCTGAATATGTAAGTTACTTTCAGCAGTACATCATTTTAATAATATTGGTTCTTCCAATCCATGAGCATGGAACGTTTTTTCATTTATTTGTGTCATCTGTTGATTTCTTTCAGCAGTGTTCTGTAGTTCTTCTGACATAGATCTTTCACCTCCTTGGTTAGCTATATTCCTACGTATTTTATTATTTTTCCGGGTATTGTAACTGCGATTGTGTTCTTGATTTGTCTCTCATCTTAAACATTATTGACATATAGAAATGCTACTGATTCTTGTACATTGGCTTTGTATCCTAAGACTTTACTGACATCTTCTATCAGTTCTATGAGTCTTTTGGTGAAGTATTCAGGGTTTTCAAGGTGCTGAATCATATCATCAGTGAAGACAGAGAGTTTAACTTCTTTTCCTATTAGACTGCCTTTTCTTTCTTTCTCTTGCCTGATTGCTCTGGCTAGGACTTCTAGTACTATGTAGAATAGGAGTGGTGAGAGTGGGCATCCTTGTCTTGTTCCAGTTCTCAAGAGGAATGGTTCCAGCTGTTGTCTGTTCAGTATGATGTTGGCCATGGATTTTTCATCAATGACTCTTACTGTTTTGAGGCATATTCCTTTGACAGCCAGTTTGTTGAGGATTTTTAGCATGAAAGGATACTGAATCTTATTGAAAGTATTTTCTGCATCTGTTGAAATGGTCATGTGGTTTATATCTTTAATTCT
Organism: Homo sapiens; assembly: GCF_000001405.40. Classification (NCBI taxonomy): domain Eukaryota; kingdom Metazoa; phylum Chordata; class Mammalia; order Primates; family Hominidae; genus Homo; species Homo sapiens. The sequence goes on from NC_000012.12 coordinate 126,826,000, forward strand.
GTTTATACAGTGAATCACATTTATTGATATGTGTGTGAACCAACCTTACATCCCAGGAATAAGCTTACTTAATCACGATGAATTAACTTTTTGATGTGCAGCTGGATTTTGTTTGCTAGTATTTTGTTGATAATGTTTGTGTCTATGTTCATCAGGGATAATGGCCTAAAGTTTTCCTTTTTCGTTGTGTCTCTGCCAGACTTTGGTATCAGGCTGATGCTGGTTTCATAGAATGAGTGAGGGAGGAATCCCTCCTCTCCTTTTTTGGGAATAGTTTCAGTAGGATTGGTGTCAGTTCTTCTTTGTATGTCTGGTGGAATTTGGCTGTGAATCCATCTTGTCTGGGGCTTTTTTGGTTGGTTCTCACTACTGATTCAATTATGGAACTTGTTATTGGTCTGCTTAGGTTTTCACGTGTTTCATGCTTCAATCTTTGAAGATTAAATGTTTCTAGAAACTTATACATTTCCTCTAGATTTCTAATTTCTAAATCCTTTAGATTTTTAATTTCCATGTAATTGTGTGGTTTTGAAAGATCTCTGTGGTATTAATTTCTATGTTTATTGCACTGTGGTCCAAGAGGGTGCTTGATATAATTACACTTTTAAAAGTGTTCGTAGTTTTCTCTGAGGATCTTTTGTACTCCTGTGGGGTCAGTTGTAATATCACCTTTGTCATTTCTAATTGTGTTTATTTGGATTTTCTCTCTTTTACTTTGTTAATCTAACTAGTAGGCTATCATTCTTCTTTATTCTTTCAATAAACCAATTTTTGGTTTCGTTGACCTTTTGTGTGGATTTTTACCTATAAATTTCATTCAGCTTTTTTCTTATTGTAGTTATTTCTCTTTTCCTCTGCTAGCTTTGTTGTAGTTGTTGTTTGTTTTTCTAGTTCCTCTGGGTGCAATGTTAGAATGTTAATTTGAGATCTTTTTAACTACTCAATACAGGCATTTAGCACTATAAACTTTCCTCATAGCACTGCTTTAGTTTCATCCCAAAGATTTTGATACGTTGTTTCCCTGTTTTCATTAATTTCATAGAATTTTTTTATTTCTGCCTTAATTTCATTGTTCACCAAGTTATTCAGGAACACGTTATTTAATTTCCATGTAATTGTGTGTTTTTGAAAGATCTCTGTGGTATTAATTTCTGTGTTTATTGCACTGCAGCCCAAGAGGGTGCCTGATATAATTACACTTTTAAAAAATTTATTGAGACTTGCTTTATGGCTGAGCATGTGGTTGATCTCGGAAGATGTTCTGTGTGAAGATGAGAAGAATGTTGATTTTGTGTATGTTGGGTGGAGGATTCTGCAGACATCTGTTAGGTTCCACTGGTCTAGTGTTGAGTTTAAGTCCAGAATTTGTTAGTCTTCTGTCTCAATGATCTGTCTAATGCTGTCAGTGGGGTGTTGAAGTATCCCACTTTTATTGTTTGGCTAAGTGTTTTTGTAGGTCAATAAGGGTTTGTTTTATGAATCTGGGTGCTCCAATATTGGATATGTATATATTCAATATATATACACATATATATTCAATACATATTATACATATATATATAACAGTTATGTCTTTGTAGAAGGGTTTTTAAATGAGGATGAAGGTGTTTGCTTGGGGAAGAATAGATGGAGAGTACTTGGGGCTTTTGCAGAAGTATTCTTAACATGCTATGTGACTGACTAAGCCTGGTGACCTCTCTGAACCTCAAGGACCTCATCTAGTAAAAGACAATATCATTTTTTCTGCCTACCTCCCAGGGTTGTGGTGGGTGCCATAGATGTGAGGGGGGTTTGAAAGGTGTGATGTGTTGTAGGAAAAAAGGAGGATTTGTATAAGAGGTAGGAGAAGATTGGCAGCATAAATAGGTTAGGAAAGGGATCACAGCAGTTTGTACACGTAGGCATGTTGGTTTAGACCCACAGCAAGCCGAATGAGCTGTTCTTGCCTATAAATGAAACTGAGTTTCTGAAGGAAGATTCCATTTTAAATTAGGCAGTGATTGAATTGGTGCCAGTGCATATTGAATGTTTTCTTGTACCTACGGCAACTTGGATAAGAGGCTGACAATATTGGTTCCCGTGGTATTTGGAGACATTGGAAAGAATATGGAGCCCATCAGAAGCTAAATCTCAGCCTTAACCGTCTCTGGCCAGGGTAATCCCAGAGGCTGATTGGCTTTAGGTCTGAATTCCATGCTCTGCTGCAGGAGTTGGTCAGTGGTGGGAAGCCCCTGACACTGAAGGAGTCAGAGCATATTTGGGGGCAGGGCTTGTCTAACCTGACCATAGTCTTCTAGGTGTGGACAGTGTCCCCATCCTGAAATAATAAGCTACACTGTCGTTTTTCTCTCTGTGGGGGTATATGACTTCAACATTTTCAGCACCACTGTTGAAATCTATTTCCAAATTCCATCAGGATAAATGAACGTAGAGGTGAAATTCATGATCAACCTAAATGCTCATAAATGACAGATTGGAAAAGGAAAATGTGGTACATATACACCATGGAATACTATACAACCATAAAAAGAATGAAATCATGTCTTTGGCAGGAAAATGGATGGAGGTGGAAGCCATTATCCTTAGCAAACTAACGCAGAAACAGAAAACCAAATATCACATGTTCTCATTTGTAAGTGGAAGCTAAATAATGAGAACTCATGAACATAAAGGGAACAACAGACACTGGTATCTACTTGAGGGTGGAGGGTAGGAGGAAGCAGAGAAGAAAAAAAGATAGCTGTCAGGTACTGGGCTTAATACCTGGGTGATGAAATAATCTGTACAAGAAGCCCCCTTAACAGGAGTTCATCTATGTAATCGAAGACATAGATCGCAAAACAATAGAGCTGAATGTCTTACAATATGGAAGAAATGCCTTTGGAGACACCAGTTTTATGTATAGATTTTGAATCCTGAAATGCTGTTCATAAGTGTTGGATGGCATATTAGAATGGTTTTTATTATTATAATTTAGCGAGGACTACCTAATTCATAATTTAAGCTGAATTAATGAACTTATATCACCTGACTTATTTGCCTGAAGAAAGGCATGGTGAAAAACTTGTGAAATAAAGTAACAATAAACTCAAATTAAAATCCTGTCATAAGCTTAAAATTCACATTTTTTAATTGAAGGATGAGAAGGATAGATATTCACAAGCTCTGCTCTAACACCACTGTGTGTCCTTGGAGGATTCGTGTGGAGAAAAGTACTAGAAATAGGAAAGTATGTTTTACAGAATTCTATTTCTTGCTACCTTTTGTCAGCCTTCTCTGACACATAGTAATTACAAAGGTTTTAAGGGGAAAAGAGATGCATTATTATTTTCTTTTTCCTGTCAGCCTTTCCCATAAGGACATAAAGCCTTTATTTTGTTATATTTGCATTTACATGGAAGTTTTGAAACTAGCCAACCTGTTTTGAGTGCTAGTTTTGAGGTGTGGGGTGGAATTTTGCAGGTCCGTGTTCAAGGACCCCAAGAGTCATTCAGAACTTGTCTTTCAAAACCAGTGTCCTCATCCTCCTCCATCCCCTAAACTCACTTGCCAGTTAAGCAAGACCACCCCATTTAGCCTATGAGAGTTTCCCAATAGTTTAGCATGTATTAAGTAATCCATGCACTTTCTCTGTTTCACGCATTGTAGGAGGGTTCCACACACAAAATAAAATTAGATCCCTTCCTTGCACACAAGGAGATCTCGGTACAGCATAGAGACTGATGTCTCTTATGCTGCACTTAAGCTGCAAATCAGATGAGAACATCATTAAGGAAGCTGCTTACCTGCCTAGGACAGAAGATGTGTTTTTGTTTTTAAGATAGAATCTCAGTCTCTCGCTCATCCTGACGTGCAATCATGGCTCACTGCAGCCTCAAGCTCCGTGCAATCATGGCTCACTGCAGCCACAAGCTCTGGGGCTCAGGTGATTCTCCCACCTCAGCCTCTTGAGTAGGTGGGACTACAGGTGCATGCCATTATGTCTGGATAATATTTTGCATTTTTTTTTATAGAGATGGGGTTTCACCATGTTGCCTAGGCTGGTCTCAAACTCCTGGGCTCAAGTAATCCACCTGCCTCAGCCTCCCAAAGTCCTGGGATTACAGGCATGAGCCATAACGCCCAGCCTTGAAGTGAGGTTTTGAAGAAGTAGAAATTTTCCTGGAACAAATATGGGGTAAAAGTAAGAAACCTGTATATGGAGCAGCTGCCATATGCCAGGCAATTTTCTCAATGATTTATGTGTTAACTAGTCCTCAAAACAGAATGAGCTGTAAGTACTGTTTTGGTTGTTGCTGTTTGTTAGTTTTATTTTATTTTATAGTGGTAAGAACAATTGACATGAAATCTATTCTCTTAATACATTTTAAGTGTATGATAATGTATTGTTGACTGTAAGTACCATGTTGCCCAACAGATCTCTAGGGCTTAGTCATCTCACTGAACTAAAACTTTATGCTTCTGGATTAGTAACTCCCCATTTCTGTCTCCCCCCAGCCCCTGACAACCTCCATTTCATTATTTGATTCTACTAATGTGACTATTTTGGGTATCTCATATAAGTGGAATTATGCAGTATTTGTCCCTCCATTACTGACTTATTTTGCTTACTCTAATGTTCTCCAGTTCACCTATGTTGTTGCAAACATCAGAATTTCCTTTCCTCTTAAAGATTAAATCCTATTCCATTGGATGAATGTAGCACATTTTCTTTATTCAGTCATCGGTTGGCAGACACTTAGGTTGTTTCTGCATCTTGGCTATTGTTAACAGTGCTGCAATGAACATCCAACATAGGGATGCTAATATCTTTTTGAGATCCCAAGTTCTATCCTTTTGTGTAAACACCCAGAAGTGGGATTGCTGGACCACATGGTAGTTCTATATTTAAAGTTTTGAGGAACTTGGATGTTGTTTTCCATAGAGGCATCCCCATTTTGCATTCCCGCGAGCTGTATGCAAAAGCTGCAATTTCTCCACACCCTCACCAGCTCACTCCACCATACACACACACACACACACACACACACATATCTATCTACCCATATATTCATATCTATTTGCATATATATTAGTCATCCTAACAGGTATGAGATGATGCCTTGTTGCAGTTTTGATTTACATTTCTCCAATAATTAGGGACATTGAGTATCTTTCCATACAGCTGTTGGACATGTGTATGCCTTGTTTGAAGAAATGTCTATTCATGTCCTTGGCTCATTTTAAAAAGTCAGGTCATTAGTTTGTTTTAGTTAGTTGAGTTAGTTTGAGTTAGTTTGTTTTTGCTATTAATAATTATCTCAAGCTTCTAGGCAAGTAGCCAAGGCTCTCACTGCTCATTTTAGTCACCAGCACCTGCCAATTCACAGTAACCACAAAGGAGGGTTAATTCATATTTCAAACTCATTATTCATCTCTTGGATTTTAATAGTTTTATACTTTTCCTCCAGAGTATTCATCTCAATAGGCTTAGCTAATCAGATTTAGGTTTTAATTAAACAGCTGTCATTTGCTTGCTAGCTCTATGGCAACTTGATGTTATATTAAATTTTAATTTAGCCTAGGCTGGATAAAAACTATCTTTTAAACATCAAAGAACCACTGTTAGCAGGTTACAGTTGTAATTAAGCAGAGGCTGACTGAGATACAGATAGATTCACACACAGGGGAATGATTAGGGATGAACACATAAAATCATTATTCAGTCTTGCAGCCTGATTGTGGGAATAAGCAGGACACAGCTGAGTTGGTAGAAGCTTAGGGCAGAAAAGGACAAAATATTTTAGCATCTGTACCTTCAGTGTTTTTCCCCCCTTCTCCTTGTCTATTCCCCTCTCCTCTTCTGAAAATCAATTTACATATACATCAGGATGCTTGAAGTTGCCCCACAGCTCACTGATGCTCTCCTCATTCCTCCACCTCCTCCTTCTCCTTCTGTCCTCCTCCTCCTTCTCCTCCTCCTCCATCTCCTCCTCCTCCTTCTAGTCCTCCTCTTCCTCTTTCTCCTCCTCCTTCTCCTCCTCATTCTTTTCCTCCTCCTCCTCCTTCTCCTTCTTCTTCTCCTCCTCCTTCTCCTCCTTTCTCCTCCTCCTCCTTCTCCTCCTTCTTCTCCTCCTTCTTCTCCTCCTCCTCCTCCTCCTTCTCCTCCTCCTCCTTCTCCTCCTCCTCCTTCTCCTCCTCCTTCTGTCCTCGTATTCTCCTCTCCTGCTCCCTTTCCCTCTCCTCCTATTTCATTTTATCCTCCTCCTTCTACTCTGTCATTACCATCATCTTTAAATTCTCTTTTCTGTTTTTGTTTCATTTTAAATCCTTTCTACTGATGTATCTTTAAGTTTACTACAAATTATATACATTTATACAAAATTATATACATTTACCATAAATAATATAATGCCTTTTGTATTATCTAATATGATGTTAATCCTGGATATTTTTATCTCGGATATTATAGTTTTTACCTCTAGAATCTTGATTTGAGTCTTTTTGTGTTTCTTCCATGTTTCCACTTAATTTTTGAAACATTTAAAATAAAATTATAATAACTATTTTAATGTCCTTGTATGCCATTTCCTTCATCTGTGTAAGTTCTGGGTTGACTTTTTTTTAAAAATTTTAATTTCAACTTTTATTTTAGATTCAGACGGTACATGTGCAGAATTGTTCCATGAGAACATTGTGTGATGCTGAGGTTTGGGATAAGGACCCCATCACCCCCGGATAGTGAGCATAGTACCTGATAGGTAGTTTAGCCCACCCCACCTCCACCCTCTAGTAGTCTACAGTGCCTATTGTTCCCATATTTTATGTCCATGTGTGCTCTATGTCCACTTATAAGTGAGAAGATGCAGTGTTTGGTTTTCTGTTTCTGCCTTAATTTGTTTAGGATTACGGCCTCCAGCTACACCCATGTTGCTGCAAAGGACGTGATTTTATTCTTGATCATACATCACCTTGGATCACTGCAACCTCCACCTCCCAGGCTCAAGCGATCCTCCCACCTCAGCCCCCATCCCTAAGTAGCTGGGACAGCAAGTGCACACCACCATGCCTGCCTCATTTTTGTTTTGCTTTCTTTTTTTTTTTTTTTTTTTTTTTTTTTTTTTTTTTTTTTTTTTTTTTTGTAGAGACAGGGTTTCACTATGTTGCCCAAGCTGGTCTCAAATGCCTAAGCTCAAGCAATCCACCCACCTTGGGCTCCCAAAGTGCTGGGCTAGAGGCATGAGCCACTGCACCTGGCTAATTTCATTCTTTTTTATGGCTGCATAGTATGCCATGGTGTATATGTTCCATATTTTCTTTATTCAATCTACCATTGATGGGCACCTGGGTTAATTCTATTTCTTTGCTGTTGTGAGTAGTATGGTGATGAATATACAAGTGCATGTGTCTTTCAGTAGGACGATTTATTTTCTTGCGTGTGTATGCAAGGTAACGGGATTGCTGGGTCGAATGGTAACTCTGTTTTAAGTACTTTGAGAAATCTCCAGCCTGCTTTCCACAGTGGCTGAACTAATTTACATTCCCACCAACACTGTATAGGCATTCTCTTTTCTCCTCAGCCTCATCAGCATAAGTTGATTTTTGACATTTTAATAATAGTCATTGTGACTGGTGTGAGATGGCATCTCATTGTGGCTTTGATTTGCCTTTCTCTGATGATTAGTGATGACAAGCATTTTTTAGTGTGTTTGTTGGCCACTTGCATGTCTTCTTTTTCGACATGCCTGTTCATGTTCTTTGCTCATTTTTAATGGAATTATTTGTTTTTTAATTGTTGCTTTATAAGTTCCTTATAAATGCTGGATATTAGACCTTTGTTCGATGTGTGGTATGCATATATCATCTTCCATTCTGCAGATTGTCTGTTTCCTCTGTTGAGAGTTGCTATTGCTGTGCAGAGGCCCAATGGTTTAATTCGATCTCACTCATCTATTTTTCTTTTTGTTGCAGTGCCTTTGGGGACTTAGCCAAAAATTATTTGCCAAGGCCAATGTTGAGAAGAGTATTTCTTAGTTTGTCCTCCAGAATTTTTACAGTTTTATGTTTTACGTTTAAATCTTAAATCCATATTGAGTTAATTTTCTATATGGTAAAATGCATGGCATCCAGCTTCAATCTTCTGCATATGGCTACCCAGTTATTCCAGCACCGTTTATTATTCAGCAATAGGGATTCCGTTCCCCACTACTTGTTTTGGCCTGTTCTGTCAAAGATCAGATAATTGTGAATATGCAGTTATTTCTGAGTTTTGTATTCTTATTCATTGGTCCATATGTTTGTTTTTGTACCAGTACCATGCTGTTTTTGTTACTGTGGCTTTATAATATAGTTTGAAATCAAATAGTGTGATGCCTCTGGGTTTGTTCTTTTTGCTTAGGATTGCTTTGGCTATTTGTGTTCTTTTTTGGTTCCATATACATTTTAGAGTAGTTTCCTCTAATTCAGTAAAATATGGCATCGTAGTTTTATAGAAATAGCATTTAATCCATAAATTGCTTTGGACATTATAGCTACTTTAATGATATTGATTCTTCCAGTCTACGGACATGGAATGGTTTTCCATTTATTTGTAATGACTCTGACTTCTTTCAGCAGTGTTTTGTGGTTCTCGTTGCAGAGATCATTCCTCTCTTTGACTAGGTGTATGTCCAGGGATTTCATGTTCTGTAATTGTAGGTTGAATTGGGTTCTTGATTGCACTCTCAGCCTAAATGTTGTTAGTGTATAGAAGTGCTACTGATTTTTGTACATTGACTTGGTACCCTGAAACTTTACTAAAGTCACTTACAAATTATAGGAACCTTTTGGCAGACTCTTTAGTATCTTCTAGGTATAGAATTATATTGTCAGCAAAGAGAGTTTTATATTTTATATTTTCTTTTCCTATTTGGTTACCTTTTATCCCTTATTTTGTCTGATTGCTCTAGTTATGACTTCCAGTACTATGTTGAATAGGAGTGATAAGAATGGGCATTCTTGTCTTATTCTAGTTCTCAGTGGGAATGGTTCTAGCTTTTGTCCATCCAGCATGATGATGGGGATGGGTTTGTTATAGATGGCCCTATTAGTTTGAGGTATGTTCCTTTGATGTCTAGTCTGTTGAGGGTTTTTATTATGAAGGGATGTTTGATCTTATTGAAAGCTTTTTTTGTGTTTCTATTGAGATGATTATATAGTTTTTGCTTTTGATTCTGTTTATGTAGTGAATGACATTTATTGATTTGTGTATATTGAACTAGCCTTGCATCCCAGGAGTAAAGCCTACTTGACAGTGGCATATTAACATTTTGATGTGCTGCTGGATTTGGTTGGCTAGTATTTTGTTGAGGATTTGTGTGTCTATGTTCATGAGGGATTTTTTATATTGGTCTGAAGTTTTCTTTTTTTACTTTGTGTTTGATAGAATTTAGTATCAGTCTGATGTTGGTTTCATAGAATGAGTGAGTGTGGAGCCCCTCCTCTTCGATTTTTTGCAATACTTTCAGTAGGATTGGTATCAGTTCTTTTTACATCTGGTAGAATTCAGCTGTGAATCCATATGGTTCAGTGCTTTTTTTGATTTGTAGGTTATCTATTACTGATTCAATTTCACAAGTTGATATTGGTCTATTTATGGTTTCAATCTCTTCCTGATTCAATCTTGGAAGACTGTGTGCTTCCTGGAAACTATTCATTTTCTCTAGACTTTCTCATTTGTATATACAGTTATTCATAGTAATCTCTAACTGTTGGGAACAGGCCCCAAAATTTGGCCATAAACTGGCCCCAAAACTGGCCATAAACAAAATCTCTGCAGCACTGTGACATGCTCATGATGGCCTTGACACACACGCTGGAAGGTTGTCAGTTTACTGGAATGAGGGCAAGGAACACCTGGCCCACCCAGAGCAGAAAACCACTTAAGGCACTCTTAAACCACAAACAATAGCATGAGCAATCTGTGCCTTAAGGACATGTTCATGCTGCAGTTAACTAGCCAGAGCCCATCCCTTTATTTCAGCCCATTCCTTTATTTCCCGTAAGGAATACTTTTAGTAAATCTTATGACTGACTTGCTGTCAATAAATATGTGGGTAAATCTCTGTTCAAGGCTCTCGGCTCTGAAGGCTGTGAGACTCCTGATTTCCCACTCCAAACTCTATATTTCTGTGTGTGTGTCTTTAAGTCCTCTAGTGCTGCTGGGTTAGGGTCTTCATGACCAAGCTGGTCTTAGCACTAACAATCTTTTTTACTTCTGTAAAATCAGTTGTAATATCTCCTTTGTTGTTTCCGATTGTGCTTATTTGAATCTTTTTTTTCTTTTTATTTGATAATCTAGCTAGAGGCCTATCAATCTTATTTATTTTTTTCAAATAACCAACTCTTAGATTTATTCATCTTTGTATGGATGTTTGCTTCTCAATTTCATTAGGTTCTCTAATTTTAGTAATTTCTTTTATTCAAACAGCTCTGGTGTTGGTTTGTTCTTTTTTTATAGTTCCTTTAGGTGCAAAGTTAGATTGTTAATTTGATAACTTTCTAACTTCTTGATGAAGGCATTTATGGCTATTAAGTTTCCTCTTAACACTGCTTTGGCTGCATCCCAGAGATTTTGGTAAGTTGTGTCCTTATTTTTGTTAATTTCAAATAACATTTTTCCTGTCTTAATTTAATCTTCATCCAGGAATTATTCATAAGTTATTTTGTTTTCATGTAGCTATGTGGTTTTGAGGGATCTTTTTGGTATTTTCTGTTTTTACTGCAGTGTCATTCAAGTGTGTGCTTGATATGCTTTCAATTTATTTGAATTTATTGAGGCTTGCTTTAAGACTGATCATGTAGTTTATCTTAGACTATGCTCTTTTTTGCAGATGAGAAGAATATATATTCTATGGTTGTTGGGCGGAATGTTCTGTAGATGTCTATTAGGTCCAATTGTTCAAATGTCAAGTTTAAGTCCAGAGTTTCTTTGTTAACTTTTTGCCTCAATGATCTGTCTAATGCTGTCAATGGTGTATTAAAGACACCCACTATTATTGTCTGGTTGTCTAAGTTATTCATAGGCCAAGAAGTTGTTCTATGAATCTGGGTGCTCTAATGGTGGCAATGGTGAGTACATATATTTACTTAGCATGGTTAAGGCTTCTTGTTGGATTATACTCTTTATCATTATGTAATTCCCTTCATTGTCCTTCTTAATTTTATTGGCTTAAAATCTGTTTTATCTACTATAACAATAGTGACTTCTGCTCTTTTCTGTTTTCTGTTTGCATAATAGATCTTACACCACCCTTTTACTTTGATCCTGTTGGTGCCATTACATGTGAGATGGGTCTCTTGAAGATGGTTGGGTCTTGTCTCTTTATCCTGCCTGATGCTCTACGTCTTTTAAGTGCGGGTGTTTAGCCCTTTTACATTGAAGTTTAGTATTGATATGTGTAATTTTAATCCTGTCATGTTGTTAGTTGGTTGTTATATAGACTTGATCGTATAGTTGCTTTATTGTGCTTGTGGGCTATGTGCTTAAGCATGCTTTTGTGGTAGCAGGTGTCATTGTTTCAAATCCATGTTCAGCACTCCATTAAAGACTTCTGGTAAGGTTGGTCTAGTTGAAATATATTCCTTCAGCATTTACTTGTCAGAGGAGGATTTTATTTGTCCTTCACTTCTGAAACTTAGTTCCTTTGTGTATCCTTGCATTTGCAATTGTGTTCTCAGGTGCGAAGGGGAAGGAGGTGACCCTCTCACCACATCTGCTTATGGGTTTTGGAGGAGTCACCTCTGATAACTGGCATTGTGCCTACAATTTTGTTGTTGTCAGGTTTTTCAGGCCATGGGGCTCCCTTTGGGAGAGGTCTGATAGGCCACACCTTTACCACCCCAGCCCTGTATAGGGAGGCATGCCTAAGTCCCAAACCAGCCCACAAACCTGTGTGACTCAGACCTCTCAGTTTTCTGAGCGTGTGGGCTCCTCTCTGATTGAAGTCCCAGCTCAGCACTCTTGAGCTGCAAGCTGCAGCCATGGGGCACCAGGACCTGCTCACAATTCCCTCCTTTAGATGGTCTGAGTTGGTTTCCAGGTGCAGTTGGAGATCTGAAGGGCTCAAGGCTGCTGGAAGGCACTCAGGTGGAGCAAATTTACCCAGGCTGGGCAGTGGAGGCTGTACAGTGAACATGCCCTTACAGCGTAGCCAGGCAGTGTCCCTGGGAGTGGCTAGTGGGAAAGCATATCTGCAGGACAGATATGCCTCAGGCCCACAGAGAAAGAGATCATGCTTTGTCTTTGTCAGTTAGTTGATGCCCGGGCCTCTCAGAGGGAGACTGGCAGCCCTTGGGGGTGGGTGCTTATAGCTGGGCTCCACCAGAGCTGACTCACACTCTAAGGTCCCTAGCTGCATGCTTGCTACAGATCCAACTCCATCTAATCTCTGGGGAGATGTCCCTGCCAGCTCATCCATTCATGGGGTTGTGGGATGCCTAAAAGCAGCTAGGATCCCAGAGGTCTGTGCTGAGAGTGAGCAGTTCCCCAGTCCCTTCATTCACCCTTCTTCAGGTACTGCCTGAGGCCAGGAACTAGACATAGCATTCAAGCATCCCACACAGGGTTCCCAGTTTTTTCCCTGTTCAGCCTCAGTGACTGAGTCTTTTCTCCATTCACATGTGGCATTTTCTCTCTGAAAATCTGTACAAACTATGTTGGTATAGTCAAAACCATGGTCTCTCTCTGTGGGAGCAGCACTCCCCAGTTGCATCTAGCTGGCCATCTTGGAGAAAGTCTCCGGGTTGATTTCTATTGTGATTTTTCTCTTCTTTTCGGATAATATTTTCCTTTTTTTCTTCAACATGTCTGGTAATTTTTTATTGAGTGCAAGACATTGTGATTTTACCTTGTTAAGTGTTGGATATTTTTGCTTTTTTATAATTATTTTTACAATCTGTTTTGCAATAAAGTTATTTAACCATTTTTGACATGGTTTTTATAATTTGGCAGGTAAAACTGGGGCAGCTTTTATTCTAAGGCTAATTATTTCCCACCACTGAGGTAAGAATCTTCTGAGCATCCTACCAAATGAACCATGAGCTTGACTCTTAGTTTGTGATAATTAATGCAGTTTCTCTCTTTTGGTTAAAAACTTACATTGAAAAAAGTCTAATATTTGTATTTTTTCTGTTTCCTAATGCCTAGCTTGATGCTTTTGAACAGAATCTTTAGTCAAGGTGCTATTAGTTGCAAATGATAGAAAGTTCAATTCACAATACTTAAACACATTGGTTCACACATCACAGGGGTAACAGGCTTCAGATTCAGTGTGACCCAGCATCTCAGGTATTGATTCACAAGAATGTGACTCTTTCTACCTCTTGACCCTGTGTTTCTTGATTTGGAATTTACTCCCAGAAATCCCTTTATCTTAAAAGGCTCCTAGCACCTGCTAACCTGAATCCACATAGTTTAGAAAGCCCAGGGGAAAGATATATTATATATTTATTTGTCTTCGAAATAGTTCCAGACAATGTTTTGAGATTTAATCTCACTAATATGTCTTGGGTTGCCTGATCACACTTGAATCAATCATTGTGGATATATGGAATATTCTGATATTTTTATTTATCAGGCTTGCATCACATGCCCAATTTAAAACCTGGGTAGATGAAATGAACCCAGTCTCATTCAGGATACATGGGCTGATAACAGAAAAAAATAGTATCTGGAGGAAAACCACAGTGGTGTTGTTAAAAGATATGGAGAGAGAGACTGCATAGACAAAAGCAATCACTATTACTAGGTATTGATTTGAGCCAATCCTTGTGAGACCATCAGAACCTCTTCAGTTAATTATACACAATATTATTGTTTCTACATTCATACCCCTGTGAACCATTTGGTACATTCCCCTGATCCCATCCTTCACTAATATTCACATGTGTATATATAATCTCCCTGGGAAGCCTGGACTATTAAAATGTAAAGGCCTGTCTTGTACTTTATTTAGATTTGTCCTCTACATGCTAAGAATGACTCTGGGCAAAAGATATATATTCACGGAACATTTATTGTATAAGTGAATTAATGAATGTGATTCTTATGCATATACTAAATGTCAATGTCTTTCCTTTCTTAGCTTGATTGCCATTGTTTTCAAATATTGACTCTAAAATTGTTATTTGCTTTTCATAAGGAGCTATTGATTGCATGTTCAAAACCAATAGCAAACAAATTATCTTCAGATTTGAGAATGATAATGTCTACCTCATCAAGGTTGTAAGAATGTCAAATAAGCAATCATGTGTAAAGTATTTAGATCAGCACCTAATACATAGCACTTCGTATATTTTAGATAATATAAATATCTGTAATTCTGACACCTTCAATTTCATCTTTTTAGGATTTGAAATAGAATAATAAAGGCCTAATTTGCAAAGTGGTATGTGGAACCTACTTAGCCACTGAGATAATGCTAGGACTACAAATGAGAAAACCACTACAATATCCATCTGTTTTGTAAAATCTGGTGAGAGCAGATTATTAAGTGTTTGATGTACTGCCATTTGTGAACTCTGTTGCCCATTGTATCTGGCTGTTGTTCTTTCCCTTCAGAAATATATAAAAATAGGCACATCTACAGAAATCCCTTCTTGAACCTTTAATCATGAATCTTGAATCTTTAATCATTCCTTAATTCATTTCTTGAATTAATATTGTTGAATGCCTATTATGATAATAGCTACAATCATTGAGTACTTAAGTATGTACCAACACAATTAGAAGTACTTTACATAGTTTAACTGTTTTAATCTCCACCGCAACCCTATATGACAAGAGCTATTATTATCCTCATTTTTAAGATGAGGGAATTGAAGCACCTCTTTTAAAGTGCATTGCCCAAGGTTACACTGGAAATAGTGGCTCACATGGAGCTGTTGATCTACAGTGAGCAAAGCATCCCTACTCTCTTGCTGCCTCCCCTAGAGAAATTTCCTCTCCCAGACTTCCTTGCAGGCAGGGGTGGCTATGGGACGCACATATGTCCAGATAAACATAGTATTCAGTGTGACAAGCATGCTTCAGGGGAAGCTTTTACTTTTTCAATTAATAGGGACCGGCATACTCAATCTCCCATCTGCTCTCCACTTCTTCCTGCTTTGAACAGGAACACATTGCCTGCTATAGTGACCGGCATCTTGTTACCATTAGGGCGTGTCCAAGCCTGTTGCAAAGATGCCACCTGATCTCATTGGGTTACGGAGCCAAAGCCTGCACCTCCATTACTCCAGACTTCTATTTATATGGGGATAAAACGGGACATTTACTGGTGTAACTCACTCTATCAGGTTTTCTGTTAGTTGTGTTGTTAAAAGATATGGAGTTAGTGTAGTTAAACATAATTGTCAATGAAACAAGTTGACTGAGCCTGGATTCCAAGCCAGGGAGTCTGGTTGCAGAACCCATGCACTTATCCTTCATTCTGACATTCCTCTCAAGTGACCAACACTATTCCAGGGCCTGGGGGTGGATGGAGATCAGAAAGTACATGGTGCATACCCTCATAATACTTACAGCCTAATGTTTTCCAATGTTCAAAATTATAAAGCAAAACTATATTCATAATTACAAATTGTGGAAAGCTATGTGGAGAAAGACTGAGTGCTTTGAGAGAGAATGATTCAGGGCCGCTCAGGATGAAAAGGTAAACTGACACTTGTTACCTTTTAAAATTTCTCTGATGTGAGAGTTTAGGGGAAAGATTCCATGGGCACTAGAAGCAGAGGTGGTGGGACATTGCTGGTGGCAAATTCTGGTGTGGAGTTGTTTCTATTCAGTGGTCGGCCTTTCTTTCTTTATGTGTGCTGTTATTCTTGTAAATCTGAGCAAAAGCAAGAACTTCATTTAACTTAATATTCAGCTTAGACAAGAATATGGCCATTTCCAAAACAAATGTTCTGTGGACATTTCGAAAAAATAGTGAATAAGACCAGGTACAGTGGTTCACACCTGTAATCCCAGCAATTTGGAAGACCAAGGCAGGAGGACAGCTTGCGTACAGGAGTTCAAGACCAGCTTCGGCAACATGACAAAACCCTGTCTCTACAAAAAACAAAAAATAAAAAAATTAACCTCACGTAGTGGCACGTGCCTTTAGTCTCAGCCACTCGAGAGGCTGAGCTGGGAGGATCACTTGAGCCTGGGAGGTCAAGGCACCAGTGAGCAGCCATTGGGCTACTGCACTTCAGCCTGGGAGAAAGAGAGAGAGAGAGAGAGAGGAAGGGAGGGAGGGAGGGAGGGAGGAAGGAAGGAAAGAAGAAAAAAAATAAACAAAAAATATGATCTGATTGCGCTGTGTTAGATGTCGCTGTGAGTATTTGCAAGATTCTATGGGTGGTGAGGCTGAGTAAAGCAGGAAATCTCGAACTTGTAGTAACTGGCCTTGCTGTGCTGGTGGCTGACTGAGACTGTCTTAGTCCAGCAAGCCTGCTTGGTCATCTCAGTTTAGGACAGAATACCATCCAATGGCTCGTAATAGTCTCTTTGCTGTGAGTGTAACAACTCTTTTAAATTGCATAGGAAAGAAAGGCAGCATGGTAGCTGAGTTAGTCACTCTCCTGCCCCTCCTACAATTTTCATATTTGCTATCCTGCTATATTCTTTTTAAGTCATAAAAGTTTTGTTCACGGCCATTGTCACTGGAAAAGCTGCTTTGGTTCCTCTCGATGTTGTGGCAGTTTGAGAAGATAGTTCTGGCCTCATCATCACACTCTGCAATTCAGGCCACGTCCATACATCTCCTAAATATCCCATGTGTCATTGTGCCCCTTCCCAAATCTGTTCTGACTGAGCACCCAATCTCTGAGTGTCTGGAAGCCAGAAGCCCACACTAAGGAGTGAAAACCTACAGCAGAAATTCTCCTGGGATCAACTTTCCTCTGCCCAGAATGGGGGAGGCCTGGATCCTAATCTCAAGAAGAAGTAACTATTTCGAGTCCTTCCTATTAAAAGAATATTTCCTAAACCATATTCATATGCCACCACCATAATGATTGCCAATTCCATGGACCTCTTGCATTCACCTTCTTGATACTTTTCTTTAAGTAAACCAACTTTATAACTTAACAACAAATGCTAGCTTAATTCAAAGTCATAAATACGATCACATAATATCATGCTCTTTAGTATTTTTAATACGCATAAAAATAATTAACTATTAAAATGAAATGTTTATCCGTGTACCCCCTGACATTATTCTGAATATCAACACATTTTAATTCTGCCCTAAGAACATGTCTCCTGTTTCTTATTCTAGTTGGCCAGCTTTATGTCTCTAAATTCAAGTAGGATCCAGTCCGTGGTTCTCTCAATTTCTTTCCGAGGGTCTGTTTGAATCACAGTCTTTTGTGTTTCTGCCTATTTTTTTAAAATACTTTGGTTGGTCTTTTCCTTTTGCAGCAGAGACCTCAGAGGTTAGCTCTTAGGAAACAGAGCTGGGTCCTCAGAAACATCCTTCCTCCTTTAACTTGTTCAAAGGAGCCCCTCAGCCTCCATCTATTTGTTGATTTTTGAAAACCTTAACAATGCTGAGTTCTGTGTTTCCTCACATTTCATTTTCTCCTAGTCAGAGGTTGAATTTAAGTTTACCTCTATCGTAAGAACTTCAAGGTAGACAGAAGAGCCTTAAAGTTGTGTCCTCCAGTATAAAAGTTGTAAGAGCGGTTAATTTCTTCTCATAGTCTAAAATTAGACCTGGGAACTTTTGAAGGAGACTGCCCCTGAAGTTATTGATAGTGTTGATATGAAACAAATGATATTGCATGATAAATGCTTATGTTTTTTAATTTGGAAGTTCCAGTTAAGCATGACGTATTTCTTGGTTGTGGAGACCACTTTTTCAAGATGAAATTAGCTCAATAGCTGCCTGGAATGTCGATGCGATCTGTGTATGATGTGAGCCTTGCAGAAGCTAAACAAGTGGAAGGGCATTGGCAACAAACCAGGGTTTGAAAAGAACTGCAGCAACCTATCCACATTTTGATGCATTCATATTCCTCTTCTCTGCAGGGGAATATGAATGCATTTAAAATGTTAATGGAGGAATATGAATACATCACAATGTGAATGAGTTGTTGCCCTTGGTTGCCTTTGACTCTGCATATTATTTGCTATTCCTACACTCGTCATGGCAGAAGGGAGACATGAATCACTGCATCGGGCGTTGGTGTCCTCGTGTGTGTACGCTGAAGAAGAATTGCCCTGGAAATTCCCTGGGTCTTTTCTCTTTCCTACAGAGAGCCTAAAATAGAGCCCAATGAGCTGGGACCCTTACTGTCATAACCTAAGAGAGGTGATTCAGCCCATGGTGGGCTTTGTCCCATTGTTGCAGTCTTCTTGGTTGAGTTCACTGATGGTTAATTTCGTGTCAACTTGACTAGGTCATGGGGTGCTCAGTTTAGTAAATAGCATTTCTGAATGCGGTTTGTGTCTATATGCTGACTGTGTCTGTGAGGGTATTTTTGGATGAGATTAGCATTTGACTTGGCCGACTGCAGATAGCCTTCTTAAATATGACTGGGTGGGTGTCATTCAATCCTTTGAGGTTCTGAATAAAAGAAAAGGGTTGAGGAAGGTTGAATTGGTTCTCTCAGCCTGACCGTCTGAGCTGAGACATTGGGCTTCTCTTACCCTTGGGCTGGGACTCAGGCCTTTGACTTTGGATTGGAATTTGCAACACTAGCTTTCCTAGATCTATCGCTTGCAGATTGCCCATAGTCATGAAAGACAATTCCTCACAATTATCTATCTATCTGTCTTCTATCTATCTATGTATCTATCTATCTATCTATCTGCCTACCTATCTATCCATATCTAGTCTCCTATTTGTTCTTTGTCTGAAGAAATCTGGTTAACACAAATTTCATCCATAGGACTTTGTTTACATTATCCCCTGCCTAGCCTGCTAAATATATCACTTTGGAAGACAATAGCCCTTGGCTCAACTGTCACTTTTGCTACTGCATGATGATGGGGGTTTCTTCTCAGCACACCATGACAGGAGGTTACAGTTTAGCCTGCTGCTCAGGGGAAACCCCTGTGGTCTGCAGGCCACCATGTTCGAGCAATGTTAATACTTTGCTGGGCAATACCCAATTCTGTCGGAAACCTGGGACCTATGTAAATTGAGGGGATCTAATTAATTAGCTGTGATATGCTTGTCATAATTTTAATGTGTACATTAATAATACATTATACCGTGACTCCACAATGAATCGAGAATTCCAAGGAGCTGTGTTCTTCTTTGCATTACTTTGAAATCATCATGAGGCACCTCTAAAAGTGTGAAGCACTTATTAGCATCCTGTATAAGATCCTTGTTCGTGGTGTCATCACTCTTCAACAACACAGGAAATTTGGTTTGATTTCCAGGGAATTTGTTTTTGTTTTTGTTTTGTTTGGTTTGGTTTTGAGATGGAGTTTCGCTCTTGTTGCCCAGGCTAGAGTGCAATGGCATGATCTCGGTTCACTGCAACCTCCACCTTCCTAGTTCAAGCGATTCTCCTGCCTCAGCCTCCCAAGTAGCTGGGATTACAGGCATGCGCTTCATGCCCAGCTAATTTTGTATTTTTAGTAGAGATGGGGTTTCTCCATGCTGTTCAGGGGTGATCCGCCCGCCTTAGCCTCCCAAAGTGCTGGGATTGCTGGCGTAAGCCACCATGCCTGGCCTCCAGGGAAGGTCTTAAAAGGACTATTAAAGATCCCTACAAAGCACCTCTAAGAAATTATTTTATATAGTAGAGATTGTGCATTAGCTAAAGGCGAAGGTGTCAATTGAAGTGATAATATAAATTATGGTAATATGAAAATAAACTATGTTTTGTGTGTCCCAGGACTGTATGCCTTTTGGGTAATAGAGAAAGAAATGTATTAGAATCCAGACTTTGGAAAAAAAATTCATTGGCAATCTGGAACCTTGTGCCTAGTGGAGTAAAATCAGCATGGATGAACGTAAAGTTCTGTAATTAGGTCCAACAATTACTTTGCATCATGAGAATGTGGCAGATGTAGCATAATAATAACATGTGAGTATGTGTGAAAAATCCTAACACAATCTTTGGTATCAGTAATTAGTGTATGTCATCAGATCATCTTTGTTGAACAGGTTTTACTGGATGAAGACCTGTCTTGATACTTTAGGGATTAGGATCCAAGTCTTCTTCAGATTTCATGAAATGTTTTTGTTCCAAATATATAGATAGACAGACAGATAGATAGATAGATAGATAGATAGATAGATAGATAGATAGAGATAGAGATATATAAATTACCTTCTTTGTGTAGGGAAATGTACCAAGACAGTTACTATCATGAAATTTACGTGGTTCTTCCTTAGGCGATTGCAGTCAAACTAATGATTTTGAATGGCTAGCATTTAGTGAGCACGTAAGTGCCAGATGCTAAGCACACGAGAGGTATTGGCTCATTTCATCCACACGAGCTTTTGAATCAGGTAATTCTACTTATGACAACACTTATAGATGAGAAACACAGAGTCATGGAGAGGTGAAGTAACTTACCTAAGGCCACACGGTTTGAGCATGGTGGAGCCAGGGGTTCCGCTATGCTTTCTAGCTCCAGAGCCAAATCTATTCACCACTGGCCATTAATGAAGTGCCACTCAGCATGATCATGCAGGGCCTCAGGGCCTGGGGGTTGCCCTTATGAAAGAGTAGCAAATACCCCTCCTCTATTTCTCCACAAAGGAACTAGTTAGCTGATGATGTGCTAGTTATAAATTTGCAAGATGCCTTTCTCCTTCCAACTATATCACCTGGAAAGCATGACTTCTTCTCTTTGCCAAGTTTTTTTGAATGTCTTCACAGGAAGGAAGAACACAGCTATGGCTTTCATAGTGTGACTATAAGGTGATATATAAACATATACGGTTCTGGATATAAGGTGATATATAAACATATACGGTTCTGGATATAAGGTGATATATAAACATATACGGTTCTGGATATAAGGTGATATATAAACATATACGGTTCTGGATAACTGGTGAGCTCGTGTATTTATGTGTTAGTAATTGTATTGTTCATCAATAATTTGTGGCTTCTTAGGGTCCCAGAAGCATATCATACATTATCAGCTGGGGATGTACTCTTTCTTCCATAAGACTAAGAAAAGTACAATTATGGTCACCTTGACGATAGTGCTTGCCAACTTCTCTCTGCAAGCATTCAGTTTTTCAGCTTTCAGTTTCAGCTTCACTAGGCACTAACGAGATGCTAAAGAATTATAAAAGAGATTTCACATTTGAAAGCCTTCCCTACACCCAAGGAAACATCTTGTTTCCAAACTTAGTCTGTGATGAGTAAGGCGAGGCTGAGTGTCTTCTGACAGATGTGCTCTCAGAGGAAATTTAAAGTTACCTGCTGCTTGCCTGGAAATATGCAGGGAGCTCCTTTCCTAGAAATAGAATCTGATGTCACCTCTGGAGAAAATCACTGGCTTTGAAATAGCAGTGAATTTCCTGGGTTAATATGCAACAGCTACAAAAAGAAGAGCTCTGATACCAAGGTTGCCTTAAATGGTAGAATTTACAAAGATCTCCCAGGGAGCAGTGGCTGAGCCAGAATTAGAAACCAATTACACTTGACTCCAAGATCCCTGTTAATCCACAATGGTGGGCATCGTCTTGTGGCACTGATATTCTCTACTGATAGATCACATGGGCTCCTTAGGGGAAGGGAACACATGCTTTTCATTTGAATAATACTTATTGGATATTTATAAAATATCTTCTAAGTGCCAGGCAGAGTGGTGAGCGATGATGATACACAAGATTGACAAGGTCCCTGCTCTCCTGGACTTGCCATCTTGAGAATAAGGACAGGCCAAAAGGCCAACAAATTAATAGGTTATAACACACCCAGCCAGCATCAAAAACAGCAGTGCCTTGCAAATAATATTCGCCCCACAAATTCAGGTGGGATAGGATTGAGTGGACATAGGTAGGATGCTAAGGAAGACTGATGCTCACTGAGTTCCTGCAGCCCTTTTACTTTGGCCATGAGGATGTCATCCATTCATCCTTTCAGTTGACATTTGCTGAAAACATATAGCTCACCGGACAGACACCATGAGAGGTAGTGAAGCTAAAGAGATCGATGAGAGATGAGGCCTGAATCTCTCAGAGGGTCCAGCTGTCTCTCCAATGTACTGTCAGACAATTTTGGTGGTTGTTATTGTCATGCGACTAAAAATACCTAAGAGTTAGCTTCAACCCACATGCAAATGCCATTCATTTATGGCACAAATAAGAAGAAAAATAAATGCAAATCTAGGTCACATTCTGTCCTCACAAACTTCTTGGTGGCATCACAAGAAGAAAAGAAACTCACGTTGATCTGACATTTAGAATTAAGGGAGTTCAGCAGAAGTGAAAGAATCAGGACTCTGATGGCAAGGGGAGGAAGCTGCTGGGCATGGAATCTTGATTCCCTATCGTGCTGGAAGAAATCCTGCTGTAGGAAAGTTTTATTTACCTTTCTAAAAGGGTCTGCATCACTAACCTATGTGCTTCCCTTTAAGCAAATGTTTAGAAACATCAGGGGCTCCTCCTTCTTGGACCAAGATCAGGGGGCATCAGGCCTAGTGGTCCCTGAGCAGCCACTCTGCCCCAGCTCCGGCATCTCGGAAGCCCATCTTCCACTCTGTATCTTGGAAGTTCATTTCAGTTCATAAATCCACAAGTGCATAAAACCGGAAGGCTTTCCATCTACCCCACTCTGCTCAAGACTTCAAGTGAATTTTTTTTTTTTTTTTTTTTTTTGAGACGGAGTCTTGCTCTGTCACCCAGGCTGGAGTGCAGTGGCGCGATCTCGGCTCACTGCAAGCTCCGCCTCCGTGAATTTTTAAGACATGAGGGTAACAGGCCAATACTTCAAAACCACCTAGCTTACTCCTTATGTTGCAACTCATCCTGCCCATCTTTGGAGATAAAAAAACAAGTAAATGATAGAAAGATTATTTATATTCCTGGAAGACAAAACTCAAAAACAAATAAAACTTAAAACCCAGCACTTAAAAAAATTATAAAGTGGTCCCAGAATACATGTAGCTCCCAATCTGTCGACTCTTCAGAATTAAAACATGTACCAGTGTAAGATTTTTTTATGCCCTCTGGAGTTAAGCTCATAACAAAATTGGCCATACTGTCAATGGAAGAAAGAATTTGACTTTTAAAACCACATTCCAAGATTCCAAAAAATCAAATAATACACTTGATCTAAATTAATTGTGGGCATCTCATTTCTTATAATGATGTTGATGGCAATGATGACTATAGTTATTGATATTAATTTTTACCTTGTTCCAATCACTGTGCTCAGCACTTCCTCCACACATCTCACTTGACCTTTCAAATCATTCTATGGGTCAGACTCTAATGTGATCTTCATTTCACAGATCAGAGAGATTACTAAAATAAAGCCACTCAAAATGTTCTGGAGGTCAGAAGTCTGAAGTCAGCCCCATTGGACTAAAATAAAGCAGTCTGCAGTCACGTTCCCTTTGGAGGATCTAAGGGAGAATCTCTTTCCTTTCCTTTCCATGCTTCTAGAGGCTGCGTAGATTCCTGGGCCCACGGACACTTTCTCTGTCTTCAAAGCCAGCAAAGTCAGCAGGAGTCTTTCTCATGCTGTCATCTTTCTTGTTCTGCCTCCTGTGTCCACTTATAAGCACTTCTGTGATTACATTCAACCCATCTGAGTAACGCAGGATAATTTCTGCATCTCCATTGTATTAGTCCATTTTCACGCTGCTGATAATGACATACCCAAGACTGGGCAATGTACAAAGGAAAGAAGTTTAATGGAGATCTCACAGTTCCACGTGGTTGGGGAAGCTTCACTATTATGGTGGAAGGCAAGGAGGAACAAGTCATATCTTATGTGGATGGCAGCAGGAAAAAAGAGAGCTTGTATAGGGCAACTCTCGTTTTTTTCTTAAACCGTCATATCTCCAGCACGGGAAGACAGCATGGGAAAGACCCACATCCACGATTCAATTACCTCCCACCACATTCCTCCCACAACATGTGGGAATTATGGGAGTTACAACTCAAGATGAGATTTGGGTGGGGACACAGCCAAACCATATCATCCATGTCTGCTGATTAGCAACCTTAATTCAATCTGCATCCTTACTTTCTCCATGCAAACTAACAAATTCATAGGCTATGGAGATTAGGACATGGAAATATTCGGGATGGGGTGGGGGTGGCATTACTTTGCATGTCACAAGCAGAGAACAACTGAGAGCTTCTATGATTCCAGATGAGCATGAAGAATGAAGGAGGAGTCAGGTATCTCCAGAATTGGAAAGAGTGCAAATATGTCCACCTGGGCTTCCAGGCTAATTGCCAACACCTTGCAGGGAGCTCACACACACACTTTTCAAAGAATAGGTCAAGGCTTCATCAAATGTCAGCTAGTGTCAACTCTTGAGTTAGGAAAAACTTAACTTCCTGCAACCCTTGCTGTCTTTGTTGTAAAAAAAAAACCTCTTTACTGGAAAGAATAGTGTTCTAAGATGGGACCAAAACAGTGGGAACCATCAGCACTTACAAACAGCTATCCTGGAAGGCTGGCCTGTCTTCTCGGCCATTTCTGTGGCCATATTTAATCCACTGATCAGATGACTACTGGTCAGTCTTTCTTCAGAATGTCCATGTCCTATGTTACATGTCAGTGCAATTGTCAAGATGTCAAGAGAGAGAATTTGACAGCCTCCACAGATGTGACTAACAGCACCTTATAAAGTCAAGTAAAAGAAGCCCAGTTATGGCTGAACACCACTCAATCATGACCCCTAGTGAGCACTGAAGGGGAAAGGATGCTTACTTATGTCTTCAATTCACTTTGGAAATACTGTCCTGGTTTAGTTAACTGACCCTCGTGGACTGTTATCCAAGGAACCAAAGGAATGCTTGTTAAGAGCAGAGGGGAAAAAAAAGCATACTGTCTTACATTTTTATTCTGTTTTGCACATTACGAATGAACAAGGTGATGTCCTTATTCATTCACCTGGACATCTAGTGTCAGACATTGCTTGGTGACATCAACATTTATTAATCGACTGATGTGACTATTGAATTGTATTCTTATAATAATCTCATGAAGTTGGCTGAGCAATTACTATCATGCTTTCTTAAGAGGGCTTTGCCATTCGGAGTGATTGACTTGCTGGAGGTCCCAGAGTTAATGGCCAGAACAGGAACCATGGTCCCTGTATTAGAGACAGTGGTGGTGAAGAGCATGGGCCCTAGAGCCAGATCTCCTGAGTGCAAATCCCAGGTCTACCATATGTTACCTGTGTGATCTGAGGCAAAGTGTTTAGGCATTCCATTTTTCAGTGTTCTCATGTATAATCTGAGGATAATAATGTCACCTATCTCATTTTTAAGGGGATTAATGAACTAATATATGTATGGTACATAGAACTATGCCTATATGCAATATAAATATGAAATCTTCTTATTCCCCAGCATCTTTTATCCTGCATAATATGACCTCTTCACAGAGATTGGGCATGGTGAAGTGAGCATTTAATATTCTTTCCTTATATACGTTTCCTTCTGTTTCTCTTTGCGAACAACTCCTCTGATACCCCATGGCTTCTGAAGGGCTGGATTCCAGGGTAGCCATAGATGAAACATGGCCAGCCAGCACTCCATCTTCCTGGCCAAAGTGAGTAGTTCAGAAATGGACATATCCAAGTTTTACCACTGTGATCTGAGAGACCAACCTAGACACCCCCTTATCAACAAAGATGACCCTAACGTTAATGAAACAAGTTACCTATGTTTCCACGGTTCAGGGCTTGGCTGGCCTGGCAACTTCCTAAATTCCTAGGGCTCCAAAAAAGACCACACTATCACTAAACTCCCTAACTGTAGGAGCTGTCAGGCAAATTAAATCAGTGTTGTACTTAACTCTGATTTATACACCAGACCTCTACAACTCTGATTGGACAGAGGACTGGCCTTGCAAACATTATTTTCCAGTAAGCAACTGCTGACTTTAAGCTGGTTTATAGAGGCTACGCATAAACCGTCATCAAGCCCTATAGCTTACCTTTTGATGTAAGAAGCCAAATTCCACATCATTTGAATGCTAAAACCCCTCTCCAAAGTGAACATGGGATATATGTAACATATATGCTTACCCATTGTGTGTGCACTCAGTTCCCTGCATAAATATGTGTAGCTTTTCGCTTTTCCTGGAATCCTTCTGTATATATACGACTCCATTGTGTGAGGTATGAAAGCCAACCGACCCCTTCCCTCTTCTGAGAGAGAGCACCTTTAGCACACACCAGAGACATTTCTTCCTGATTTGCAAACTGATATCACCAATAAAACTCTCATTTCTACTATTTAGCCATCCTGGTGGTCTTTGGAGAACATCATGCAAAGACTTTGCTAGGATTACGTTAAAATTCTTAGGGAATGGGGTGCTTTCTTAAAGCAGGGCTTTCTAACCTGAGAGGAGGCAAGCCCAGGACTGCCAGGGCTATCATCAGAAGAGATGTAGCCCAATGGTGATCCTCATAAATGTAAAGCAGACACAAAAGATGAAAGGAGATGAAAACCTGGGCACGTTGTGCATACCCATGTGAGTGACGCTAGGGTGGAGATGAGCTGACACAGGGTTTGGCCAGAAGAGGGAAGAGAAAAGCCCATGACTGTATTTAATAAGAAAGGAGGAAAGCTGGGAGGCTTGCCGGTTTAGAGTGCCACATAAAAGGATGTCTGTGTGCAAGAACATCACTGGAAAATCAGTACTTTGGAGATGACAAAAAGAAAAATGAATAAATTAATTCACAATGAAATCATAAAATATTCCATAGTAACAAAAGGCTAAAAATGTAGTCTAGAATTCCAATATACAACGTAAGAAACACAGTTCATAAAATTGTATTCTATGTTGGAAATTTGCTAAGAGAGTTTAAGTACTCTTAACCACGCACACAGAAAAGAAAAATATAAAAGGAAGTAAAGTAACTGTAAATATATTTGAGGTAGATGAACCAATTTTCTATTTCTGGGAAGCCAACAAGCACTATGTTTGCATCATGATGGCAATGAGGCCTAGATTTGTACCAGTTAATTTATTAGAGTTAAACAAGCAAACAAACCCATATCTTTTTCTTTCCACTGGCATCTGGAGTCATATTTTCAGAAGTTTCTTTAGGTTCTAAGCAGCAGCTTATGAGAATGGCTTATTTTGGTCAGTAAAGCATTTACATACACATCAATAATTCATTCATAATTGCTGGCTGAAATTGAAAAGTTTGCAGATGTCAATGAAAGGCTCTATTTCCAACTTGTCTTGAAAAATCAGGAGCTCTATAATGCTAAGTGAAATAAGCCAGTCATACAACAAGAGTTACTGCACAGATTCCACTTATATTCAAGGAATATCGAAAATAGTCAAATTCACAGAAGCGGAGAGCATAATGGTGGTTGCCAGGAACTGGGGAGAGGAGAAAATGTGGAGCTGCTATTCAGTGGGTGCAAAGTTTTAGTTATACCAGATGAAGGAGCTCTAGAGATCTGCTATACAACATTGTGCCTGCAGGTATATTGTATACCTTTAAAAATTAAGAAGATACATCTTATGTCAAATGTTGTTACCGCAATTTAAAATACACACACACACAGACACTGGTGTCAACATCCTGCAGTGAGTGCTGGCTGCCCCTAGGGATGGACGTTCTAATCCCAGATAGGCACACACCCTACATTGCCAATTAAATAACATCAGATCTGCTTCTCTGATTGATGTTACCTGTCCTGTCCCTGCAGAGATTTTTGCTTTTAACTGCTGCTCATTTATTTTCACTAGCACCTGGTAAGACTCTCTGTGTATATAATGGTCTGGAAAATTTTGCCTATCGCACAATTGTTAAATGTATTTACATGTAATGAATAGCACTATTGTAATTTATCACTAGTGAGAATCTAGATTTTATATATAAGAGTTGTTTAGAGTATGGAGTAACTATAATGTCTTCATGACACTGGTGAGAGTTGGGAGCTCAACATCCCAGGTTGTTCAGGACAAAGGCTTTTATACCCATGGATTCCAAATAGCTTTCCCCATAGTAGAATGAATTCAAAGTCCAATAAAGGAGTGTATTCTGTTGAATCATCCTATTATATTTAAGGGATTACTCCTGCACCAAGCTTGCCTCCATGAACCATGTGAGCCTGGCTTGATGATCAATTGCTTGGCTCCTCTTTGGAGGTATTCACTAGAGTGTAAGTTTTAAAATTCAACTTCTCTTTGCTGTGGGCAGCATTAGCATGCTTCTGCCAAGTGTTTTCAACATAGTTCTTTAAATAAATATTCTTCAACAAAAATTTGGAAAATGTGAATCCTATAGACCTTTTCTTTCTCTTTTTCCTTTGAAGAATTTCCTGTGCAAACCCTGAACACTTAAGCTTGTTGTTTCAGTGTTTGTGCCAATGGCACATAATTAAAAATGCTTCTATGAGCAGCAGGCTCTGCATTAGCAGTGATCCAAAGGATGCAAGAAGCACATTGGTACCATATGTCAGGCTTTACCAAGGCAAACAGGTCTTGATCCCTTTTGTGGCAATCACTTAATGAATTAGGAGTGCCTGGATCATTTTCTAAGCTAGCATGTGCTGATGATGTCTTTTAATCTCCAAAAGTCAGGGATAAAATGATAAAAATAAAGGAGCTCATGAGATGTGTCAGTAGCTGGTCAAGATAGAATAACAGGGACTAAATGTAACCATTTACTTGAAATAACTAAAGAAATGGTTAAAATAAAATAAAATAAAACAACTGCTTTCAGTCATTGGGCATTAGATGGTACAGTATATTAATCCCTGTGTTAAGGAAAGCAA
Organism: Homo sapiens; assembly: GCF_000001405.40. Lineage (NCBI taxonomy): Eukaryota > Metazoa > Chordata > Mammalia > Primates > Hominidae > Homo > Homo sapiens. The sequence continues at coordinate 126,854,910 of NC_000012.12, forward strand.
ATTAATTGAGTCCTATCATTGTTCCAGCTTATTTCCTGGAGAACATTACCAAGGCACAACTCAGAGAGGGGAATCCAAGCAGAGCCCAGTAGTTTTCAGATTTGAGAAGATAGACATGGAAATCCAAAGAGACCAAGGCAGCTGGAGCTCATAGGATGCCGTAGACAAAAGAGGTGGTTTTTGTTTGTTTGTTTCTGTTTTTGTTTTACAGGGAGAGAGGAGACATTTCTCATTCCCACAGAGAGTTCCTTTCAAGTCTTCAGCTAAGTGCTGATCAATGTATGAATGCAGAGAAATGGTCTGAGCTGTGGGAAGGACCAAAGGGTGAGAGGGAAGCGTGGATGAAGAGAGGCTGGTCAATGAGTACAAAAATACAATTAGAAAGAATATATGATTTAGTATTTAATAGAGTATGGTGACTATAGTTTACAATAATTTCTTGTGTAGTTCAAAATAACTAGAAAAATGGGAATATTCCTAATGTAAGGAAAGAAACTGTTAGAGGTAATAGACATCCTAATTACCCTGACTGGATCATTACGCACTGTACGCCTATATCAAAATATCACATGTACCCCCCAAATATGTTCAACTATTATGTATCAATTAAAAACTGGGAATGACAGTTCATATCTTACAGAGTTAGTATAAGAACTTAAATACAATAATGGAGACTAGTATATTAAAAAAGGGAGAGATGCAGGGGGAAATATTATTCTCACACAGTGTCAGAAATGGTTTGTGTTTCCACCAATGAAAATGGAGAAACTGACTAGTACATGGAGCATCAGGTTGAGTATTAAGAAGGATAGTGCATTCGTAGTGGGGCCAAATTAACACTAAGCTAAAGTAAGCCTGGGTCCTTACTAACAAAGCTTAAAAGCAAGTATTAAAAAGGCCAAACTGTCTCATAGCAAAGTGCATGAATATTTATGCAATAATGCAATAAGAAAATCCCACAACATAATGTGACTTTTACACAGTCTGGCAGAAAGAATGACACCAATGATGGAATGATCAGGCAAAGGTACTAAAACAGTTATCATTAATAGGGCTCATATGTTTGAGAAGATAATGATTCAGTAGACACATGAAAGGAATTTTTAAAAGACACAAAACAAACCTTTAGAGAAGAATATTACAATGACTAAGAAGAAAATGACATGGGATGGGATTAACAGCAGAATAGCTATTACAAAATCAAGGATTAGTAAACTTGAGGACATAGCAACAAGAAGTATTTCAAATGAAGCACAGAGAGAAAAAACAGCTGGGGAAAAGTAAAGCAGCAGATAATAAAATCAACAGTATTAGATTCACAAATTCATCCCATTCTGAAAAGTCCTAAAAAGGGGAATAATATTGCTACATTCAGGGAAGTGGTCACGTTGAGGAAACATTCTTTTAAAAAAATAAACCCTACTTGAAAGATCTTCATAATCAACAAATGGACCAACAACAGCTTTGGTGATTCTGAAACCCTGGAAAAAAAACCTCAGTACTACATCTAACTTAAATACTGCCCTAAATTTTTGGTAAATTCTACGATGTTTTTCACTTTAGTCAATAACCATTTGCTGCTGAAGAGAGAAGGAAAGTAATGAGGTTAAGAAGTGGCATGCAGGAGTCTGTCATGTATCTGTGATGTTTCTTTACCTTGATAGGCTATACATAGACCTGCTTTTATATTCTCTCACCCCTTTTCACTCTGGCTCATCGAATCCTGATTTTGTATTTTGTAGGCAGTAAACTCTTGCCCTCAAGGAAGTAAGCCTCCATCCTTTGTCCAATCCTCAAATTTAAACTGGTCAAGCCTCCCTCTTTTGTCCAATCCTCAAATTTAAACTGGTCATGATTATATCTTTCTAATTGGTTAAGAGACTGGCAGTTCACCCAGTTCTAGCAAACGAGATGCAAGGGAAAGCTTGCGGGGGCTTCTGGGCAATATTTTATTTCTGGATAACATATGCCTTGGTAGCAAGGAGTCCCTTAACCATCTGCTTAGATCAGTATCTTGTAGCCAAGGGCAATAAGTTCAACATCACAAAGCAAAAATTCTTAATGTGGCAGAATGCAAAGACAGTAAGTGACATCACTGAGCTGCTGAACCATTTGGACGCCACCAATCTCTGGACTTCCTGTTGTATGAGACAATGGGATGCCATCCTTCCATATTCCACAGTCAGTGAGAGCATGGAGGGAAAGGTGACAGAGAAGCTTGTTAGTAGAAAATGCCAGGTATCTTAATGGTCCTTGGTGGTCAAGTGTGGAATTGCATGATAGGGAAGAATCCCTAAGCACCACAGACATAAGGGAAGTTTGTTTATACTGACCATCTCCTTCTTGCTGGTCTCCATCTAGTGCTTCTGAGAAAGATTGGATGCAGAGCAGGACACCTGAAAGACCCCCACCACCCCACCGCCACCCCACTTGTTGGTTCAAGTAACAAGGATTGAATGTAGGACACTAGAGTAGGTACCTGGAGTAGATAATCCACACTTCAAGACTTGCATAGAGGCAAGTAGTAATGAGATGCTGCAAGTAACAGACACACAACACATGCCAACTTGTACTCTTCTCTTATATAAAGCAAAATTCACCTGCCACGAGAAGAGGGGCCAGAATCCTGCCTATGAATGGTTTCTAATGCTGCTTTGACAGGAAGGCTAGAATGGTACATAACCTCCCTTGGCTACATATATTAGTTGGTTCTCACGCTGTTATCAAGACGTACCTGAGACTGGGTAATTTATAAAGAAAAGGAGTTTAATTAGCTCACAATTTTGTGGACTGCACAGGCCTCTGCTTCTGGGGAGGCCTCAGGAAACTTACAGTCACGGTGGAAATGCAAAGCGGAAGCAGGCATGTTTTCGCATGACCCATAGAAAAGAAAGAGAGGCAGAAGGGGAAGGTGCCGTACACCCCTTTTTTTTTTTTTTTTTTTTTTTTTTTTTTTTTTTTTTTTTTTTTTTTTTTTTTGAGGCAGAGTCTCACTCTGTCCGCGGAGGCTGGAGTGCAATGGCACGATCTCGGCTCACTGCAAGCTCCGCCTCCCGGGTTCACGCCATTCTCCTGCCTCAGCCTCCCGAGCAGCTGGGACTACAGGCGCCCGCCACCACGCCCGGCTAATTTTTTGTATTTTTTAGTAGAAAGGGGGTTTCACCGTGTTAGCCAGGATGGTCTCGATCTCCTGACCTCGTGATCCGCCCACCTCGGCCTCCCAAAGTGCTGGGATTACAGGCGTGAGCCACCGCGCCAGGCCACCACACACTTTTTTACAACCAGATTTTGTGAGAATTGTATCACGGACAGCACTAGAGGAATGGTGCTACATGATTAGAAATCACCTCCATGATTCAATCACCTCCTACCAGGACCCTCCTCCAACACTGAGGATTACAATTTGATGTGAGATAGGCGTGTGGACACAGAGCCAAACCATGTCACTATATGTTAAACTTCAACACAGCACAGCTGCCTATAGAGCAGCGTTTGCTTGTTGCTTTGAAGGCCATTTAGGACGTGCATATGCAACTTCTTGCCTTGTAACTTTGTCATAAAATTCTTTTCAGCAACAGCAGTTCACTTTTTTATAATAGTATTTCCATAACTATTATTTCAGAAAGACTATTAAAGACAGGTATACTGTAAACACACTAGAGGAGAAAAAATAAAAATAAAAATAAAATTTCCCTAAACACCATAAAGAAAAAAGTGATTAGTGCTTTTTTCCCTCCTTGGCATTAGAAATAGTTATTGGCTCAAGAAATGGTATGTTTTAAGTCAATGGATTCCCCAGCATGTGGGCGTAATGAGAGAAATGAAAACGATGACAGCCTGGGGCTGAGTATCTGATTTCCAAGGCAGAATAGAAGCTCAAATGAAGGCATGTGCCTGTCTATCCTGTTGTGTAAAGAGAGAATGAATGAGAGACTAAGGAGCTTATGTCAAATAAAGTCTTTAGCTTCTGATGTGGACGTTGGATTCTCAGAACACCTGGCTTGTGGCTGATGGCTGCTCTCCTCATCTTCCTGATTGGGTAGCTAGTCAAATTAAAAATAGCAATAATAATAACAAGGGTAGAAGAGAGTAGAGTCATGCTTGGGAATCAATCTAGTAAAAATTGGGATTGTGTAGATAATAATAGCAATGATTAAAAACCAATGCATTACAGAGTGCCCAAAATGTGCCAACTCTAAGATAGTTGCTCTAAGCAATATTTTGCGTGAATTAACTGTCTTTGCTCCCCAATAATTTTGTAAATTATTTTTTGACGTTATCATCATTTTGCAGGTGTGGAAATGAGTGCACTAAGAGTCTAGATGCACAGTTTACATTATACAGTGATGATGGGAGTGGTTGGCACTCAAACCCACCTCCTGTGTCCCAGTTCTGACACTGTAAGCATTTACATTTCTCTGCCTCAGTAAATCTCTTTTCCAGTGGAGCAGAGACTTATTTCTGAGCTCATGGGCTTGCATTGCCTTTGTCCCCTGCTAGACCTAGGTGTTTTTTTGTTTTGGTTTGGTTTTTTGAGACAGAGTCTTGCTCGGTCGCTTAGGCTGGAGTACAGTGGCACAATCTCAGCTTACTGCAACCTCTGCCTCCTGGCTTCAAGAGACTCCCATGCCTCAGCCTCCTGAGTAGCTGGGAACACAGATGCGCACCACCACACCTGGCTAATTTTTAAATTTTTAGTAGAGATGGGGTTTTGGGGTTTTGCCATGTTGGTCAGGCTGGTCTCAAACTCCTGGCCTCAAGTGATCCACCTGCCTCTGCCTCCCAAAATGCTGGGATTACAGGCAAGAGCCACTGCATCCAGCCAAGATCTAGTTCTAATGCCAGTGCTTTGCCTGTGACATTGATTTCCAAAAGCAAGATAGAAAATAAGCATTTGATTTTTGTATCTAAACTATTTCTCAAGAGTTTGAGTGAGAAGGATTTAATCCCTGCCTCCCTCGTCTTAGAAGACAATGAAATCCTCCATTGAGATTTGTGTTTTTCATCATGCCTCAGAACAGTATTTCTCTGGCTTTTCCTGGCAACTCTGATGTTCCCCAACAAATAACCTTGATGTTCTGTCTGGATTTCTCAGGACTGTGGTTGAAAAGCAGGAAAGCTCACCGTAATCTAGTTTAAGCAATACTGGGTAATTCATTTTGTCATGAAGCCATGCTATGCACAAATGGATCTGCCAAGAGAACAGACTCCCTTGGACTCTGGGATGTCAACATCACCAGACAACATTCTTCTTCTTTCTCCTGATCTTTCTTCTGTTTTGTTTCTATAATTTGATTCCATTTTCTGCACTGCAGAGATGTTCTTTCTAAGCCAAAGGAAAATTGAGTACAGGAAGCCCTGAACTCATACTGTAGCAGTACATTCTATCAGGGAGGAAGAACGGGTCATTCCTGTCAGCTCCAGATTGGAAAATCCCAAGGAAGAACTCAGGAACCTCTGCTTAGATTATGTGTTCATCCTTCCACAAACACTGCAGCTAGGAGGATGGCTGCATGACCCCCCTGCCTTGGGCCTGAGACTGGTCAATGCACAGGGCTTGTCACTGAGGGACAGGACTGGCCCTGGATGAAATAAGCAGTGCTCCACTGCCAAGCAGCAAAATGAAATGACTGACAGAAAGTTTTAGTTATCTCCTGTGGTAAACAAAATAAGAATCCCCCCAAAGATGTACACATCTCAATACCCAGAACTTGTGAATGTGTTACATTACATGGCAAAGAGGTATTAAGGTTGAAGATGGGATTAATGTTGCTAATCAGTTGATTTTAAAATCGGGAGATTATCCTGGATTCCAGGCTGACCTGACCTGATGTAGTTAAAGGGTCTTTAAGAGTGAAGAGCAGCTACTCAGGGGGCTGAGGTGGGAGGATCCCTTGAGCCCAGGGAGTGCAGCTGTCTGTGTAATACGACATTGGCTGCACTTGGCTACTCATAAAGTGTGGCCCGGGACATTTAGACACATTCACAGTTCAGGCATGTCTGACTTCAAGGAATCTAGTGGCCTTGATGAAGAAGGCAGCTCTAAGGAGCAAAATTCATATCACGGCCATGTGATGCCTCTGCAGACTTAAGGCTTGGGCCCAAGAGATTTTGGGGATCAGGTTTTTCCAAGGTCATTTGTGAGATGGGTGAGTAGGCAAACCTTCTAAATTCTCTGAGCCTTTTATTATCAGTGAAATGAGAGTGAACATACAAGCCAGTTCCACATCACAGGATTTTGGTGAGCAAAAACAAACTAACATCACCAATGTAACCTAATTTGGCAGGAAAAGCTCAGTGAAAACATAAATAAAAACAATATTTTTCTTCAAACATAACCCTCACTTTCTGTATATTACCCATGGAAGACAAGGAACCTTTGGTCGTCTTTATTGTCTAATTTTGGAGTTGAACCGTTTGTTGCACTTGGTGTTGGACAGTGAATAAAAATATTTAAACATATTTAAAATTCCATTTTTGGCACAAAATATAAAATTACTAGAGTCTTGTGCCCTATCATTTCTTATACGACTACTGAAAATATTTTCTAGCTAATGTATATAGAGTAATATTTTGGAGACTGATCAATAGATACTCTTAATGAAACTAAATGGTTACTGTAAAGTGTTAGTCCAACAAGTTAGTTGCCTGACATTCATTTTCTCCATAGCTGCTTTATTGATGGTACATTCCATTCTAGAACTAAATTTCGAGTGGATATTGAATTGCTTAGACTGATGCCTTTAGGTCATTACAATTTTTAAATTCCTTTTTCCATTGTGCCTTCCTGGGGTACCTAGGAATGTCTTCAAGGTCTACTCATTATCATTCCATAAATATCTATGTTAAACTTGAAGGTAATGAAGTACGGAGGGACAACTAAGCACTATCATTTAAACTGTTTTATTACACTCGCTCCATTCCTCTTTTTTTTTTCTTTTGAGACGGAATCTCGCTCTGTTGCCCAGGTGCAATCTCGGCTCACTGCGGCCTCCGCCTCCCAGGTTCAAGCAATTCTCCTGCCTCAACCTCCCAAGTAGCTGAGATTACAGGAGCCCGCCACCACATCTGGCTAATTTTTGTATTTTTAGTAGAGATGGGGTTTCACCACGTTGTCCAGGCTAGTCTCGAACTCCTGACCTCAGGTGATCCACCTGCCTTGGCCTCCCAAAGTGCTGGTATTACAGGCGTGAGCCACCACACCCGGCCTACACTTACTCCATTTTATCAGCATACATATTAATTTTTTAATGTGATGATTCATGCACTTTGAATATTCAGCAACAAGATATGCATTCTTTTTGAAATTGTAAATTATTACCAATAAACTAATTCATGCCCTTTTATAAATGTATGAAATTATTACCATTTGAATCAAAGAAATAAAATGCAGTAAGCTGTTCTCTTTAGAAATCTTTCTATTGGCAGGTGAAATCAAACAATTACAAACTGCTTTAATAAACCATTTCAGCAAATGCATACTTTTGGCAGTAAATTAGGAACATATTTTGGTATAAACATCAATTACAAAATTTTAAGTCTTTTGTTATAAAGTTGTGATTAAAAATAAAACATCCTTGTCATTATGATTTGTTTTCCTATACAGTACACATATACATATATATGTGTATACATATATACATATTTTCTGTACATATTTCAAATTTGGTACTTTTTGTTTGTTAGACCGTATGGAGCAGAGACACAAGTTTTCACTTTTATTTTTGAATATCCTCTTTCCCCTCTCTTAGCTCCCTCTTGGCTAAGGGACGGGGATTTTCCTGTGTGACTGGTCATCAACACAGAGCTGGGCGTGTGGCTCTTGGCTGACTTATCTAAAGATACAATAGAGTGGTTTCCTAGGATATCCTTCAAGTTCCTAAAGATGAGTGACTCCCAGAAACTCTTGAGATTTCAGTTGGTGAGGGTGTGTTAGTCCGTTTTTATGCTACTGATAAAGACTTACCCAAGACTGGGTAATATTTTTTTTCTTTTTGAGATGGAGTCTCACTCTGTCAGCCAGGCTGGAGTGCAGTGGCACTATCTCAGCTCATTGCAACCTCTGCCTCCTGAGTTCAAGCGATTCTCCTGCCTCAGCCTCCCAAGTAGCTGGGACTACAGGCGCCCGCCACCACGCCTGGCTAATTTTTGTATTTTTAGTAGAGACAGGGTTTCACCATATTGGCCAGGCTGGTCTCAGACTCCTAACCTTGTGATCTGCCCACCTCGGTCCCCCAAAGTGCTGGGATTACAGGCATGAGCCACCGCTTTCAGCCAAGACTGGGTAATTTATAAAGAAAAAGAGGTTTAATGGATTCACAGTTCCATGTGTCTGGGGAGGCCTCACAATCATGGTGGAAGGTGATAGGCACTTCCTACATGGTGGCAGAAAAGAGAGAATAAGAACTAAGCAAAAGGATTTACCCCTTATCAAACCATCAGATCTCATGAGACTTATTCATTACCCGGAGAACCGTATGGGGGAAACCACCCCCACGATTCAATTATCTCCCACCAGGTCCCTCCCACAACACGTAGGAATTATGGGAGGTACAATTCAAGATGAGATTTGGGTGGGGACACAGACAAATTATATCAGAGGATAACTTGTCCCTCTCAGTTTTCATACCCTGCAAGGAAGATCAGCATCAAGTACTTGCAGCTGAGATGGAAATTCTTGAAGCTTCTCTCTGCTTTTTGTTCAGTCTGTCCTGTCCTTTACAGCCATGCTCCATGACATGGAAAAAGTTTCCTCTCAGATGTTTTTTATATGCCCATCACAGGTCCAAATGCCATTTACTTTGCAGCAAGTTTATCTGTGCAGCTGACCGTCTACTGTTAGACCGTGGCAAAAGGATTCTATTTTTCCACTTTTACCAAAGCAGGCAGTTTTTGACACTTAGAAATTCCATTTCAGGTTCTATAAGTAAGTACCAAATTGCTACCCATTCACTATAATTATTGCCAATTCTAAAATGCTCCCACATCTTTAGAGTTTTAGCAGATCATTTAAAAAAGGTATCAGGAGCATTATGTCTTTCAAGCAGGATGGAATTATAATGCATCCTTTTGCCAAAGGCAAAAGGCTAGGACTGTATTGCCTTATCTGCATTGGTTTTCAATCTGTTCTGGTATAAATCATATTATCTTGAGTGGTGGTCTAAATTAGTTGCAGTTTAAAATAATTTGGATGTATTTCCTAATCTTCAAAATGTTTTAAGAAGGGACAAAATAAAATTCAGTCATAGAACATGAAATAAGTTAATGTGTACTTCCTAATTCCATGCACTTATTAAAATGTATTGTTCTTCACATCAGTGGGATAGAGAGCATCACTAATGACTGTCCAATGCATGTCAAGAACTGTTTAAGTTTACAGAGCACTAGAGGTTATTTTTCTAATTCTGTATATTGAAATAATTTTTGGCATCAACATTTATGTGAATACATTTTGCAAGTGTGAAATATGTTTATCATAACAAAAAGCTTTGGTTTCTTTCTTTTGGAATTTTTGTATGGTGATGTTTCAATGTCACCTTTAAGGTCCAATGAGATGGTTACTGTCTCATTATTACATGAAGTGGTGGTGTCTGTCTTGAGTTCAGATGATGCTTTGCGGTTGTGGAGGGTGAAAGCCAAGGGCTTTTGATTAAGGTAAACATGATGATTAGTGACCTTGTTTGAAGACCAAGAGGAAGAGTGTCCTTGCCATGAGTAAAGGAAATGCCGAGGTCAAATTTGAACCAAGTAGCAATGAATACCAAAGACACGGCAATGATATCAAGGGCACAAATTGAAACTGTGAAGACCACTTCAGTGATTCCACAGAGTGTGAAGGAAACCAGGAGAGAGCAGTTCAGGAATGATTTCAACATGGTCACCTGTTGGTCATGCTGAAAGAGGAAAGTACCAACAAAAGCATAAGCCCCCAGTCTCCTATGGAAGAAAAGAATAAATGACTCAAAAATGGTGGTCCAGACAGCTTCACAAGCTTCCCCACTCAAGAGAAGTCATTGGAGCCCAATAATCTTAGTGACCTCAAGGGGGCTAAGGGACTTCGAGATTGGCATGTATGCCCTGCTCTACGTCTTCTTCCCGGCCATTCTGGTCTTCTTGATCAACTGCGTGGCATTTTCCTGGAAATACAGACACAAAAGGTTTGCTGTGAGTCAGCAGGGCAACGTTCCCCATTCCCACAACTGGGTCTGGCTTGGGAATGAAGTGGGACTTTTGGAGAACCGTGTTGACATTACACTCCCATCTGAGGAGTGCACAACCATGATAGACAGGGGCCTGCAGTTCGAGGAGAGGAACTTCCTTCTCAACGGCAGTTTCCAGAAGACTTTTCATAGTCAACTATTTAGACTTGTTGACTATGTCTATGAGAAAGAAATTAAAAATGAACCTATGAATTCTTCAGGCCCAAAGAGGAAGAGAGTCAAGTTCACTTCCTACATCACCATCCTCCCAGAGGACGGCAGCCCGTACACCAACTCCATCCTGTTTGACAGCGATAACATCAAGTGCGTCTGCGAAGATATGGGGCTGGGGGACTTGCATATATAAAATGTTTTCATATGGGCCTGGTATGGTGGTTCATGCCTGTAATCCCAACACTTTGGGAGACCAAGGTGGGAGGATTCTTTGAGCCCAGGAGTTTGAGACCAGCCTGGGCAATATAGTAAGACTCCATTTCTACAAAAAACTACAACAATTTTTTAAGTTTTTTGGATCACCAAGCCAGGTGTGATGGTCTAAACCTGTATTCCCAGCTATTCAGGAGGCTAATGCAGGAGAATTGCTTGAGCCTGGGAAGCAGAGGTTGCAGTGAGTTATGATCACAGCAGTGCACTCCAGCCTGGGCGACAGAGCGAGACCCTGTCTCAAAACCAAACAAACAAACGAACAAAACTTCCTTATGTTTGAATTCTCCTACATGCTTTCTGTTTTTCAGAGAGTTGGAGCTGTGAGTTTGGTCAGCAATAGAGGGTAATTTACCACCGAATAATTTGTCAGGGGATTATTAATAAGATCTCTCGTGGCAGAGGCCTGAAAATCAAATGCAAATATGTAATAAGACAGGGTATGCTTTTAACACAGCCCACATAGGCATTGCTGAAGTATTAGGAACGGTTTTATATATGGCCTGGTACTGGCTCAGTGCTAATTCATAGAAATAAATTCAGCCAAGGGCCTTGATACCCATCTCATGACAAAGAGCTGTTTGCAATTAGAAAGAATTGGACAGATGTTTACTTCTTTGATATTGGTAAGGTACGGTGGACAGTTATTGCCCTTGGTGTGAGACTAGGCTTGTGTGAAATTGATGCCCTTATATCGAGGGTAGAAATTGAGACTATAAAGACCACCTCAGTGATCCCATAGAGCATGAAGGAAGCCAGGAGAGAGTGGTTCAGGAATGATTCCAACATGACGCACCTGTTGGCCAAGAGGAAAGTACCAAAAATAGCACAACCCCCCAGTCTCCCATGGAAGGAAATAAGAATGTAGCTGCCCTTATTTGTAATAAACACTGCTCATTGTTTTTACAGACATTTATAACAACATCTGCTTGTTGTTGGTTTCATTGTTGTTTGCTTTTGTGTTTTTTGTTCTTGTGGTTTTTTTCTGTTGTTTTTGACTTCTAGAAGTCTTTTCAAAACATGTAAAAATATTTTTATTTGTAAAAATATTATGTTTTATTTGAGGGATGCTTTCTTTACATAGAAGTTTAATTCACTGAGATTAGCCATTGCTTTTTTTAGTTTTAAATTTTATTTATTTTTTAAATTTTAAAATTTTATTCTTTTATTTTTGTTTAACTTTTGTTTTAGGTTTTGGGGTACTTGTGAAGGTTTTTTACATAGGTAAACATATGTCATGGGGGTTTGTTGTACATATTATTTCATCACCCAGGTATTAAGCCCAGTACCCAATAGTTATCTTTTCTTTTTTTTTTTTTTCTTCAGACAGAGCCTCACTCTGTTGCACAGGTTGGAATGCAGTGGCGCATCTCAGCTCATTGCAACCTCCGCCTCCCGAGTTCAAGCGATTCTCTTGCCTCAGCCTCCTGAGTAACTGGGATGACAGGTGTGTGCCACCACACCCAGCTAATTTTTTTGTATTTTTAGTAGAAATGAGGTTTCACCATGTTGGCCAGGCTGGTCTTGAACTCCTGAACTCAGGTGATCTGCCCACTTTGGCTTCTCAAAGTGCTGGGATGACAGGCCTGAGCCAGGGTGCTGGCCCCAATATGTATCTTTTCTGCTCCTCTCCCTTCTCCCATTCTCATCCCTGAAGTAGACTTGAGTGTCTGTTGTTTCCTTCTTTGTGTTCATAAGTTCTTATGATTTAGCTCCCACTTATAACTGAGCACATGTGATATTTGGTTTTCTGATCCTGCCTTAGTTTGCTAAAGAATAATAGCCTCCAGCTCTAAGAGATTAGCCATTTTATTTTAATTAATGGAATCCATATTGAATTTCAGGTTTTCTCTACTTTTCCATACTCTACTGCCTATTAATAGAAACTGAACAACTTATCCTCACTTTCTGTTTCCTTCCTTTTGTCAGTGACATCTTATGTTGGCATTGCATGAGAGATCTTACTTAACAATATTAACAACCAGTGAGAAAAGGTCAATTTTCGACATGAATTTTGCAAAGGTGGGGGAATATCTGTAAGTCACATGCAATTCCTGTATTTTATTATCTGGTGGCTGAACATTCTTTGGAAAAGTATGAAAAAAAAGTCTCAAAGAAAACACCTGTATTCATACGAGTATTTTCTGAAAAACATATTTGGCCACCCAGGCTCAAATATAAAACCAGGATTAATAAGTACAAAAAGAAAATCCCCTAGGAAACAGCTGCAGATTAAAACTGCCATTTAAAAAAATAAAAAAAAAAGAAATGAGCAAAATGCTGTTTCAACTTAGCAGTAAGAAAATTCATCTTTTCAGTACTATAAAAGCATTCACATCCATAATCCTAGCAAAGTTGAAACTTTCACAGGACGTGTACTGAGATTGAAAAGCAACAACTATGCTCAATAAAGTCATGCAAATGAGTGGATCAGGAAAAATATGAATGAGCTCTCAAGCTCAAGAGGCAGTTGTCAAGAACACAGGGGACTGGAAAAATAACTGTCAAAAAAAAAACACAGAAATTACTCAAATCCCAAAAGTTTTTAAAATAGAAATTATTGTTGAAATAATAGTATTATATTGTTGATATTAAGCACATATAATATTAAGCAAATGAAGATTTTTAGAATAAGAAAATGAGACAGTATTTTAATTTATTAAGATGGGATGGCTAGAAGAGCAGATATTGGGCTAGTAAGGCCTCAGTGTGTGTTCTATTGAGACATTGGCATATTTAATAAATAGACCTGGAAGGACATAGAGGAATTACCTGGGACATTTTCATGACCACAGATGGCTGATGATTGAGCTATTCAAAACAGAAGTGTTCAGGTCATCTATTGTATTGTTATTTTTTAAATATAACTTTGATTTCAAGTTCAAGGGTACATGTGCAGGTTTGTTATTAGGTAACCTTGTGTCATGGGAGTTTGTTGTGCAGATTATTTTGTCACCCAGGTATTAAGCCTACAGTAACCCATTAGTTATTTTTCCTGATCCTCTCCCTCCTCCCACCCTCCACCCTCCAATAGGACCCAGTGTGATTGTTCCCCTCTATGGGTCCATGAGTTCTCAGCATTTAGCTCCCATTTATAAATGAGACATGCGGAAGTTGTTTATCAGCTTATTGAGCTTTTGGGTCTCGACTATAGGGTTTTTGCGATATAGGATCATGTCATCTGCAAACAAGGATTGTTTGACTTCCTTTCTTCTTATTTGGATGCCCTTTATTTCTTTCTCTTGCCTGATTGCTCTGGCCTGGACTTCCAATACTATGTTGAATAGGAGTCACCCATCCTCAATGATGCTGAAAAATCCCTGCCTCATGTGACCTTGATTTTCCAAACACAGCCCCAGGCAGAGACTTGGGAAGATCCCCTGGATTAGAAATTAAGAAGGGAGACAGGCTGAGCAGGATGGATTATTGAGCAATAAAACAAGATTTGCTTCCCGCCTTTGTGCCCCGAATCACCAGAATTTATTACCTTTTCAAGAGGTCTTTGTATAATATATACATGATATTTTACACACCCTCTGTCTTTATTTTCTGTAGAGCAAGCAAGGAAAGATGGAAGACTCTTAGGTACGTGTGTTCAGCCAGATTTCTATGTGTATGAACATCACAACCAAAACCCACATTCCCCTTGGAACTCATCAAATTGATGACCAAGAAGTTCTCCCAGCATCTCTTGCTAATAGGACTAGAGGGTGTGAGTAACGTACAAATCACAGGTTTCAGGGGCTTGATTCTTAAACACAGGCATTCGGCTGATTCTTTAATTGTTAACATGGGGGTGAAGAATTGAGTCTGGCGATGCTTGAAAATTCTTGACATGTGTCTAGAGAATGAAGCATTTGCTGTAAAGAAAAAAGTTTACAAAGAGATTGCTAACGCCTAGTAGAAAGTTCCTCAGCTAGCCAAAGAAAACCACTGCTTTCTTCATCTTTTCTTTTTTTATTGTTGCTATTATTGTTTTTAATTGGGTTATTTGTTTCTGCCACTGCTGCTTTTCAAAGGATTTGGTGGAGAAGAAGCTGAAAACCCACCACAATACCAAGCCACACAGGTAAGTTCACCTGCGTGTTCACTGAAACACAATTAGAAAACTAGGCTTGTGCTTCCTGAAAGGCATTTTCCATTTTCTCTCCATCTGTATCCTCAACAGAAAAGGATTTTTTTTTCTTTTTTACCCTGTGTGACCTGAATTGCATTAGGGAATGAGTCTTCTTCACCCACTCAGTATCTCCGTTAACAGATACTGGGTGTGACTTCATTTTGTGGGAGTGTTTTCATGGATAAGAGACAGGACATGCCCTTACTCATGAGCACTGTGATTAAAGCAACATTTAAAGCACGGTATTTCCCATGTTGTGGATGCTTGGTGTGCTGAAGACAGCTCAGGGTACTGCATGCAAAGGTGGTTTCTCAATGAAGTGGGTAAAGCACTTCTGCCCTGAAAATGGCTTCAGGAAGAAAACAGTTAGAGGTCACCTCTATTTGTCTGCTCCAATTAAGCTCAAAGTAAAAACACAAATAGAAGAGTTGGATGCCCACTGACAAATTAAACTGTTAAACATACCCATAACTTTACATTTCAGTGTAGTATATAGCTAGTGAAGGAACATTTTGGTGGGAAGCAATAAGGCCTTTTAACTAATCTTACATTTGGCATGGATATTAATCAGACTAACAGAAAGTCATGGAAGTTTCATCCGCTCTCTTTTCCTGATCACTGGGCAGCACAGGTTATAACCACTCTTGTTTTCTAGCTGATCGCTTTTCAACAAACAGGATCTATGGCCTGCGATATGTAAACTGAAGTGGGGGTTGGGAAAGAACATAGATTATAGCGTCTAGAAATTCAGTTCGCTGGACATCTGCAGAGATCTGTGCATCATGCTGATATTCACATTTCCACCCCACCGTTTTGGGAAGTAAGAGAGGAATCCACGCATCCAGGCTTTCAGAGATCTTTATGCTGGGCTTCTGCTCCTAGGTTTCCAGCTGCTGAAAACAAGAAAAAGTAAATATCTGTGTAATTTGACATTTAGATTTATAGACATGCATTAACTTTCTTCCACACACTTAATGCTCTTTTTGCAGAAAGTGAAAGTAAGATAAACAATTTTAAAAAGTGATTAATCGGCCGCTTGCAGTGGCTCACACCTGTAATCCCAGCACTTTGGGAGGCTGAGGAGGGCCAATCGCCTGAGGTCAGGAGTTTGAGACCAGCCTGGCCAGCATGGTGAAACCCAACTCTACTAAAAATGCAAAAATTATCCAGGTGTGGTGGTGCACCCCTGTAATCCCAGCTACTCGGGAAGATGAGGCAGGAGAATCGCTTGAACTTGGGACGGGGAGGTTGCCGTGAGCCAAGACTGTGCTATTGCACTCCAGCTACCACAGACTGAGACTCCATCTCACAAAAAAAAAAAAAAAGTTTAATCTGAAAAGGCATAAAGAGGTTGAATCTCTAAAAAATTAACTTTCCTTTTTCCTATGAACCTGAGTAAAAGCTTTTTTCCAGATTGTCCCCATTTGATGATAAGACAAACAGGACAAATATTTCTTACTTTCTAATCAGGAGCGCAAATTACCTAAAAACTTAGCATTTTAGTGGCTGAGGCCATGGCTCCCATTTTGCTCATTTGCATTAATAGCTTGATTATGTATATGCGTAGGGGCAAGAGTTTTGCATGGGGCCAAGAGTGAAAGATGCTACTGGCTCAGACATGCAGAGTTCTGGAGACGTAAGAAAGACTCAAGACCACTGAGGAGTTGCTTGGATCCCTGAAGATTGCTGCAGATGTTTCAGGATTGGGGGTGAGTTATTTACTAAATCTTTTACAAGCCATCCTGTTGGCTATGCGGGCACTTCATGAAACTGTCAGCGTCATCTTTGCCATTTTGGCAAATGCCATCCTTTGTCATTGGTATGGAAAGGGAAGTCTCAGTTGGATGTGTCTTAATGATCAATGGCTCCCCTTTTTCCAAACATCACAGGTATCATATAATAATAGACATAAAACTTAAAAATTGTCTTTATGAAACCAATCTGTGAAGCTGCATGCTTTTATGAGTCTAAAAAGCTGGCAGAAAGTGATCCTAAAAGGCTGGGCATGGTGGCACTTTGGGAGGCTGAGGTGGGCGGATCAAGAGGTCAGGAGTGGCTGGGCGCGGTGGCTCACGCCTGTAATCCCAGCACTTTGGGAGGCCGAGGCGGGTGGATCATGAGGTCAGGAGATCGAGACCATCCTGGCTAACAAGGTGAAACCCCGTCTCTACTAAAAATACAAAAAATTAGCCGGGCGCGGTGGCGGGCGCCTGTAGTCCCAGCTACTGGGGAGGCTGAGGCAGGAGAATGGCGTGAACCCGGGAGGCGGAGCTTGCAGTGAGCCGAGATTGCGCCACTGCAGTCCGCAGTCCGGCCTGGGCGACAGAGCGAGACTCCGTCTCAAAAAAAAAAAAAAAAAAAAAGAGGTCAGGAGTTCGAGACCAGCCTGGCCAACATCATGAAACCCCATCTCTTCTAAAAATACAAAAATTAGCCTGGTGTGGTGGCAGGCCCCTGTAATCCCAGCTACTCGGGAGGCTGAGGCAGGAGAATCGCTTGATCCTGGGAGGCGGAGGTTGCAGTGAGCCGAGATTGTACCACTGCACTCCTGCCTGAGTGACAGAGTGAGACTCTGTCTCAAAAAAATATATATATTTAATATATATTTAAATATATAAAATATTTAATATTTTAATTAATAAAATATTTAAATATATATATATCACTGGGCGTGGTGGCTTATGTCTGTAATCTCAGCACTTTGGGAGGCCAAGGTGGGTAGATCACTTGAAGTCAGGAGTTCGAGACCAGCTTGGCTAGCATGGTGAAATAACATCTCTACTAAAAATAAAAATACAAAAATTAGCAGGTGTGGTGGCACACACATGTAGTCCCAGCTACTTGAGAGGCTGAGGCATGAAGATCTCTTGAACCCAGGAAATGGAGGTTGCAGTGAGCTGAGATCATGCCACTGTACTCCAGCCTGGGTGACATAGTAAGACCCTGTCTCTAAAAAACAAACAAAAAATCTAAATTTACATAATTATATATGTAAAGATAATTTAGGTAATTTAGGGGAAACTTGTTCCCCCTAGAATATAGAAAGTCTGAGCCGCAGATATCAGCATTTTATCTCCAGATCTCACTATGCATGTATGCCATGTAATAAATGTGGTTGCAATAAAAGAAGAAAAAGTGGAATTTGAAAATGAAAAATGGCATTCATGAAGAAAAGTACACCTTTTTTTGACTTTTGTTTGCAAAGTGCATGCACTACATATCAGATTTTTAAAATTCACATCGTTAGTATGCATCAATGATCTCTTTATGAATTTGCAAAATTTAGATAAGTTATGGTGTCATATTTGCTGTGTTTATTTTTTAGATTTTTTTAATGGAGGAAAATTTGGAGAAGGACATGACCTGGGCCTGTGTTTCATGGGGTGCCCTTACTTGAGACAATCAGGACACTATCACTTTCCAGATGGAAAATAATGATCCAAATGCTTTAATGTCCATTAGGGAAATTATCCTTCCAGCCCAAGAAAGCAATCATGTTATCAATTCATAATACTGGGGGGTCTTCATGTTCTATGAGATGTCTTCAAAATGTCATTGCTACAGTAGGTCATTTTTTTACATGATTTTTAAAAATTTTATTTCAAAATGTAGGCTTATCTCTTTAGGTTCTACAAAGGATGAAACTATAGAAAAACCTTTTTACATATCTGCATTGTCTGTAGGAATAAGCCACTTTGCAAATAGTGAGATGGATGTTACGTCTTAATTTCTTGTCCATGTGATGATGAATTTTTGCTCCTTTAGATGGTTTAATTCACTCTTTATATGATGCAATTCTCTTAATTCTCTTTGCTGCTTTCTTTGCACAAAGATACTGTGAAAATATAGAGAAAGAGGTAATTCACGGTTTTCATTTTTCATTGTTACACTTGGAACTGAAGTGATCCATTACTTGATTTTGAGAGAGACTGTAGACCTAAGTGTTTAAATTAAAAGAATAAAGCTTCTAAGATAAAGCTCTTGCTATCTTGGGTTTAGCAAAGATTTCTTAATCAGATCTCAAAGTTACTAACAATAAATTAATAAAATAATTGAGCTTATAAACATTTTTAAAAATACTTTTCCTGATCCAGGAGAGAATTGACTTAAGAGTCTAACACCTTTTAAAGTCTGATAAGAAACATTTACAATTTATCCTCTCTGAGCCTGCTACCTGGAGGGTTCATCTGCATGATAAGAATCTTGGTCTCCACAACCCTTTATCTGAGCCCAGACCTTCCCTTCTTTGGATATCTGGTCTTTAGATAACCTCTTTCAACCAATTGCCAATTGGACAATCTTTGAATCCGCCTATGACCTGGAAGCTTCCACTTTGAGTTGTCCTGCCTTTCTGGACCGCTGATGTCTTCGGTCTCCCTGGAATGTACAAAGCCAAACCGTAGCCTGACCACCATGGGCACGTGCTCTCACGACCTCCTGAGGCTGTGTCACAGGCATGTCCTTAACCTTGACAGAATAAACTTCTAAATTGATTGAGTCTTTTCTCAGATACTTTTTGGTTTACAACGTGAAATACATTATGCTTCCATTACACTAGTTATCATGGGAAAACACCTCAAAAAAATAAAAACAGACCAACAAAAGACAATAAAGACCTTTGTGCCGTCCATTATTTTTCTGTCCTAGTATTTGTGGCCGGGTCAAAAACAAACTAGACAGGGACCCTGAGGGAGGGAGATTTCGCTGACATCTGTAGGTAGGATCAGGCTTCCAGGGCTGCAGAGGGAAGAGCTTCAATAAGAGGAGGGAAAAGCAGTGATAATGACCTTCATGGGTCCTCTACTGCCGACTGTCTGGGCTGCAGTGCCCTGGCACATTTCCTTGCAGAGAAAGGACAGCAGGAGTGGGCTTCCTGGTTCCCTTTCTGTTTTCTCTGAGGCCAGCAGGTGCCTGGCGTGGCCTTTGCGCCCCCTGCTGGTCGTTCTGGCAGCACACAGCCTCCTGCCTTGCCAGTGTGAAACCCGGTGCTGTCTTGTTCCCCGGGTGGAATGCAAGAGAATGCTTGGGAAGAACTTTGTTACCCAATGAAGCCTCCTGGTTCTCTAGTCCCTGGTAGCCTGTCCTGGTTGCCAGGTGCTTGTTTGCATTCCAAGCTCCACATTCCCCAGGGTCCAGTGTAGTCTTGTGTCTAAGCTGGTGTCTGGCCACCAAAGGCAGGCGTGCAGGGCCTTGGCTACTGCGCTAGGTCTGCTGATGGCCACAAGCCTTTAGTCCCAGCTCTGCCTTAGCAATGGGGGTGTCTGAAGGCTCAGGGGATACACAGGTCCTCTAGGTTCCTGGGGAGATGATGGTAAGTAATCCTTCTTAACAGTCTTTAAAAAATACATAATTTAACATGGACAAAGCAAGTAATCAAAAGGCTATCTGACAAAGTGAAAAATATTGTAAAATTCTTAACACGTTTAACTAGATCATAAACCCAGGAAATCCTTGAGCTTCCTTCAAGACAGGCCAGCTCTTTGAGTGAGTTAGATACACTGGGTTTGTCATCAGTTAATACTAATCTGAATAGGTCTATCTCTTTGTGTAATGATAAAAGAGGCCTTGTTGAAAATAAGCCAAAAGGGAGCCCCCTCTCTCCATGGTGAAGTGTGTATATGGGTCATTTTCAAAGTTAGATATGGTTTCTGTAAGATGAAGCCTGGCCATTCTAAGTCACTTGAGTGAAAACAGCTTACGAGCCTGGCAGAAGAATAATTCACAACATAAGAAAACACTTTCTGATCTTTAAAAACATTGAAAATTTCTTTTACAAGAAATTGAAGGCTGGAAAGAAAGGGAGAAGGACTTGAATAGAAAGAAGGAAATTATTGGAATTCTAATGAATACAGAACACAAATCCTAAATGATAGATTTAGTTTAAGTGTCTGATGGAAACCTTTCTGAATATCACATATCTACCAGCCAATAGAAAATAATGTAGAAGGTGGAAATCTGAAATTCAATATAAAGAGTGGATTATAAAAGGAAGACCGCATTATCCATTAGGCAAAGACCCTTTTGAGAAACCTATCTGTGCTTTTAAAGTAAGCACTTTCTCCTAGAGGAAAAAAACTAGAAGACAGATAGTAAACCAAAAAAAAAAAAAAAAAAAGAAAAAGAAAAATCTAATAAATAAATTTCTTAGAACTCAAATTGAAAGCATCCTATGGAAGGAAGAATCTTTCCATTTAGAAAATGCTCACACAGAAAGTGAGAAAGCTTCTGCAGAAACTTGAAATGCCATCTGAACTTTATCAATAACAGACACATCAGGTATGGATTTACCATTTAACATTAGAGAAGAAACAGCTTGAAGTAAAAGGAAGCATCAACCAACCCCCTTCTAAGCTGGGGACTTAAGAAACAAGAACAAGGGAAATGAATCAGAATTAGAAGCACTTTGATTTGATCAAAACCTTTTTATCTCCCCTAAGGAAAGAAGCTTGCAATAACTAATTAGCAGCTCCGGCCACTGGAGAAAGCTCAATGCCTTGAGAAAAGCAAATGCACCGGAGAAACAAGTTAGATAGAGCTGAATTAAAGGTGAGCTTTTGGCCAGGCACAGTGGCTCACGCCTGTAATCCTAGCACTCTGGGAGGCCAAGGCGGGTGGATCACCCGAGGTCAGGAGTTCAAGACCAGCCTGGCCAACACAGTGAAACCCTGTCTCTGCTAAAAAAAAAATACAAAACTTAGTTGGGCATGATGGCGGGTGCCTGTAATCCCAGCTACTTGGGAGGCCGAGACAGGACAATCACTTGAACCTGAGAGGCAGAGGTTGCAGTGAGCTGAGATCGCACCACTGTACTCCAGCCAGGGCGGCTGAGCGAGACTCCATCTCAAAAAAAAAAAAAAGTGAGCTTTTATGAAGTGGTCCTTATATCCCTGCAATCTCCAGTACAGCTCTGGGAGAGCCTTCAGAGGACACAGTGATCCACCGATAACCAGATCTGGGAGAAGGAAAGATAACTAGCAACAGATGATCACTAAGTTGGAAAACTGGATTTTTCCCCCACCTCCTGTGCCAACAGTATCACCTTTTCTAAAAATCTTTTGTGCTTTCTCTCTGTAGCAAGAGGGAAGCAGGGAAAAAAGATATTTAAGAGTAGGTCTTAGTGTACACATTCTGCATAACCTAAGGATTTGAGAGCCCTTCACTCTCACCCCTCAATTCATCCAGTTTCAACAAATAAAAACAAGGAGGCAGTTAGGGGCCAATATAATTGCTGTTATTTGTGAAGTAAAGGGCATACCTAACTTCCAAACACTCCATGCCGTGCTTCAGGACTCTTAGAAAAAAAAACAATAATTGTACAGGCCATCCCTTCCAGAGATGGCTGGGGCCTCACTCCTGCTTTAGACTGGGTATTCTGGGTGCTGGCACAATCCGCAACCCACACTATGCCTGTACAAGCAGGGCTAACTAACAAAGGGCAGTGTGAACAGCTTCACAGTGAATGTCATATTAGGATTATTTTATATACCAATAACTAAATCCCAACCATTCTGGCTTAAAAACACACATACAAAGTTTACAATAAGAAATGGAAGTAAGGCCGGGCACGGTGGCTCATGCCTGTAATTCCAGCAGTTTGGGAAGCCTAGGTGGGTAGATCACCTGAGGTCGGGAGTTTGAAACCAGCCTGACCAACGTGGAGAAACCCCGTCTCTACTAAAAATACCAAATTAACTGGGTGTGGCGGTGGGCGCCTGTAATCCCAGCCACTCAGGAGGCTGAGGCAGGAGAATCGCTTGAACCTGGGAGGCAGAGGTTGCAGTGAGCCAAGATAGCGCCATTGCACTCCAGCCTGGGCAACAAGAGCGAAACTCCTTCTCAAAAAAAAAAAAAGGAAATAAAATTTACCTGGAAAATTTGGACTAGCTGACTGCTGGTATATCTTGAGCCAGGCCCTCAATGTCCTCAACAGTCTCCTAAGGAATTTGCCTTCTTTTCCCAAATTCTCTCTCTCTCTCTGTCTCTCTCTCTCTCCTGTATTGGCCGTATTCTCTCTCCATTTAGTAATGAATGTGACAGTGCCATGCTTTTATTCTACCAGTTTAGCAAATCATACTCAGACCCCACACATACACAGGTGAAGTGGAGCTTCCTATTCCTGACCACAGTGGTCACTTCAGAAAGAGGCACGTAATTGAATGCCTGCAATAAGAACCCTCCACAAAAGTTCCCTCCACAGGAACCATTAGGGACCACGTTCTTCTCTTGGAGGACTGGTAGTTACATGTGTTCAGTCACATATGCATTTCTGAAGCCATCCTTATAGGAAGGGCAGGACACATTCTGATGATCATGCCAATTCCAAAGGATTTCCACATGAAAGGAGAGTGGTCAAATGACAGTTCCTCAAAGGACAACATGGAAAGAAGTTGCTAGAAAAAAGGAGAAGCAATGATGGACAGGCAGAATAATCAGGCGGGTGAGGGGGTGGGTAAACAGAGTACAGAGAGGTGACAGTGTGGTGCCTCAAAACTGTCCTGAGAACTGGGCAGAATGGAAACTGTATCAAATGAGCCACAGTGCTGGCCCAATGCCACTGCAAAAATCTGGATTTTTCACCTCAGCAAACGACACAGATCGAAATTCTCCTTCTGACCAAGGTGGAGTAATCAAGACTAGATTCATGATCTCACCTGGAAAAAAACCAAAATTATATAAAATAATGGTTTTCAAGACATTAGGCATCAGCCAATGTAGGACACTGATTCCTAAGAGATGGGAAATGATCAAGGTGGATCCTACAAGGTGGATCCCCCCATCCATTGTCTAGAGAAGCTTTTGGATGAGCGAGGACCCAGTTGAAGCCTGGTGAACTTCCTGAGCTGGTGCCATGGAGTAGGGATTCTGGGGGGGGCCATGGCAGCTGATATTTGCAAGCAGAGTTAACAAAGATGAGGAAAGTTGCACCTAGAAGAAACTCTTGGGCTGTACAGCGAGCCCAGGTGAAGTCCTCAGCAGGATTCTGATCCACGCACGCATGTGAGGTTAGCCAAGGAAGAACCACCTCAAAGGGAGTAAGGGAAAAGTACTCAGAGCTCACACAGGTGCCAATTCCCACCAGCCAGAATGGGAAGGTCACTGAAGCATTTGTAAGTCCTCCAAAGCACAAGGCTTTCTTGTGAATGGCAAGAGATGAAATTTCTTCCACCCAGTACTGAAGGTAAAGCCCACTCCAGTCTCCAGCCCCTCTGACCAGCCCATAACAGGGTCCCTCTCACCAGTCTGATGGATCCAGGTCTATCCCATGCTGGTTGTCGTTATTGTGGGCTTGAGTTTAAACTCTGCTCACACACTCTGACACGATATATAAAGACATAAAAGCAAACAAACGAAAACAGCAGGAGAATTTGGGGCCTGTCTCTTGCATCTGGTGAGGCAGCCACAACTTGTGTTATGTGCCCCTGCACACACCAGGAAGCCTCAAAATAATGATGGTAACATCAACTTATTTGGTGAGCGCCCCCATGCACAATGCATCAGATAGTCTGCTAAGTGTTTTACGAGCGTGATGCTACATAACTCTCCCTACATGGGCCGGCTAAATGCAAAAAGCTGCATAACACTTTCTTATGGAGACAGTGGGGAAGTAAGGATTTGAAATCATCTCTGTATCAGGATATACTGTCTCTATGTGATAAAAGATGGAAACACAAAGGAGCTCAATGAACTACAGACAGCAGCCAAAATGTGTATAAATAACCCGAGGTTGCTCAGGGGACGGATTTGTATATCTAGGATCCAAAGGATAACAGTTAAATAAGGAAAATGCAGGCCATTTACAAGGGAACTGTCACATTGTCTCCACCCTTTTGCAGACCAATTTTTCCCAAATAGTTGTTTTGTGGTCAAATTAAAAATGGCACTATGGGCCGGGTGCGGTGGCCCATGCCTGTAATCCTAGCACTTTGGGAGGCTGAGGCAGGTGGATCACCTGAGGTAGGGAGTCCGAGAGCAGCCTGACCAAAGTGGAGAAACCCCGTCTCTACTAAAAATACAAAATTAGCCGGGCGTGGTGGTGCATGCCTATAATCCCAGCTACTCCGGAGGCTGAGGCAGGAGAATCACTTGAACCCGGGAGGCGGAGGTTGCGGTGAGCCGAGATCGTGCCATCCCACTCCAGCCTGGGCAAAAAGAGCGAAACTCCATCTCAAAAAAAAAAAAAAAAAAAAAAAAAAAAAAGAAGGAACTATGTTATTTCTTTATGTTTTGTTGAGGAAACTGAGGCAGGAAGTTGGAATGGCTCCACTAAAGGCACACGGTAAATCATTGCCAGCCCTGGATGCTAAGAACTCCTCTCCCAGTGGTTTTATTGATGAAACAGTCTTGTCAGCACTCTTAGCAGTACGAATGACTGGGCATTTCCTCTCCTGTTATTATTCCAACCTAATTACTATGGGAAGCATCTGTTGTTGAACATGGCACTGTAGGCATAGCCATGATTAATTGGTTTTTATTAATTCCATTCAAAAAATTATGAAGTTTGGCTTTTCCTTAGAAAAATGAAAGCTGCATGCATATGTTACTCTCATGTTAACAATAAGAAAATAAAATGGCTAATCAACATAAGCACAATAACTTTGAAAACGGAGATCTCGGTAGAAAGTGGTGAGGTAAATTTCAGTGACAAGTTCCTCTTACAGGAGCGAGACACACAACATTTGGCAAAGCACAGTAGGCAAAGGAGGCAGCTATAACATTAGACAAGCAATGAAATAACATTTGAGCAAATTCTTAATAGATACAATTGAGCTACCACGTCAGTTGGAATTTGAATGCCTAAGAATGCCCCACACAAGGGGCATCTGTACCGATACAAAAGAGAGTAATGCCGTCCCTGTGACTGAGCAGGAACCTGTTTGTACCCAAGACCCTACACCCCTACAGAAGAGACTCTCCCTGCCGTTAAGGACAGAGTCAGCGATGCTGAGAAATTCCTGCCTCACTTTTACCCAATGGTTCATGTGACCTTGTTTTTCCAAACACAGCCCCAGGCAGAGACTTGGGAAGATCCCCTGGATTGTCAGAAATTAAGAAGGGAGATAGGCTGAGCAGGATGGATTACTGAGCAATAAAATAAGATTTGCTTCCCACCTTTGTGCCCCAAATCACAAGAATTTATCACCTTTTCAAGAGGTCTCTATATAATATACACATGATATTTTATACACTGTCTTTATTTTCAGTAGAGCAAGCAGGGAAAAATGAACTTTTCGGGACCAGGTTCCCTGTCTGTGGTTTACATGTCCTCTAAGCATGCAGAAGTAGCATGGCCCCGGACCCCCAGCCCAGGGTGCAGCCAGCTGCCACCAATCCCTGGTCTTTCCCTGGCTCAAGACACTTGGGACTCGCCGGCCATTTTGTATTCCATTTACTGTCTAACCTTTTCCCTAAATTAGTTCCTCCGCTGGAGGACTTTTCTCAACCTGGACATTTGTAACACAGATATTTTCTAGCTCAGATTCTTCCAGCGATTCAGGCTTTTGCTGAGCATGACTATTCAGAAGGGCCCCTGGGATCAGTTGCATCATTGGTGCTAATTCCTTAAGCCATCCCTTTGCGCGTGCCATGTTCCATTGTGAGCCTCAAATTCCCGTCAACAAAACAGCAGAATGTATTTATTAATCCCTTGAATTTCTGTTCCGTCATGTCAACTGTGTTGCAATAGAACGAGGTGCAAGGGGTAGACTGCCTGCGCTAGTGTATGTTTAAAGGGCCTTGAATTTTCCACGGTCTGTCACAAACCTCTGCCATTCCTGTGCCACAACATGCCTGGGCTGATTGGTTTGAAGAGAAACGTGACAGCCATACAGAGCACAACTATTTGAAGACAAGGTACCCCAGCCAGGCCCAGCACAGATCAGCCAGTGCCCAGGTAATCCACAAACGCATGAGCCGCAAATGATGACTGCTTGGGCTCTGAGGTGCTGTGGTTGGTGGCAGCATCGTCACAGCCACGGTTAACAAACGCACATGGATTTAAACCGGTCCCTATTTGTCTTCTACACAGCACCTCTCACTACCTGAAACACCCTTGTTATTTATGTATTTATGCACTTTAAGGTTAGAGGTTCTTCCTATTTTATTCTCCACTGTATCTCTGATAAGTAAAGCAATGTTTGCAACGTAGGAGTTTCTAAATAGATATCTGTGAATACATGAATGAATGTAATTCTCACATTAGCCCCCTCAGGTATTATAGAAACTTCCCTCATTCCTATTTCAGAGATATAGAAACAGAGGCACGGAACTATGATAAAATTGTTCATTATCGCGTAGCCCGTGAGAGAGTTGGGATTTCAGCAGACGGATCTGTTTACATCAAGAGAACTCTCCAAAGACAACCTAGACATTCGTGCCCAGCTTCTTTTAGGTCCTCTAAGATGCAGCTCTAACTGTAAAGTCAATCTGACATCTCTGTTATCATTGCAACTCAATGGAACATTGTTTGTGGTTTTCCAGCAACCACTTTCTAGCTGACACCCTCCCCACCCACGTATACACAGCTCTCCCTTCTCATGGAAGCGCAATTTGTTCAGTCTGTGTTAAATGTTTTCACCAATTAATCCAGTGGGAAAGGTAACAGAATTCACAGGAAGAAATAAATATTGTATTGGAGCCTTTTCTGAAAGCAAGAGAGAGAATGAGAGGCTGGCTCTCCCAGGCTGCCTGTGAGTTGAGTTTATATAATAGGTATCTACGCACGTGCTCATTTAGTGTTTATTGTACACTTGCTCTGTGACAGCCATCACTCACTCTACCTGCAGAGGTTATAGAATACAAAGAATGATGTGTTTTCTGTCCTTCATATATATATATATATATATATATATATATATATATATATATATATATATACTTTTTTTTTTTTTTTTGAGACGGAGTCTTGCTGTGTTGCCAGGCTGGAGTGCAGTGGCGCGATCTCGGCTCACTGCAACCTCTGCCTCCCACGTTCAAGCGATTTTCCTGCCTCAGCCTCCCGAGCAGCTGGGATTACAGGCACGCACCGCAATGCCCAGGTAATTTTTGTATTTGTAATAGAGATGGGGTTTCACCATATTGGCCAGGATACTCTCGATCTCCTGACCTCACGATCGACCCACCTTGGCCTCCCAAAGTGCTGGGATTACAGGCGTGAGCCACCGCGCCTGGCCGAGGAGCTTATATTTTTGTATAGGGAAAAAAATTTTTTCATATGTCACAAGTAAATGAATATGGCAAGGCAGACAGAAAAACATGGTATTGAGAAAAGTATACAGGGAATGTACATTTGAAGTCAGTGGTCAGGAACAGGGTTTACTGTTTCAACGTAATGGTCCACAGACCCTTTTTGGATAAGCTGCCACTGGAGAAAAGACTTCAGAGAGATAGGGAGTAAGTAAGTCACGTGGCTATACAGAGAAAAATACTGCTTCAGTCTTGATGGCAAAAGCAATCAGAATTACCCTTGGGCATCCCTTAAGATACTTAAAAGTATAGGACAAGGGAATCTCTCTGCATGTCCAGTGCAGCCAATTTCCCTCCAGTGTTGGGGCTGAATGGCTGATCTTCAGCTGATCTCCAAAGGGAGAGGGTGCCTGGCACTTCAGGGCCATGTAGTATGAAAACACGAGGGTCATGTTCAGGATGTTGTGACGCTCAGACTCAGAGACAGCACAGGACCAAGACAGAGGGGACAACAGGATCACTGCATGCATTTTGGGTTCATTCTGGGGCATTTGCTCATACTGTGGATAGTACGTTCGAACCATTTAGATTACCTTTCTTTATTATTTCCTTTGTCATTTCTCCCTTTCTCTTTTTTTTTTGTTTCTTCTCTCTTTCGTCCATATAAATACCCTAATTTATGTAACCTCCAAGAAACCTATGCTACTCGTAACCAAAGAATGAACGCATAGATTTATGTTTGCAAAAGTCAAAACTATAAACAATGGGTAAAAGCATTAGGGAAAAGGCTTCATAACAACAGCTATGCAAAAGTGAACTGGATTACCCTGGAAAATGAGTTGTGTCTCAGGCAGGACACAGGGGAGCTGAGTGACCCTCTGTTATGGTATCAGCCAGGGAACTTGGCTGCAAATAACGGTAACAGGGTTGATGTAACTTAAACAGAAAATGAATTTATTGAAAATTAATGGGTAGTTCCCCAAATCCACTAACAGCAAAGAGGAAGCCAGCTGGAATTGCTGGGGGCTGGGCAGACCACGTAGCCAAGGAGCAATGCAGTTGTGAACTGGACGCTGGGGCTGCCAGCTGGCTCTGTTCTCGTGTCCCTGCTGGCTCTGTTCTCATGTGCCTGCTTCTGGATGCAAATCTCAGGGCAGGAATTCAGTGGGTCAAGTCTAGCTGTCCTTCCTGTGTCTGAGCTGGCAGAAAGCAGGAAGATTTGTGGTCTCATTTGACATCATCAAAGGGATCTAAAACTCAGCCCTTATCAGGAGTCACAGAGTGGGGACCACCCAGCAAACGAAAGGCTGATTAGATGGGAGGCTGTCTTCCCCTCCAAAATGGGTCACATATCCCCCAAAGCAAGAGTTATTCTGGATAGTGTGATTTACAGAACTAGATAATCTAAAAAATCTCCTTCTATGTCTAACATTTTATAAGTAACAAGTATGTTAAAATAAGAACCCATGGGAGAAATATGTACAAACTTTCCAATTTTCAGGGATAACAAACTCTACTACTGTATGACACATTTATGACTTCTGAGCTTTTATTGTTAATTGACCAGGTTCATCTGGTTTTAGCCATTCTATGAGTCTAGTGTCCACCAGATACTTACTTAAGTTAGCATCCTACAGCTGTATGTGAAAGAGACCTTCTCAAGTCAGCAGAGCTTAAAAGGACAATTTATTATGAGAAGTAAGATGTCACATTGAATACAAAAGTTAAGCTGGAATGGGGTCTCTGTAACAGGGAACCAAAAAGCTCTGAGGCTTTTTCTGACATTTATTTTTCTCTGCCCCCCTGCATTTCCCTTTCTTTCTGTAGATCTGGTTTCTTTTAATGGCAGGCAAAAAAATGATGTCTTTCATTTCCACGTTGGAATGTTATGGTCTGGCTGGTCACGTCTTTTTTTTGGGAGCTGCCTTATTTTGTGTTGATTACATATTGATGATATCAACCATAGCATATGTTTTCATTACATATTGATGATATCAACCATAGCATATGTTTTCCCAATCTTGTGAACAAAAACACAGCCCATGTGAGGAGGTATTTGGCTGACATTGAGGCACCTTGTCTAGGACGTGGTGTCTCCCAGGACATGCCATTTAGGTTTCAAGCCACAATTAAACTTGACATCCAATTACAGTCACTATTGGTTACAAACACAATTTTACAATAATTAACTGCCAAATTGCACTACCAAATCCAGTTAGGTAACATAAATTTCACCTAGTTATATACAATGATGAATTATGAAGGACAGTGGGAATCTTTAAAATCAGTTTTCATATTTCCAGCAGTAGGTTATTCTTTCATGAAAAAAAAAAAACCACACCATCCTGTAATCAGTGAAATATATTGCTTGAGAAGGAAGAGTTTATAATGTTATCACATACACCTCACCCCACAATAATTCATTTATATACATTACATTTTTGTAGCAATGCGTGAGGTTTGTAATTTTGATTGAATAATTTTACAAATTGTGAACTTTAGAAAAGTTGTAGCTGCACAGCTTTCGGGATTTTCATTACTTAGTTTGCTTGTTCCTTTCAGAGTGAGAGTTTCGACCAGGAGTGGATACTGAGGAGAGCAAAGATCACCTGGTGCTCATCAAGCCGGACTTCCAGAGGCAAAGCTCCTTAACTGAAGAATTCAGAAGTAATTAGACTTCCCTATTATCCAAAGCAGGCATCTGGTACCAGCCTTCTTTCCCCAAAATTTATAAGTAACTACAATTTCTATACAGCTCCAGAATGCATATACATCAAAACTCATTTTGCACCCCTTGATGACATCAAGGCACCAGAATGCCTAAAAATGTAATCATCTATCATGACCTACATAGTTAATATGGTCCCAACTTACCCTTAAGCTCCTGCTCTAAGGTCCATACACACCCCTAAGGAACATCCACTGCGGTGGACTCAGTTCTCTCTTGCTGAGGCTCCCACTGAACTCCTCTGCAGCATTATTTCTTTCTAATAAAACTTTCCTTTTCATCCAGTCTATCATTGATGGGCATTTAGGTTGGTTCCATGTCTTTGCTATTGTGAATAGTACTGCAATGAACATATGCACGTATGTATGTTTATAACTGAATTATTTATATTCCTTTGGGTATATACCCAGTAATGGGATTGCTGGGTCAAATGGTATTTCTGTCTTTAGGTCTTTGAGGAATCACCACCATGGAATACTATGCAGCCATAAAAAAGAAAGATAACATGTCCTTCACAGGGACATAGATGGAGCTGGAGGCCATTCTCCTTAGCAAACTAAACTATGTAACAAACCTATACTTGTACCCCAGAACTTAAAATAAAAGTTTAAAAAAGCCCTTTCCTTTTCAAATCTATACTGTTGTTGGTAAATTCTTCTTACTACCCATGAGTAAATCACTTTTTGTTGCCTGAGATCTGACACCTCACCCAGCAGGCACCTACCATTTTTACTCCCCATTTACCTGTCTAAGCAGGAATTGGTGACTTAACAAATTTGGAGGAAGATTTTAGCAGAAAGAGAATTTGATCAGAGCCTAGTGACTCTAACTAACAGACCTATTAGTAGGCAGTCAAGGTTCTCCAGAGAAATAGAAGCAGTAGGACATGGGGCAGGGAAAAGGAGAGAGAGAGAGAGAAAGAAAAAGAGAGAGAAAGGTACCAAGGAATTGGCTCATGTGTTAGGGGCTGGCCAAGCAAATCTGAAATCTGCAGGGCAGGCTGTCAGAAAGGGCAGGCAAGAAACTCTAAGGGCCGAGAGCTGTGGTCCACAGGTAGAATTTCTTCTTCTCCGGGAAACCTCTTTCTAGTGTGGCAGCAAATAATGACTAAATGGATTTTGTGGCTAAGGCAGCACAGAGATATAGAAAAAGTTCAACAGGTATTATTAAAAGGCATTTAATCTCTAGGCAACTCAGCTAGATGAAATGCAATGAAAGAGTCGCTGCTTTTTTCAGGAGAGATACATGAGGCATCTTTACCTAATAAACACCATTTGTTATATTGAAGCTTTAGGGCCGAAGCCAATGAGTTGAAACTCTTAAAAACAAAATCTTTTGAAAATAATTCTGCACATTTAGGCGTGTTTTTTTTTTCTCTCCTTTGGGATCTGAAGAAAATTTCCTACTTACTCTGCCCAGCCCCCAACCTTTCTTTGGCTTTTGTGATGGTTTATTCTGTAAGATCCACCCATAGAATGAGGACCACCTGTAAAGGTCATCAAAGTTTGTTTATTCAGATCTTACCAATAAGGGACTTACAACGCTTTTCATTTTTGGCAGAGACTCCCAGGGGTTTTAAAAGAGTTTTATAGAATCAAAGGAGCCTTAAGTTTTAAGACAGTCCTTGACTGGGGAGTGTCCTTTGGGAATGAGTTTTTCTCCTAGAGTATGATGAAGCAGGGGAGGTTTCCTGATGGCTTTGGGATACACTGGATCACCTTTGATTGATTTGGCTTCTGTTGGTATATACCTGGGGTCTTTAAAGGCTGGGTGGAATCATCTGTGTTTTTCTATTGCAACTGATAGAATACTGGTCCTTGGTTTCGAGGTCCAAGTCTTGCATAAACAATTCCACAGATTATATCCTAATACCAGCTAGTGTTGAAGACAGGGGAGTTGTGCTGCCAAAAATAAATAAAAATATGTATATTCTACAGTACTTGAAATGAACCCTCTTTGTTTTGATGTACTGGATCTGTTAGTTACCCTTAAAAATAAACATCTATTTGTCTCATATAACTATCTGCTATTTGTCTATTATCTATCTATACATTAACCCTACAGGAATAATTTGGGGAAGATAGAATATTACAGCACTGGACTCTGTTACATGATCAGAGAGCAGATATCACCGTAAAGGAAGAATTTTTATTGCCATGAAATATTTTATTATCTGTGTTAAATAATCTCTCCAGAAAATAATGTCAAACAGCTTTGAATCAATACCAAGTGAATAAACTACCAAATTTACAAAATAACTAAGTCAATATATAGATATATCCATGTTACTTATACCTTCCTGACACTTCAATAAGTGGCTTATATAAAGGTTTCTAAATAAATGACACGGTGTGGAAACCACTATGGTGATATCAGTAGCAAAAACAACATTGCAATAGCTAATATTGATAAGCATCAATTTGGTGGCGAGTAGTCCTAAAAAAACATTCAAATGTAATTCTCATACTTAATACAAATAACACAATAAAAATAAACATATTTATTAGGCCATATGTCAGTGGTTCTCAATAAAGGTCCATTTGTACTCTAAGAGGATATTTGGCATTGTCTGAAGACAATTTTTGTTGGCACAACAGGAGAGACATTACTGGCAACTAGTGGGTAGAGCCCAGGGATGCTTTTAACATGCTACAATGCACAGCACAGCTCTCCCCGACAAAGAATTAGCTGGCCCTAAAATATCAGTAGTGCTGTGACTAAGGACTCCTGCCTTGCATTCTCCCCTTTGATCTTCTCATCCACCCCATGGGGTAGGGGATATTATTATAGCACGGAGAGGCATCAAGTCCACCAAACTATTTCTCTCTTCTTGGACCTCCACCTAGCCAACATCTCCTACTGATAAAACTGATTTCTGGTCAATGGGAAGTGCGTGATGGTGGTGTTGTCACCTCTATTTTGGGTTTACAAAACCTCCTGCTCAGTTCTTCCTATTCTCTCCCTTACTCCCTCCATTGGATGGCCACAGATGATCCAGTGCAGGACCCTGAGAAGCCCACAGGAGAAGAAGAATCCCTAAAGTGAGAGAAACCTGGGCCCTTGAGTGACTGCATGGAGAAGAGCCCCATCATTGACTCATGTTAGACTGTGACTGAAAAATAAACCTCTTTTGTGTTAAGCCACTGAGTTCTGTGGTTATGTGTTGCACCAATTTTCCTATTTTGGCTAACATAATTATTCTACCTATTTTTCAGAAGGGAAAAATGAGGATTGCAGAGATGATGGTTGATCAGGAGTCTGGTTCAATGTAATGCTCTAAGCTGATTCTCTGAGCTCTGTCCTCCTTATGTCATATTGATCCTCATGTCTGCTGCAATTCCAGTCCTCCTTCCAACAAACTCTTTTGAAATTCCCTCTCCCGGCACAGGAAAGTTTTGATTTCACTGACGGACTTAGTTTAGGTTATTTGCACCCTTGAATTTGTCTCTGTGGTTAGGGAGATGCTATGCCCTGATTGTCTTGGGTTATCACCTTAACAAGTCATGGACATTAGATGAGAACGATATGTTGATTCACCTCCAAACTTGATACCGGGGGTCAGCTCTACCCATTCACATCTGATGGCTTCTGTGCTGTCTGCCCCAAGGCTTTTCTTTCTGAGGATATGCATGTGATGGAGGTGACCTTGGATGTTTATGTCACAAAGAACCTTGAGAGGGTCATCTATTACCTAAAGCAATAGGGACCAGGCTTGCTTGAGAATTTCACACAGCTCAGAGACAATGTGATGCCCAAATGGATGTTTATATTCCAAGACACGACCACCAGGCTAAACATCAGGTTCAGCTAAAGGAACTTTACAGACAGACTTGCTCCACTCCTTCGGTGACTGTCATCCAAAGGCATTCATTCTAAGGCAATTATAATTTTGCACTGTGCCTTCCTCAGAAATCTAATGTGTTTATCGCCTACTGGTGAAAGGACGTGGCTTTTATTTTAGGTGAAGAAAGAATATTAAGAACTATAAAACTCCCAGTAATTCAGAATGAGGGAGCAGAGACCCAGACCACTTACAGGCACTGCATCTGTTAGTGTTGGATTTATATTCCTGCCCTTAAGTACAGCCATAAAATACTATCTATTGGATAGTTTTATCTAAGTAGACTTTGCTTGTTCATCTCACCTGACTGATTTAAACACGAGTTAAAATTGGCATTAACTCGTGGGGGAAGATAAAATGGAGTGGCCAGTAACTGGGGACTTTTACTAGCTTCATTAGATGTCATTTTCTGAAATGATTTACTAGAGCACAGAAGAATTATTTGAGTGTGAAACTATAATAATAACAAATATCTTGTAACCTTGCTACACTTGGAATCAGAAAATTAAGATGTGCAGTTCTCTTTCCCGGTCAGTCAGGGAGAAATCACTTGCAAAGAATAACTACTTTGAGAAGAAGATCAAGTGTTCTCTTTTGGGACTCCCATGGGCAGGGCTGCCCTGTGCAGTTGTTCAGGTTGGTCACTGAATAAGGGCCCCGTGGAGACAGAGTAAGTCAGGGATGACATTTAGCCCTCACACCCTGTGTTAGATTAAAGACAGCCACATTTTTTTCCCCCACAACTTCCATGGAGAGATGAGATCTAAGATGCATTTCCTCACATGTGGGCCAGGTTTATGATTCATTTACCCATGGACAATGTTTAAGAAATAAGCAAGAGTTGAAACCTCAAATCACACCCAAGCCATCTATGTCCAGAACTTGGCTCTTTGCCAGAAGAATATGTTAATTGTGATATCAATTAAAATAATTCCAAAATGCGACCTTTCATCACTCTTACAATAAATACAAAAAGGTCAGGGAATCAGAATTAAGGGCCAAGCAGCGTTAATGGTTATTTATTCATTTATTTATTTATTTTTGGTTGTAGAAGGCTCTCATTCTAGAAAACATAATTATCATCTGCATGGGTGACATTTAATATTTTCTGCAACCTCTTGTGACATTTCCTCAGTGCAAAAAAAAGTGGTGAGTGATTACTATCTAGAGAACAATAGGACAATTGAACTAGAAATGTCAATCACAGGAAAAGGTCAATTATCAAAATATTCTAAGAACATTTTCTGGACCTTAAGGCAAAAACATTTTTGAGTTCACACCTACTGCACTTATTAGAAAACCATTTACAGCATTAAGTAACATATTAGAGTAAATTACATCTTAGACATTTGTTTTGCATCTTCTTGATATAATACAGTAAAGTAAATGGCCCATAAAGAAGAAAAGAGTAATTTTTCAATCAGAAGATTTTAAATATGCAAACAATATTATCCATATCAGAGCATGTACAAAAAGGAGTTAGCTGCATTTTCTTGATGGAAGTTTTACAAAGCTTTCATAGGCAGACTGATTATTTAAAATGGTTAACATTTTGTTCTATTAGATCATATATTCTGTGTTTCTGATGATTCCCACTATTTCAGTAATAACATTATCACAAATGTTACAGGGTATGTTGGCAGAAAATAAACCCCAAAAATTTCATGAAACCTTAATAATTTGACTTGAGATTACCCTTTCAATGATGTCAGAATTTGTCCTACTTCTTTGGAGGTTATAGCTTTGTGTATTACTATTTTTAGTCATTGTACTCTGTATCAATTAAAGCAAACCTAGCAATA
Source organism: Homo sapiens (assembly GCF_000001405.40). Lineage (NCBI taxonomy): Eukaryota > Metazoa > Chordata > Mammalia > Primates > Hominidae > Homo > Homo sapiens. The sequence goes on from NC_000012.12 coordinate 126,891,223, forward strand.
GTAACAGATAAACTTGTACTACCAGTCAGCCCACTAAAGTGTCTTTAGAGTCCAATTGGCTGCTGGAATATGAGAGGCTCTGCTCCACACAGTCACTTAGGGATCGAGGCTTCTCCCTTCCAGTGACTGTGGAAGCCCCTAATATCTCAAAGGCAGTCTGGCTTCGTTGCACCTTGGGCCAATAGATGAAGAAAGAGTATTAGAAATATTGCATGGGAGGATATTAGGGACACACTTGGAACTCCACATAGGAATGTGCCAGATAGTTCATTAACAGGGACCAAATCATAAATCACATACTCTGCTCGCTGCAATAGAGGCCAGGAAATTTACCTGTATGTCCAGGAAGAAAGGGAATCAGATATTGTGGACATATAGCAAGCCCTAACATACACTCATTACATTTTGATAGTCCTCTTCAATTGCAAATCCAGCTTCCAAACATAGAATACAAACACCAAAAGCTGTATTTTTTAACCTCATTGTTACAGTTGGGAAGGAGAACGCGACTTGGGCTCTGCCAATTCGACACTTTTATGTGAGATTTTGATACGGAAACTACATTAGGAAATAACTGTGACACAGGGCGTCAGTATTGTGAAAGATGGTCACAAATGTGGTAGCATGATTCCTGGATCAAGAGTGGTGGTCTCATCTTCTCAAGTGTTACAGCCATTATGACTCCTCCTACTTCAAGGCTCCTCCCACCCATGGCTCTTCCCATCCATGTCCCCTCCCATTTCATAGTCCCTCTCCTTCATGGCTCCTCCCATCCAAGGCCCCTCCCACTAATGGCCCCTCCCATTCCACAGTCCCTCATCTCCCTGGCTCCCTCCATTGTATGGCTGCTCTGGTTTCCTGGTCTTCCCACTTTTAATTTTTCTTTACCATGCTGGCTGGCTGTTTGAAGTGTCTCTTGGAGTTGTTTCTGGAATCTCAGGCAAACCTCTGCTACCCTTGCTTTGACAATGCATGAGCTTCCTAATATTTCTTAATATGCCCTTTCCTGCTAAAATTAACAAGAGTGGATTTTGTTTTCTGAAATTAAAGATGCTGAATGTAATAGCCCTTTGTTTTGGAAAAACAGAAAAACAAAGACAACAAAACACACAATCTTTAATTCTGAGGTTTCACCCTGGCTTCCCTTGACAAGCAAGAGAGTTCTGTTTAAGCCACACAATATACTAGTGCTAACATTTACAAATTATAGGATTTTATCTCTAAACCATGAGATCTGATTTTTTTAATAAGTGGAAAGATTTGACATATTTGAGAATAGATATAAGGAAATCTTCACTCATTAATGCAGCCAACATTTTTTGAATGCTTATGATTTACTAAACCTTTGTAAAAGACAGAAAACAACTTCTAGGGTATTTTCTTTTGGTCAGGTTTTATTATCTGATACAGGCATGAGTGTTTACTCTTCTTGTGAGATAATCAATAAAGTCTTGATGGAAATGGGTATCAATTGGTGGATTCCTGAGCCTTAAAGACCAAATAGGTTTCGCAAGGAGAGACTGTGTTGTGGAAATCGAGATGCATCATTTTCCTTTCTGAAACTGAATCAGCAGCATTCAGATTTGTGCATTTCACTTTTGGTCATTTTCAGTGGGCTATTTCATAGAGCTCCATGAAATGACTTGATAGTAATTGAATTGCTCTTGTCCTTTGAAATAATCAGTCTCAATAATCTTAACCACTGGGGGATGGGGCAGGGGGAATCACTGGGTAACAGAAGTTCCAAGTGACAGGAGCCCCATTTTCCTCTTTAGAAGAGGTATCTCCTGGTGTTAAGGGAATGTGTTTGCATGTTCTCACTCATAAGTGGGGGTTGAACAATGAGAACACATGGACACAGGGAGGGGAACATCACATACCAGGGCCTGTGGGGGTGGGGAACAAAAGGAGGGAGAGCATTAGGACAAATACCTAATGCATGCGGGGCTTAAAACCTAGATGACAGGTTGATAGGTGCAGCAAACCATCATGGCAAATGGATACCTTTGTAACAAACCTGCACGTTCTGCATATGTATCCCAGAAAGTAAAGTATAAAAAAAAAAATTCATGACTCAGAGCAAAAATAAAAGTAGCAAAGTTAAAAAAAAAAAGGAAATTCAGATATATCAGCTTTCGAAGTGCACAGGTTCTGGGTCCTGCCATTTGGCATGAAATAGAGTTTTTCAATCTCAGCACTATTGACATTTTGGGTGGCACAATTCTTTCTCCTGGTTGGTTGTTCTGTGCATCATAAAATGTTTACAGTTATCCATGCCCAACACCCACTAGATGTAAGAAGCACTCCCTTCCCAGTTATGACAACCAAAATGACTCCAGACCATCCCCGATTCTCCTGGGAGGAAAGCTGCCCCCTCACTGAGGACCACTGCCTTAGGAACTGAGGGAGTTTTGTTTTGTTGGAGTGAGACTATTTTGATAATGATCTTGTAGAGCTGAGAAATCACATACTCTTCAATTATTTGGAGGCATTTTGCCTAAAAAGATGAATCTGTTGTTTTCAAAGTGTCCCTATACTTTGCAAATTCACTTGAAACAATAAACTGGACACTTAGAATGATCATTCAGTCCAAGTAATCATTCAAATATAATTTATTAACTTGTTTTAAACTCTAGTCCAAGTAATCATTCAAACATAATTTATTAACTTGTTTTAAACTCTAATCCAAGTAATCATTCAAACATAATTTATTAACTTGTTTTAAACTCTAGTCCAAGTAATCATTCAAACATAATTTGTTAACTTGTTTTAAACTCTAGTCCAAGTAATCATTCAAACATAATTTATTAACTTGTTTGTGAAATTTATCCTTTTTTTTAACATGTATGGAAAAAACCTGGATTCCTGCATGACTGCGTGGAGTAGAAACTCCCATTCACCCTCACTGAGCCATGATGTAACAAGAATCAAAACCTTCTTGATTTAAGCCAGTGAGATAATACAGACCTCCATGACTGAGTAATGTTACATGGTTTCAGTGTCGAAGTTGGCATTTTTATTCGGAATCCCAATAGTGTTGAAGATGTCCTAAAGCCATTTCTCAGCAGCCAGGCTGAACCTCAGTAGAATTCTCTTTAGTTTGTCAATGAGATAAAGATTTCAAATTAGTTACAAAATTTATAAAATCCAGAAATTTTATTAAAAATCTGAACTTCCAGTATTCTGAAAAAAAAAATGGCACTGTTGGGCTCATATTCCTCTCTTATGAAAGGACTGAAGGAGAGTAATAGGTAGTCTCTAAAACACTAAATTTCCCATCTGCTACACCAGGCCACCCTCACTCACTAGTGTCACCTTCTTTCCCTTCCGACTGTGTGACATCCACCATAGACTGACGGTGAATAACTACTAATTCAGGATTTTCCACACTAGCAACTTGAGAAATGTTACTGGTATATCAAAATATTATTTTACCTTTTAGAAGATGTCCATGTTTGTCAATTTAGGAAATGTGGATTTTGTTCTTTATTCATCTCCTTTCCATGTCTGCATTTCTGAACACTGGCTTGTGCAAAAGCAAAGAATGATTCCACTGTTCAAATTACTTTTCTAAGAGATGTTTCACTGAAATACAGGCCTATAGCACTTCTTTCCTTTTTCTCCTGTGTGCCAAGATAGAAAAAGCAAACAAACCAACAAAAAACTATACAGGGCCAGTATCTAACAAATGGATAATTTGTATTAAGGTTATAAATATTCTCTGTCTCTCATCCAGTGAAACCTCTATTAAGGGTTCTCTTGAAGCATGAAATCTATCTCATTATTAACTGTTTTTAGAAATGATTTCCCTAGGGTGTCAACTTAGAACAATTTTCCTTATCAAAACCTACTTCTTTGTATCATTCAACAATCCAATTACTTTCTTTTCACACTAATGATCTTTTAAAGGTTGTGTTTTCCTTTCAGAGATAGCAGTGAAATCCACAGTGTATTTTATTTCATGGGTGGCATCCTTTGGGGGCAGAAGAATAAGATTTCTGTGGAAACTTTCAGCTCTTTATTTAGGCTCTCCTGATTTCTCAGATTGGCTATTTAATTAAAACCTACATTTGACTAGGCTCGATGGTTCACACCTGTAATCCCAGCACTTTGCGGGGCCAAGGCGGGTGTATTGCTTGAGCTCAGGAGTTTGAGACCAGCCTAGGCACGGCGAAACCCCATCTCTACTAAAAATACAAAAATTATCTGGGTGTTGGTGGCGCGCACGTGTAGTCCCAGCTACTCAGGAGGCTGAGGCACGAGAATCGCATGAACCCAGGAGGTGAAGATTGCAGTGATCTGAGATTGCGCTACTGCACTCCACCCTGGGTGATAGAGTGAGACTCCGTCTCAAAACAAAACAAACAAAACCTACATTTCACTCTCCCTCTTACCCCGGCCATTATTTTACTCCTGCCTTCCTTCTTTACTTTCTTCAAACCTTTTTTCAATATTTTATTGTGTTTTCTAAGAACCACATTGTCCAATGGTAAACAATATGTGGTTCTAACTGTATAAAATGTTAGAATTAGGTCTCTTTCTTTAGCACGTGAAAAAACATCACATTATTTCTAGATAGAAGAGATGGAATTTATTGGTTTACTAAACAAACATCCAGGGTACATTTGAGTTTCAGCTGCGGCTGTATTCAGGGGCTCAGAAGGACATGGTTTATCTTTTTTCATCTCTAAGTTTAGTCTTCTGTTGTGTCAAATCCAAGACACACTTCTTTTGTGAAGGCAATAAGAGCCACCTGTAGTTCCTGTAAATTTAAATCTTGCAAAAATGAAAGTTATTATTTCCCCCAGAAGTCTCATACATCTGGGGTGTGCAGAATAGAGTTAAGCCAACTGTCCTAAGACTGCTGTCCTTGGAATGCCTTGTTTACAAGGTTGGTGCTTGGCTGCCACCTTGGAACTTGGATGTCAAGAGAGTTCCTGCCATTTCCTAATAAGAATGACTCACTGCATCAAGATTATTTATGCAAACAATGTGGTTTATGGTGACCTCCTGTATTTTGGGGGGAAGTCTAGAATTTTGATATGTGCCAGGCAGAGACTCCTAATGTAACCAGCCCTCAATAGAAACTCCAGGTGCTGATTATCTGATGAGCTTCCCTGAAAAACAACATTGTGGACATGCTGAGACATGTTCCAGAAGGAATTGAGTGCTTCCCGTATGGCTTCACTGGAAGAGGACTCTGAAAGTTTGTACCTGGCTTCCTCCTGACTTCGTCTCATGCACATTTTCCATTGTCTAATTATGCTTTGCTTTTTCAATAACCAGTCATATTCAGGGGTTGATTCTATGCTGAGTCCTGTGAATTCTTCTTATAAATTACTGAACCTGGTAGTGGTCTTGGGAACCCTGACACATTGGGATTCACTCTAATTGCAAGCAGATCCTGGGCAGGTCTAACAGGCTGTACATTCCTTAGGCCCTCAGCTGATGGCCTGTTCCCCTAGAGTAGGAATTGTGCATAGTTTCACATCAGCTGGGCACTTTGACAGGTTATTCATGTGTAATTGTCCTCAGGCTGATACAGGTGGTATGGTGAGACGTTGCTGGGCATGAGGTCCAGGAAAAGTGGTTGGCTGAGGGCAGTGTTTGCAAATATGCCAGGTGATTAATTATGTTTTAAGGTATGTTCGGGTGCTTAGGTTGGGGAAATCAGAATCTTGGTAAATTCCACTTGGCATGTGCTTAGAACTGACAGGACCTCATCCTATAATTTTTGTATTTTTAGTAGAGACAGGGATCTGACAGGACCTCATCCTGGACAAAAAGAGTGCTGTCATCATTAACCCTGAGGACATGAGATTGTCAATAAACTTCCCCCACCAAACACACGTACCTGGTTATCTTCTGAAATATCTGTATATTGTGTGAGGCCATGACAATCTCCAAGATTTATATGTCAAGGTGTTACTCTCCCCAAGCCACCAACCCTCTGTTCTGAGGTTTCCACAATCACATGTGCATTCATGAGCACAATTCTATGGCCAGACATGAGTGAAACCCTCAAAGGGATTCTGTGTACTGATTGGCTAGGGCCTGAGTCACATGGTCCACATAAGGCCTGGGGTGATGTCACCTTCCAGAGCACGTGGCCTGAGACTGGGGTGGGGGTCTGATTTATCTAAACATATTCAAGGGGCTCTGAGGTTACAAAGGAGGATGGGAGATGAGGTGTCAAAATCATAATGCATGTTGACTTGTATGGAGCCCATCTTTTATCTCTGTAAATAGTAAATGAATAACTGTAATACCAACCTTATAAATGTTGCAATTAAAGATTCTAAATCATTTATTGGCCAGGAGCACTGGCTCATGCCTGTAATCCCAGCACTTTGGGAGGCCAAGGTGGGCAGATCACCTGAGGTCATGAGTTCGAGACCGGACTGGCCAACATGGTGAAACCTGTCTCTACTAAAAATACAAAAATTAGCATGGCGTGGTGGTGCATGCCTGTAATCCCAGCTACTTGGGAGGCTGAGGCAGGAGAATTGCTTGAAACCAGGAGGCGGAGGATGAAGGGAGCCAAGATCGCGCCACTGCACTGCAGCCTGGGTGACAGAGCACGACTGCATCTCAAAAAAAAAAAAAAATCTAAATCATTTATGAAAATGGCATAGGGAGAAATTTCTCCGTGACATCAAGGAAAGCTTCCCGAAAAGGAACGGATGAGTTGAGTCTGGATGGATGACTAGGAGTGGCCAGGGAAGGGAGGGGAAGCCTGTGGGAAAAGGCATTTCTTTCAGATGCTTGCACTGAGCTTGGAGTGACAGAATACATAATGAGAAATGGCTTAAACAGCAATACCAAAGATGCTCATGAGAACAAGTCAGAGGAAGGGGATTTATCGGAACTTTTAGTTGCTCAACTATGTCCTTTGGCATTTAAGGTCTTTCTTTTTATTCTATTTTTATCAGTCTATGGCTGCATTTGCAGGTTTTCTCCCCATGGTTGCAGGAGGCTGCCGCAGCTCCAGACAGCAGCACAGCTCACATATCATAAGGGAGCAGGGTGGGTGAAGATGAAATTTGCACGTTGCATCTTTCTTTTTATCAGAGAAATTTTTCCCCCTAGAAGATTCTGGCAGACATCTTACATCTCATTTACCAAAAGCTAGGTCAATGTGGCTACCTGTGACTGCTAGAGAGGCTAAGAAAACAAACTTCTGTGATTTTCTTAAGAATGAGTGGGACCTGGGCCCTGCCTGCAACAAAGACAGACACTGGAATAGCATCTGTCACAGCAATTCGAAGAGAAAGAAAGGCGGGGAGGGAGAGCTATAGGGAGGGAGAGAGAGGGCAAGGGGGAAAAAGAGAGAGGGGGAGAAAGAGGTAGAGAAGGAGAAGAGAGAGGGAGAGAAGAGGGAGGAAGAGAAGGCAGAAAGGGAGAGGAAGTGGGGAAGAAAGAGGAGAAAAAGGGAGGTAGTTGGGGGAAGAGAGGGAGAGAGACGGGGGGAAGAGATAGGAGAGAAAGAGAGGAAGGGGAGAGAGAGGGAGAGAGGGCTAGAAAGGAGAGGAGCACAAGAGAGGGAGAGAGAGAAGGAGGGAGACAGAAGAAGGAGGAGAAAGAATGGGGAAGGAAAAGAGAGAGGAAGAGAAGAAGCGAGCAAGAGGAGAGAAGGGAAATGGAAGAAGGGAGAGAGCGAGAAGGGGAGAGAGATCAAGCTGGAAATGAAAATGCATGTTGTGGCCACAGCATTACGGTACTTGGGTGCCAGGCTGCAGAACGTGTGCAGCACTTCCAAGGGAATAGGTAATATGGATATGACCATACAGACATCTAGACACATTCCCACATAACTGGTGTGTTCAAATTGTTTGTAGCTATTGCCTAGAAATAACATCTGTACTGTTGCATGTGTAGGACTCCATGCCCTTGTATGTCATATGTGTGAATCTGCATCTGTGTGTGTGTGTGTGTAAGTATATGTATGTGAAGAGTGTGCTATAGAAGTCTTTGAGTTGAAGAATCTGCATTGCCAAGAAAAAAAAATACAGAAAAGAAAAACAGGCATGATTAGTAGCCAATTTTTTTGAAAATCAGAACGATGCCTGTACTTATCTAGAAAATTCAAATAATCGGAAAGCGTTGTTTAAAGAGAAAGGAAACAAAAAACAAGAAGTATGAAACAGTTTTTCATCCCTTCCATATTTCCCCTAGACCACAGGCAATCATTCTTTACTACTTTTGTACTTTAAATATTAATCTCCAGAGCTCAAAATACCATGCTTCTTTTTCTGTCTTGATTCTTTGCTAAAATAGCAAAGAACAGTTTTCCTTCTCCTTTCAGAGTTCCTTTTTCTTCAGGGTTGCTTTACTCTTTTTGATTTCTTGGTTTTTTGTTTGTTTTGTTTTGTTTTGTTTTGTTTTGTTTTGTTTTGGAGACAGGGTCTCACTCTGTTGCCCAGGCTGGAGTGCCGTGGCAGGATCATAGCTCACTGCCATCTTGACCTCCTGAGCTCAAGCGATCCTCCCTCCTCAGCCTCCCAAGTAGCTGGGACTACAGGTGCATGCCACTATGCCCAGCTGATTATTCTATTGTTATTATTTTTAGTAGCAATGAGGTCTTGCTATGTTGCCCAGGTTGATCTCACACTACTGAGCTCAAAGCTGTCCTCCTGCCTTGGACTGCCAACGTGTGTTTGCTTGTTTTATTTTTTGTTTGGTGTCATTTACGTTGAAGGGTGTCCTCGTGTGTGGTGGTCTTTTTTGCTTGTCCATGTCAGAAAGTGGGAACTAAGCAGTGGAGCCTGCGGCTGGTTGCCGGGGCTGATCCCTGTAGGGTGATCTGCTGGGTTGTTTCATTCCTGAAGCCTTCATGCCGGCTGCTTTAGGCATTTCTTCTTGCCTTGGTCAAATTCTTCAGAGAAGGAGCATCCGGTCTCCTGTGAGGAGGGTCTTGATCTGCCGTCATCACCCTGGAGCACGGCTGAGGAAGAGACTGTGCATCCCAGTGTTCAGTGCACCCTTGCATGTGCTCAGTATGGACGCTCATTTCCAGCCAGGCCGGAGACTTTCTCTTTGCTGTCTGCGGAGAAGAATCCAACATCAGTGAGGGCGGGTATCTGTTCTGTGCGGGAAACGCGCAGGGGAGAAGAAAAGACACACACACACAATACCTTTAAGGGTAAACAGCCTTTATCCCAAGTATATGGCAATACAGATACAGTAAGCAAATCATATAATAAGCAAATGATACAATACGCAAATTACAATGGGAAGGGGAGAAGGGAAAAGATGCATGTATTTACACTCACCAGCCTATGGAGGATTCACCCCCAGACCGGGAAGGAGCAGCCTGGGTTCCAGAGTCGGCCACTCGTCCGTGCACGGCCGAGGAGAGGTCTCAGGAAGCTTCGGCACAGTCTGGGACCCGAGCTCTTTTTGTAACGAGTTGTTTGGCATGAGGCCCAGTCACGAGGGCCCCTTGCGACTTGGCTCAAGGAACACAAAAAGGTCAACTCGTTTTTGCAATTGTCTATCGTTTTTCAATAACTGACGTATAGGAATACATCAAAATAGAGATTTCTCTGAAACAGCGCTAGATGAACGCCTCAAGGTGCTCACACAACCTGTTCCGGGACTTGGTGACCATTGTTTGTGTCCACTTTCAATTGAGTTCAAATTTAATATTTACCTTTTCCTCCACAGTATCCAGGTGCCTGGAACTGGGGAGGGGGGCAAACTCTGTGGAATAAATGTGATTGCTGTTTGACTCCCCTTCCCTCCCCACTGGTATAGGATTTAACTTGCTGGGACCCCCCACTGTTTGCCAACTTCCGTTTCTTGTTTGTTTTTTTTTATTACATCCTCTCCTTTTCCCTTTGTCTCTTGGGTTTATGACTTACAAACAGAATCAATATTTGCATTTTAGTGGTGTTTGGGAAGGAGTGGGGGGGTACAATTTGACATCTTTACTAAATGCTGATTAACCGATCTTTTTTACAATTTCATTTGAATAATTTAATGTTATGTAGACCACAGTGTAATGGGCTACAAAATGTAAGCTTTTAATTTATTTCATCCCATATGATTACTATCAATTTCTTGATTCTTCCATTATGATGCTTTCTCAGCTATTAGTGTCGTCTAACTGCCAGTAAAACAGACAAAAATTCAGCGCCAAGGGTTCAAGAAGACAAAATCAACTCCTTTTCTTTCTTTGTTTTTTCCCTAGTAGGTATAGTTTGTTTGTAAATCAAGCTTTTATGGAAATGAAGGGGAAAAACCTGCTAACATTCTTTTTTCTGCCTTAACCTCCTAGGATGAATGATTCCTTGTACCCTCAATGTTTTGACCCTCAAAAAAAAATCCATTTTAACCAGGACATCTACATAACTTTGCTCCCTGAAGTCCTATGGAGCAGAGGCAAAAGGTCAACATATTTTCATAATGTACATTTTTTCTTACGAAAACATATTTCTTGAATGGATTTTATGCCAAGTAATAATTAGACCTAATCCCTAGGTCTTCATATGTTAACCCTGCACCATGATTAATGATTCTGTAAAAAATAAGTAATGTTTGCATTTTCTATACACCATCAACCCAGCAGAGGAATAAGAGAATGCTTTCAACATTTAGTTAACCCTACGAGTGAGAGAATTATTTGACTTTTAAAATTAAAATAACTACTGCACATCTTGATTCTCATCACATTTTTCTCTTTATTACTGTTTTTATCCTGTTACCTGTCACTCGTATCACAGGAAATGATGCATCCTTTTTTTTTTTTTTTTTTTTTTGGCTTTTCAAAAATTTTAATAGCTTATTCCCTGTTAAAGCTAAGAAATACTTTCCAGTATACCCTACCTCCCAAAGTATCAGGGATTTTTTGTTTTTTAATCCAAGAGAGATTTATGAGATCATAAAACACAATCTTTATGTTCTTTGCTTCCCTTTTCCCAAAATCTAAAATTATTCAGAAATATTTAACCTTTTCTTGATTTGTAGCCATTACAGCTAATTGGAGGATCCTGCCATAAAATGATGGCCCTCTGTCATGTGTTGCCTACTTGTTTAATTTAGATTTGTGGTTTCTTGAAAGCCAACTGAAAGTGTTTGACCCCTCATAGGAAAATCCTGTTGTGAATGAGAAGGATTCCACAGATCACATACCAGAGCGGTTTTGCCTCAGCTGCTCTCAACTTTGTAATCTTGTGAAGAAGCTGACAAGCTTGGGTGAGACAATGTTTTGCATGATGCATCCTTTATAAGAAATAACAATTTGCTACAATTAGCAAGATTCATATTAAACGGTTAAAGAAGTATATGCTTTTTATTGACAAAATTGAAAATTATATAGGGAAAATCTTTCTTTCTTTCTCCCTCCCTCCTTTCCTCCCTTCCTCCCTCTTTCTCTTTCCCTTTCTTTTTTCCTTCCTTCATATACATGTTAGCATTTCCTTTATGAACAAAGAGGAAGAAGAGAGAAATGTCCTCAGAGGGGAAATATGTTCAGTGATCTGTATTTAATTCACTCGTGTATATTATGAACCAGCTACTATTTTAATTTCATATTCTGTATTTGAAATTCCTAATCACACTTTGTTTCACTCCATCTGCTTTGCCCTTCCCCTAAAGCTTTATTTTCCTTTACTGAGTCACCTTTTATAATTTACTGAGAACTCACAGCTTTAATTTCAAGATGATTACTCTCTACTTCTCTGATGACAAGAGTTAAGAGACGCTGATGTAATCGCAAAGGAGAGGAATTCCACCTACCTGCAGGAGTTGGCCTAGCAATTCTCAGAAGGTAGGAACCAGAAGGGGCAGCCTCTGAGAACTCCACCTTCAGGGCACTGGCACAGATCCTGACACTGGGGAGGGTCAGTGTGTTACAGGAAAGGGGTCCTGATCCAGACCCCCAGAGAGGGTTCCTGGATCTCGCACAGGAAAGAATTCAGGGAGAGTCCATAGAGAAAAGTGAAAGCAATTTTATCAGGAAAGAAAAGGAAAAAAAGAATGGCCACTCTGCAGACAGAGGAGCCCTGAGGGCTGCTAAATGCCCATTTTTATGGTATTTCTTGATGATATGTTAAACAAGAGTTGGATTATTCATGCCTCCCCTTTTTAGACCATATAGGGTAACATCCTGACGTTGCCATGGCATTTGTAAACTATCATGGCGCTGGTGGGAGTGTAGCAGTGAGGACAACCGGAGGTCATGCTCATCGCCATCTTGGTTTTGGTGGGTTTCCGCTGGCCTCTTTACTGCAACCTGTTTCATCAGCAAAGTTTGTGACCTGTATCTTGTGACGACCTCCTATCTCATCCTGTGACTTAGAATGGCTTAGCCTCCTGGGAATGCAGCCTAGTAGGTCTCAGCCTCATTTTACCCAGTTCCTGTTTAAGATGGAGTTGCTCAGGTTCAAATGTCTTTGACAAATGCACTCCCCACGTGGATGCTCAGAGTCTCATGGAGAGAGTTCGCAGCCCTGTTCACTCTTCTAGGTTTTTGGAGTGGTACAAAATGATATAGAAAATTAGGTGGTATTTTACAATCTGCAGTACAGTGAAGGGGAAACTGTTCTACTCTTTACCTGCATTAAGTTTATAATTTAATAGCACCTTTCTGAATTTCAACTTTGGTATTTAACTCAACCAGGCTGAAAAGTTTCTTCCAAAGCTTCCAAATAGTACATTAATAGTCCTGGTTTTAGAAAGCTGTTTAGCGACTTCAAATTCTGGATAGCATCTCTCCGCACAGCTCTGAATAAAGTTACCAATACCTCCTTATTGGAAATCTATTTCTGTAAATGAGACCTTCAGTGACCAAAATCAATCTTTTCATTTTGAGGTATGCTCTGAGAAGACATTAGACCTGTTGTGCCACCCTTCCAAATGCATGCCCTCTGGGCCCTGGTGAGCTTCAGAAACATCAGGAATGACCTTTGGTGTCAAGAACTGATGACTGGATTAACCCTTCTTGGTGTGGTGCTTTTTATCCTTGCAGTTATGTCTCCTAAAATCTATCCTACAAATGAACTTGAGGTCATGGGTTAGTTCTGCTCACCCCTTCTCTGGATCTTATTTCTGATTTACTGAGTATCCCCTACTGAACTGGTGACTCCTGCTCAATATCTTCATACATCTGAGTCACTGACCACATCAGATGGAGGAGATAGAAATCCTGGGCTAAACAACAAACAACTCGTTGTTGTTGTTGAGACAGGGTCTTGCTCTGTTGCCCAGGCTGGAGTGCAGTGGTGCAATCATGATTCACTTCAGCCTCTACCTCCCTGGCTTAAGGAATCCTCCTGCCTCAGCCTCCTGAATAGCTGGGACTGAAGGCACACACCACCATGCCTGGCTATATTTTTTCTTTTATTTTTTGGTAGAGATGGGGTCTTCCTATGTTACCTAGGCTGGTCTTGAACTCCTGGGCTCAAGGGATCTTCCTACCTCAGCCTTCCAAAGTGCTGAGAATACAGGTGTGAGACACTGAGACTGGCCCTGAATAACTTTTTTTTTTTTTTTTTGAGACTGAGTCTCACTCTGTTGCCCATGCTGGAGTGCAATGGCACGATCTTAGCTCACTGCAACCTCCGCCTCCTGGATTCAAGCAATTCCCTGCCTCAGCCTCCTGAATAGCTGGGATTACAGGTACCCACCACCACACCTGGCTAATTTTTGTATTTTAGTAGATATAGGGTTTCACCATCTTGGCCTGAATAACTTCTATGTGTAATGCTTGGCAACAAATTAAGCAAAACAGATATCAGATCACAGCTCAGAAAACTCATGCATCTGACGTTGCTAACAACATGTGATTCTAATATACACCAAAAATGGATGTTACTGGAAAGGTCCTGATCCAGTACCCAAGAGAAGGTTCTTGGATCTCACGCAAGAAAGAATTCGGGGTGAGTCCATAGAGTAAAGCGAAAGCAAGTTTCCTAGGAAAGTAAATAAATGAAAAATGGCTATTTCAGAGACAGAGCAGCCCCAGGGGCTGCTGGTTGCCTCTTTTTAATGGTTATTTCTTGATTACATGCTAAACAAGGAGTGGATTATTCATGAATTTTCCCGAGAAAGGGGTAGGCAATTCCTGGAACTGAGAGTTCCTCACCTTTTTATTCCATATAGGGTCACTTCCTGATGTTGCCATTGCATTTGTAAACTGTCATAGCTCAGGTGGGAGTGTCTTTTAGCATGCTAATGCATTCTAATTAGCATATAATGAGTAGTGAGGACCACCAGAGCTCACCCTTGTTGCTATCTTGGTTTTGGTGGGATTTGACTGGCTTCTTTACAGCATCCTTTTATCAGCAAAGTCTTTGTGACCTGTATCTTGTGCCGACCTGTGATCTCATCCTGTGACTTAGAATGCCTTAACCTCCTGGGAATGCAGCCCAGTAGGTCTCAGCCTTATTTTACCCAGCCCCTATTCAACATGGGAGTTGCACTGCTTCAAACGCCTCTGACACATATATTCTTTAAGCAACAAAACTTTAGTACAACCATATTTTGCAGTATCCTTCCAAAATGTGTTGTGCTTTCTTGTCCTTTAAGCAGAATATGAGGAATATATGATAATGTGTCTGAGTGCTTGTGTGACTGTGTGGGTGTCTGTGTGTGAGTGACTGTGTGTGTCTGTGTCTGTGTGTATGTGTCTGTGTGTGTGACTGTGTGTGTCTTGTGTCTGTCTATGTGTGTCTGTGTGTCTGTGTGTATGTCTGTGGGTATGTGACTGTGTGTGTGTGAGACTGTGTGTGTGTGTCCGTGTGTGTGATTGTGTATGCGCATGTGTGTATGTGACTGTGTGTATCCATGTGTGTCCATGTGTGTGTCTCTGTGTGACTGTGTCTGTGTGTATGTGTGTGCATCTGAGTCTGTGTGCATGTACCTGTGTGTGTTGGTATGTGGGACTCTGTGTCTGTATGTGTGACTGTGTGTGACTGTGTGTGCATGTGTGTGAGGCTGTGTGTCTGTGTGTGTCTGTGTGTTTCACTGTGTGTGTGTGTGTGTGTGTGTGTGTGTGTGCATCTGACTGAAAATCATCACTATGAGCATTGGCTGTTGGTCGGGTACCAGCATTGGATGCAGTGAGGCCTCTGAAGCTGCCTAACTAATCCCATTTGTTGCTTTATATACCGCTCTCAGACAAGCATGTTTCTGGGGTTTTTCTCTTAGTTTTTTAATGTCTAATCTTATTGCTGCATGCTGTCACTTTTTATTGCTCTCAGTGTGCTTTTTCCTAACAGGTTTCACATGTGCAAATTTGCTTTTTGTAAACAACCTTTGAGGAAGAAATCTTTGTTTTCTATGCTGTTAAGTTCCATGAGGGAAGGACCTCATTTCTCTTGGTCTCCTTGCACCTGGCACACAGGGAGGCTGAAAGGAGAGCTCATTAAATATTCACCAAGGGAATAATCAATTCTATTTCAATTGAACATAAAGGAAGAATAAGTGTCTCAGAATCCAAATGGCTTAACATTGCCTAATACAGAAACTTGGTGGGTCTACATTGGCTTCTAACAGGCTTAAAAATCTCTTGGTTCTTGGTTATGTCATTGGAAGATGTACTTTCTTGGCAGAAATTCTCTTATTTTTTCCCCAAGACCTCCTTGGCCACGTCTTGTTGGAAATCCTCCTTTTCCCTCTCCATGTGGTTCTAGAGAGCTCTTTTGTGATTACCCTTTGAGATATCTTCATGCAGGGATTTCATCTGAATTTTGCTGTGTACTCAGTTTGGGGGAGAGACCCTTCAAGAAATATGACCACTCATTGCCTTTTGCATGTTTTTTTCTACTACACTTGACTTTAATTACCTTACTCTTATTTAAATTCTTTGAGTGCTCTCCTGTCTCATTTGCAGCTGTTTACACCCATTTAAATCTCTTCACATCAACAAAGCCACTTATTTTATCCCGGTAATTTACTGGTCCAGATGTTAGTTACTGCCTGTAGGATTTTTTTGCCAGTTAATTCAAGATCTACCATTTTTCTCTGTCTACCCTGTGCATCATTTCTTCTATAAAAAAAAGTAATGAGCCCACATTATTAGGGCACAATTAATAAGGTAATTTTTTCAAACCCCTTTCATTTTATTGGGGAATTTTCCTTTCCTGCTACTCAGGCCATTGTAGAGAACAGACTGAGGGAATTTACATCCTGAATTTGGTAATGGAACATGAATGGTAATTCCTACTCTTAAAAGGAAAACTGTGGTCGGGCGCGGTGGCTCACGCCTGTAATCCCAGCACTTTGGGAGGCCGAGGCAGGCGGATCACGAGGTCAGGAGATTGAGACCATCCTGGGTAACACGGTGACTACTAAAAATACAAAAGAATTAGCCGGGCGTGGTGGCATGCGCCTGTAGTCCCAGCTACTCGGGAGGCTGAGGCACCACTTGAACCAGTGGGTGGAGGTTGCAGTGAGCTGAGATCACACCACTGCACTCCAGCCTGGGCTACAGAGTGAGAGTCTGTTAAAAAAAAAAAAAAAGGAAAATTGTCTTTTAAGTGTTTTCTTTAATTCAATATGATGATTTATTTTGCTCAGTTTAATTTCTCAATTTCAGAAAATAATCTCCTTAAAGCATTGTTAGATCAAAGATGATCACAGTTGCATGCCCTCTGTTATTTGTCCCTTTAAAAATATTTAGTAAACATCTCAATATATTTTATTTGACAATTTGCTTTACTAGCAATTGCTATTGATGATACAGTCCTGTTACTGGAATGGGGTCACGATCTGGACCCCAAGAGAGGGTTCTTGGATCTCATGCCAGAAAGAATTGAGAGGAGTCCATAAAGTCAAAGCAAGTTTATTAGGAAAGCAAAGAAATAAAGAATGGGTGCTCCATAGGCAGAGCAGCAGCATGGGCTGTTCCACTGAGCATACTTATCTGTTGATTACATGCTAAGCACGGTGTGGATCATTCATGAGTTTTCCAGGAAAGGTGTGGGCAGTTCCTGGAACTGAAGGTTCCTCCCCCTTTTAGACTATATAGGGCAACTTCCTGAGGTTGCCATGGCATCTGTAAACTGTCATGGTGCTGGTGGAAGTGTTTCTTAGCGTGCTAATGTAATATAATTAGTGTATAATGAGCAGTGAGAACAGCCAGAGGTCTGTTTTGTCGCCATCTTGATTTTGGTGGGACTTGGCCAGCTTCTTCACTGCAGACTGTTTTATCAGCAAGGTCTTTATGACCTGTATCTTGTGCTGTCCTCCTATCTCATCCTGTGACTTAGAATGCCTAACTGCCTGGGAATGCACCCGAGAAAGCCTCAGTCTTTTTTTACCCAGGACCTATTCAAGATGGAGTGGCACTGGTTCAAACACCTCTGACAGTTCCTCAAAAGCACTCACCATTCATCTTGTGAGAAGCTCACTTCAAAAAATAGGGAATGTCAAATCATCCACAGAGTTATTATTTTAAAATATTATTTCTTCCATCAATTACAGTTTTCTAAACTCTTGTTAAAGGAAATAAATTTGCATTGGGTTGTGAATTATATGTTTGCTTCCGTTTGCTTTATTGTCTTAATTTTTGAGAATAAAGGTGACAGATGACAGATAAGGAAGGAGGTTCTTAAAAATATCTTTCTTCTGCATCTCATTCTTTGTAAACTGACATTTTTAATGTCAGTCTTAGCGAAGAAAGACTTACCCTAAGATGGAAATAATTAAGCAGGATTTTTTCACGTATTTGACAGGAAAAGTGGCAGAAAGAGACATGCATGTCAGGAGTGGGTGATTGGGGGCACTGAAGGCAAGGAAAGACAAGCTTAAAATGCTCTTTACCTCCAGAGAGGATCACTTAGCTCTGAGTGAGGTTAGAAAAGGGAATAATGGGCTTATTCATGTTAAGAGAGAAGATATTTTATGTCAGACTTCACTGCTTGAGTTTTTATTTGCACTTTCTTCTCTTTTTAATTGGCTCCCCCCCGTTACATTTCTTTTCTGATTTTGAGCTTCTGACATCATGTGCACACATGCAGTATCTATCCTGGATGTGATAAATGTTCTGAAGAAAAATATATGTGCAAAGGTCATAAAATTTGTCCTGACTCAGATACTTAGGAAATTTGTAAATGTGGGCAAGCTATAGGGCCTCAGTTTTCATGCCTGGAAAGTGACCATGATCCCTCCGTGGTGTACTTACAACATTGCAGGGATATTGGGAGAGTCAAATGAGTTATTGAATGTGAGAAAATATATCTGGATACCATATAAATAGGAGATGAATATCATATAAATGGGAGGGAGGATTGTTACATAGCTTTATCCTCTAAACTGTAAATTCTGGGAGAATGCTCTTACGAATGTGCTCAGAAAATCACTGGGGGGTCTCAGGCAATCATTCAAGGGGTCTAGAATATCACAACATTTTATATAATAATACTAAGATGCTGGTGCCTTTTTCACTCAAAAATCTCTTAGATGTGTACAGGGCAGTTTTCTACTGATGTGTGGCGATGTCACTGCTGTGAAGACTCATGGGGTGTGTGCCTGTGTGTTCTTGTGTTTCTTAAAATGTTCCAAGACTGAAAAATTAGAAAAAAAATGTGTACATTTTCAGAAAATAATTGTTTCTTTTTAGTGCTTCTCCTGACTCTCTACTATTTATCTTCAGCTTTATTTGCGGAATGTTGGAACCTCATTATCATTCAATAAGACATTATTTTGAAGACACAGAGTTTTCCTTGAGCCTGTGAAAAAACACAAGAGATACCCTATTATCTAGCTTTGAAATGATAACTTGCTTTTCAAAAACTGACACAGTTTTATTTTTTCCAAATCTGCAATTTTACCATTCAATGGGATTTTATCCTAAAATATCAGAATATTATTTAAAATA
Organism: Homo sapiens; assembly: GCF_000001405.40. Classification (NCBI taxonomy): domain Eukaryota; kingdom Metazoa; phylum Chordata; class Mammalia; order Primates; family Hominidae; genus Homo; species Homo sapiens. Next base: position 126,910,046 of record NC_000012.12, read on the forward strand.
TGGTTTTCTTTGTTTAAAGATGGATAGAACTTCAAAAGTGAGACCTGAAGACTGGCTTTCTCAAGCTAAAACAGCACTATCTACATAAAAATGCTGAAAAATTAAAAATGACTGCTGAAATAGTTCTCTATCTCATGAAAGGGAGAAATCTGCTCAAAAAAATCTAGAGGCTAGAAAATAGAGGAGAAAGGGAGGGAGAAGGTGACATTTGTTAAAGGACTTCGAGACCAGCCTGGCCAACATAGTGAAGCCCCGTCTTTGCTAAAAATACAAAAATTAGCCAGGTATGGTGGTGAGCACCTATAATCCCAGCTACTCAGGAAGCTGAGGCAGGAGAATTGCTTGAACCCAGGAGGCGGAGGCTCTAGTGAGCTGAGATCACGCCACTGCATTCTCACTTGGGTGACAGATTGAGACTCCATCTCAAAAAAAAAAAGGGATACAAAATTATAGCTAGCTTGGAGAAATAAGTTCTACTGTTCTGTATCACTGCAGCATGAATATAGTTAACAATAAGGTATTATACAGTTTCCCTGGATCAGCTGGGCTTGGCGGGGGTTGCCCCCTTTGAGAAGGGAGGCACAGGGCTTGGGTGAGGGGCGGAAGCCATTAGAAGTGCCTAGCTCTTTTGGAAACTGAGGGCCCAATGACTAACTACGTTTACATGACTTGAGTGTTGAACCTTGATTAACATCTGTACGCCTTTCCTAGTTCTAACCCTGAGCCCCGGGGAAGCAGGAAAGTGTGGCCGGCCTCTTGCACAGCTTTTTCTCCTAGTAAACTACTGAAATCAAACCGCATTTCACATGTGTTTACACATGTTGCTCAAGCTTGTTATGTCATTCTCCCAGTCCTTAAAGAATAGACATTTAATACAACAGCTTTACCTTAAAAAAATATTATGTAGTTTCAAATAGCTAGAAGGAGGATATTAAACATTCCCAACAAAATGAGTAAGTGTTTGAGAAAATGGACATGCTGGTCATTGTGATCTGATCACTCTGTGTTGTGTATATATAGAAACATTCTTAGATACCCCATTAAAATGTATAATTATTATTTGTCAATTAAAAAAATAAAATTTTCAATCTAGGTGGAATTTAAATGGTAAATAAAATAGGAAAAAATATATATTCCCCTTAACTTAATGTGTTAATTTCTTGTATCGTATTTAAGGAACATCTCAAATAATAATATGGTGTAAGATAGACTTCAGTATTGTTTTGTGATTAATCTTTTCAAGTTGAAAGAAGGCATTGATTATTTTTGGTGAAGTTATTACTGCAATAACTTTTGCACCAATATGCACACTAATATATGCTCATTAAAGTCACGACTTCTTTGTTGCTGTTTTTCATAATAGAAGGGAAAAACAAACATGATGCTTTGAAGGGTAAATTATGATGTGGTATCGACTAAAGAGGTGTACACAGTGGGCAAGGGAAGGTCAGAGCTCTGCAGGGTTGGCGTGGCTGGGTTCCTCCCAGGTGAAACTCTAGAAAACAAATGACAGAACCTCCACTTTCCCATGATACAGTATCCCACTAACAGAAAGACTTAGCTGTCAACATGAAGACTGGGTTAATATCTCATAGGCGGCATCATATGTTTGCCTTGAAAATGGATGAGGATGAGCTGCGGAACCAGGAGTGATGGCAGGACCAGCCTTTAGAAAGTTCCTTCCACTCGGCCGGGCGCGGTGGCTCACGCCTGTAATCTCAGCACTTTGGGAGGCCGAGGCAGGCAGATCATCTGAAGTCAGGAGTTCAAGACCAGCCTGGCCAATATGGTGAAATACATACTGGCCACCTCTACTAAAAATACAAAAAAAAAGCCGGGCTTGGTGGCAGGCACCTGTAATCCCAGCTACTCAGGAGGCTGAGGCAGGGGAATCGCTTGAACCCAGGAGGCGGAGGTTGCAGTGAGCCAAGATCGCGCCATTGTTGCCCAGTCTGGGCAACGAGAGAGAAACTCCATCTCAAAAAAAAAGAGAAAGTTCCTTCCACTCTTTGATGAGTATTGGCCAAAAAGAGTCCCACCAAAACTGTAACCGAAGGAGGCGTTAAGCCTCCAGAAAAATCTCAAGGAACCTGTCGTGCAAGCAACAGGCATAGCTATTGGATTGGGCTCTAAAGGAAAGGGTGGAGATATTCAACCAGTTAGTGTAAAAGTTGGAGATAAAGTTCTTCTCCCAGAATACAGAGGCATCAAAGTCAGTTTAGATGACAAGGATTCTTTCTTCTTTAGAGATAATAACATTCTTGGAAAGTATTTAGACTGAAATAAATCACTGTTGAAATGACATCCGCACGAAGCTGCCCACTCCGCTGAAGTTCTGAAATCTCTCATCAGTTAAATAATTTCCATCTCCCTCTTTTATAATAAACTCATAATTCATAAAAAGTGAAAGAATTAAAAAGATAAAAATGGATGAGTCCGTAAGTCCACCGGGGCTTGCTATTTTTATCTGGCATGAGCACTAAGTAGCCATCAAAGATTGTCTTTTATGTGATGAAAGTGCAGTGGTACTCAAATACAGAAATGTTGGAAAACGTTGTACTCATGGTTCATTCTGGAACTAGTGTGTCGATGCTTGCCCTGAAGGAGGAAAATGGCAGGGGGTGATACCGCAGGTGCCTTAGCATCGAGCAAGGCAGTGGGATGGAAAGGCGCTGGTGGTTACTGTGAGATTCCCTGACATCACAACTAAACCTTCTGATAAAGGGAAGATCATCAGTTTTATTAAATCTCAGCACTTGAGCATACATCTCTAAGTATTTCGTGTCAGGACATAAGAAGATCGTATAAAGCATAAAGCACTTCTACTGCATATTGGAGTATAATGTTTATCATAAAAAAATAATTCTGTGGCCGGGCGCGGTGGCTCATGCCTGTAATCCCAGCACTTTGGGAGGCCAAGGCGGGCAGATCACGAGGTCAGGAGATCGAGACCATCCTGGCTAACAGGGTGAAACCCCGTCTCTACTAAAAATAAAAAAAATAAAAAAATTAGCCGGGTGTGGTGGCGGACGCCTGTAGTCCCAGCTACTCGGGAGGCTGAGGCAGGAGAATGGCGTGAACCCAAGAGGCGGAGCTTGCAGTGAGCCGAGATCGCACCACTGCACTCCAGCCTGGAGACAGAGGAAGACTCCGTCTCAAAAAAAAAAAAAAAAAAAAAAAAAAGAATTATGTTATTGTTTGAGTTCTTAGCTAAAAAAAAAAAAACGTTCATGGAAGTCCTTTTTTTGTATGAAAGACAAACTGACAAACTGTGAGTTATTCAGATTTTGGAATTTGGCAGACATTTTCTCAAATATGAATCAAGTGAGCTGCTTGTCACTTCAAGGGCGGGGGGAAACTGATGACATTTGATACCCAAGATAAAATCTGAACTTTCAAGTAACAATAATAATTTTTGAAACTTTGTATCTATCATCACAAGCTTAATATGTTTTCAATACTCAAGACTGCTAATGAGATCACTGAGACATGAATAAATATGATTTTAAAAAATATATTGTGAAAAAGAAAAGATCTGAAGAAACAGTGAACCAAACTCTTTCAAACGATTAATGCATCATGTTACAAAATCCAACAGAGCTAAAAGAACTATTCGATACGCAAGAGATACCAATGGATTTTAATATAGCAGAGTAGGAAATGCATATTGATATAGTTTCAAATCCATAATACACCTAATAATTTTTAAATGCAACGTGTTGATTTTGGGTATAGTATCAAAGAAGAATAGCTACATTTATCTGAATAGGTTTTTTGAATTCTATTTTTCCATCTGAGGAGGGCTTTATATTTTTAATATACTTCAATCAAAACAAGCTGTCATAACACAGTAAATGAAGAAGCAGATCTGAGAATTCAGCTGTCTTTTCTAAGACATTGAACATATTTGCAAAAATGTAAAATCCCCATACATTTTGGTTTGCAGAGTAAAGTCATTTTCATAAAAAAAATTTGTGATTTGTGTTAACCTACGATATATTTATATTGTCTTAAATGAATGCATGAATATTTTTTAAAAGTTTAGTTTCAATGATTAATATAGTAAATGCAAATACACATATAATACACAGAAACAAAAGACCTTCAGGGTCATCAATAAATTTTAAGATTATAAGGTGACTCTGAAACCAAGAAGATTAATACATGATATGCTCCAAAAATGATAAACTACATTTTATCAACAGCTTTTGCAGACTATCTAGCATAGAGTAGAATTTTTATAACTATTTATTGAGTGAACGAAAGAAATGTATATCTTCAGGCCTATGTCACACAAACTATGCAAACGTCTGCAGTGCAGCATTCTCTCTCTCTCACTTAAGGTAATGCTGACTGCTGTAACAAACAAATCCAAAGATACAGAATAGCTCAAACTTGATAGAAGTTTATTTCTTTTATGTGTATGACTTCTAATAACAAAGCAATTGTTCTTGATCACATATGGCCCTCCTCTAAGTGGTCATGAGAAACTGAGCCCTTTGTGTTTTGTGATTCCACAACCTTCTACACGTGGCTTCCACAGTGACCATGTTTGTCTGAGTCAAGCCCGGAGAAAGAGAATGATTAACTAGAGAAGATAAAGCTGTATTTGAAGCATTCTGCTTCAAGGTGATACATGCCATTTCTGCTTATATTATTTTGCTAAAGTGGCCTAGGACACCACGGCTAAGGGACAACACTAGATGAGGGAATATGAGAATCCAGCTTTAGTGGGCAGGTAAATTTAGAGAGTTGAGAGAGACAGTATATAAATGAATTGAAATATCTAGATTTTGGTGTATGTTTAAAATACTCTGTTTCATGTGCTGTGCAGTTGATGGTGGGAATTGTGTGTGGAGTGTTGAGCTAAAAGTCTTACTTCTTTTTTTTGTAAAGTTTAAAAAAATGTAATTAGCCAGTATGTCTGTATTTTGGTACAAAATTTCTCCCCTGCCTTTTTTATCTTCACTGACATCTTTTCAAGTACATCTATTTCTTCAGTCCGTGAACCTATGGAGCACTCACCAAAAATATGATCACAGGATGTTAATTAACTTTGCGGGGGAATAATTGCTGTACGGATTATTGGAGAAGAAAAGTTATCGAGTTTTGAAAGCATGGATTCCACATACACTTAAGAGGACCCAGGCAAATTTTAGTACTCGATAGATAAATGTTTTATTTAGTTTTTGATTTTGAAATTTATGATGCATTTAATGAGATTCTTAGCACACAGATTAAAAACAGTTTGTTCTAATTTAAACAGAAGATAATTTATTGGATGCACACTAGGGACTCATTGAATTACCAGGTAGCTGGATTTTGACCCATCAATGGGCAATCCACGGCAGTCCCGAAAGGCAGGGAGCAGGAGCCTCCCCAGCAGCCTCTTGTCAGGAGCCATCTGGAAAAATGAAAGGGACCTTGAGAGAACGGAACTTGGAACGTCATCAAGCAATTTGTCTTTCCGCTCAGAAAGAGGAACCTTGTTGGTTTAGTTGGGGATTTTTACCCAGTTTTTAAACACTGGAGAGTCGGAGCTGTCTTAAATTCTCTCTCACACACAAATAAATTGGGGTGTTCTTAAGAAGAGAAAGAGGTACTAAAAAAGACAAGAAGAAATAAAAACAGAAGTATCTACTCTGTCTTGCATTATCTTATCTTATCCTTAATTCTAAGCACATAGTTCTCTTGCCCATGAATATATCAAATCCAAATTATGTTGGCCTCCCTCTGACAGCTCATTGATGCTATTGGCAGTGCACACCATTAGGAAACGTATTTCTACATCTCAATGGTACTTCAAAGCACGGCAAAACAATTATGTTGTCGATATCATTAACTTACAATTGTTATGTCATCATGACCTAAATTCAAGCCAAATAGATTGAGTCAATTGCTAGAAGGAGCTCCAGGTTTCTATTGCATTCATATTTTCAATGGTGATATATTTGAACTTACTAAATGCCCCAAAATCTCAGTTTCATGTTTTATTCTCTTGGTATTCTCATTTCCAATGTGAATATTCTGTGAGACTAACTTACCCTAGATAAAGAGGAAGAATGGTAGGGATAAACATTTTCAATACATTCAACCAGGAAAACTTTTCCTTTCTTTCCCCCAACTCCTCTACATTTAGCTGAAAGTCTGAGCTAGAAAAATGTGTGTAACATTTAATAGGTTTGATTTTATAATAAAGGACAAAGGCTGATAAACGTCCTATTGTTTGTACTTCTCATTATTAGGAATTGTTTAACTATACATTAGCATTCCTATCCAGACAATAAATGAATTCTTAATTTCTCACTTTGGAAAAAATAGATGGTTTCCTCCTGTCTAATTAAACTGTCCAGTCATCTTAAGCCTCTGGTAAAACTGAGTGTGGGCTCATCTATATTCCTGTAGTGCAAGAGCCATACTGATTGTTTGCATAGTTTGTACCAAATGGGCTCCAGGTTTAACATGATTCGTATTTCCCAGACTCTTTGTCGAATGTGGACTGCACTCATTCTACATGTCAGTTTACGTCTTTAATGTGCACAGTGAGATTTTGAGGTTTAACATGTGAATGGCATATACAATCTGATCACATCAAAATTATTTAAGATGCTTTTAGGTTTCTGTGTGTGTATGCCTGTGTAAACACATATGTATACATACATACACAAACATATTATATATTAATTAAAATATAATATATATGTTGACTACATGTATATATATTGAATCTGGCTCTTCAATCTCATGTTCATCTATAGTCTATTTCTTCCCCCATAATTCATTTATCATTACCTGGATCTTGGAAAATTAAATTGACCTCCTTTATGCCCCTCTAACAAAGATAACTAACTCCAATATACTTTACATTTGACTCCAGATTTTTAGTAGGCCTTTAGCAGATTCATTTTGGATTGACTAGTTGTTATCATAATTGAGTAGTATAATTAAATATTATTTAACATGGCGAAAAGAATGAGAGATGTTATTTCTATGAAAACTTCCTTGGATACATTGGGAAGTCTAGATAAATATAAATTGCTGAAAGGAAAGACTGTAAAATTGGGAGTAAAGAAAACAGCATTCAATTTTAGAAACAAATGATAAAAGCGTCCATGGACTCTATCCTGGTTGCTTCTCGAGTGTCTTTAGGTTTTGCTCCAGTTTACTTAAAGCTGATTATTACAGCAGATGAGTGATAGATATATTTTATGCAAGAAAGAAGATGGAGAACTCCAATCAGCATGCCAGGCTAGAGAAAAATTTCCGTGCCTTGTCATAGTTTGGGTCCCTGATATAAAACCTGAGTTAAAATCTTGGTGGAGGTTGGTGATTTGGGAGGTGTTTCCAGAAGCGTCACTGAGAGTGAGTTTAAGGAGAGAAAAGAGCAGGATACAGAGGGGAAGAGGCCATGTGGTTGTCTTTTGTGCTTATGAACAGTGGGAAACTGGGATTTTTGGTGGCTGTATGGAACACATATCAGAATTTCTCAACCAAGGAATGGATGGCTGGAAGCATTTATCCACCAACACCCATTCCCCATTCATTTAGGAATGCCTCTTCCCAGGCATTATCTCCCCCATACTTCCAGATGGCACCTGTGCACAGGCTGCAGGACTTTGCTGTGGCGTCCTCACGTGGGATGTTGGCAATGTGATAAGGGCTCCATGAGTGATTGCTACAGCCTTACAGGAAAGGGGAGGGAAATTGGTAACGTTTACATAGTTTAAAATCAAATAAAATGCCTGAGATAAATATGTATCACTTTTTGTGAGTCCTCACTTTAATTAACATTCATGCGTATAGTCTGAATAGGAGGGTCTTCCCTTATAAACAAGTTGTATGCAGGTTTGCAAAAGCTTGAGAACATGGTCCATCATGTGTTGAGACTTGGGACTCACTGCTGAACATGTGCTCTTTCCTTCAGTCAATAGAAGCTGCATGCTCTTCTCAACGCCGTGTGTTTCCTACATCCTTGTCTTTGCTAAGTCCCCTACACCTGGAACTTCCATATGAGCCCTCACATGCTGGTAAAGCTTTCTAACTTCCCCAAGGTCCTATCCAACATCACCTCCCGAAGTCTTCCCTGCAGGACACCAGTGTCTGTCTCCATTCAAACCCTTGGAACACTGTGCTCATGTGTTTCTCGTGGTACTGAGAACATTCTGCCTCCATCCCCTTATGCCCATGTATCCTCTGTGGACCATGAAGTTCTCATCAAAGAGGCCCACATTTTACTTGTTATTGCTTTCCTATGGTTGGTGGTGACCCCAGGATGCTGAATATATGTGCAATCTTCTATTAAATCTATCGTAGCTTTCAAGAAATTCAGGCTGACAAAACGTCATAGTCCTTATGCAATATCAGAAGAAAAATAAACCCCAAAATATAACTTTATAGTAATTTCTGAGCGGAAGTTCATATATCGTATGATTAACCATTTTAAAGTGAAAGACTTAGTGGCATTTATATATTCATAATATTGTGAAACTACCCTTTCTATCTAGTTCCAAAACAGTTTCGTTATTCCAAAGTAAACCATTTACCCATTAAGTAATTTATTTCAATTCCTCCCACGCTCCAACTCTTAAAAACCTCCATCTGCATTCTGCCTCTATGGATTTATCTACCTGGATGTTTGATATAAATAGAATTGTACATTATGTTACCATTTGTTTCTGGCTTCCTCCACTCAGTATCATCTTTTCAAGGTTTACCCATGTTGTTATGTATTACAATATCTCACTCCTTTTCAAGGCTCAGTAATATTCCAATATATGGATATATCACAATGTGCTTATTCATTCATCCACTGATGGACATTTGGGTTGTTTTCAGGTTTCTTTCTATTATTGCTGCTATAAGTATAAAGCACATGCACCTACTTAAGGACTTGTTTTCAATTCCTCTGGGTATACAACTAGGAGTAGAGTTACTGGATTATATGTTAATTGTATGTTTATATGTAAAAGCTAAACCTACGAAAGTTTTGGAAGGAAGCATAACTAAATCTTCATGATCTGAGAATAGGCAGTGGTTTTAAGACTTGACACCGAAAACATAAGAAACCAATAAATAAACAAATTGGACTTAATCAAAAAAACTTTTCTGTATCAAAAAAAAAAAAAACAAAAAATAAAAACAGGCCAGGCGCGGTGGCTCAAACCTGTAATCCCAGCACTTTGGGAGGCCAAGGCAGGCGATCATGAGGTCAGGAGATTGAGACCATCCTGGCTAACACGGTGAAACACCATCTGTACTAAACAAAATACAAAAAATTAGCCAGGCATGGTGGCGGGCGCCTGTGGTTCCAGCTACTCGGGAGGCTGAGGCAGGAGAATGGCGTGAACCCAGGAGGCGGAGTCTGCAGTGAGCCGAGATCATGCCACTGCACTCCAGGGCGACAAAGCAAGACTCCATCTCAAATAAATAAATAAATAAATAATAAAATAAAATAAAAATCAAAAAGGTGAAAAGATAAGCTACAGAATATTTGCAGGGTTTATATCAGATAAGGTCTACTATCCAGAATATGGAAATAACTCTTATAAATTAAAATTAAAAATATCAGTTACCCAATTAAAAGTGTCAATGACTTGAATAAATATGTATTCAAATAAAATATACAAATGGCCAATAAGCACATAAAAAGAAGTTCAATATTATCAATCATTAGGGAAATCCAAGTCAAAACCACAAGAGATACCACTTCACAGTTACTAAGATAGTTATAAAAATAAATAAATGAATGAATAAACAAATAAATAACACTTGTTAATGAGAATGTTAGAAATTAGAACCTTATATTTTGCTCGTTTTACTGTATACCGGCCTAGCAACTGTGGAGAAGAGTTTGTCAGTTCCTCAAATGTTAAAATAGAATTATATGTACATACCATCGTATTAGGTTGGTGCAAAAGGAATTGCAGTTTTTACCATTAAAAGCAATGGTAAAATCTTTCAGTCAAAATGAAAGCTTGGTGTGTTTATCTTCAAATTACGCAATAGGATTTTTTTTTGTAGCTTTCTGTGACTCTGATTTACACCCATTATTATTTTACCATTACTAAAAATAATGGTAAAAAGCCACAATTACTTTTGCACTAACCTAATATTTCTTGCTATATACCCAAGAGAAGTGAAAACGTATGTAAACTTGTCTATGAATATTCACGGAAGCATTATTCAGAATAGTCAAAAGTGGAAACAAGCCAACTGTCTGTCAACTAAAGAATGGATAAGCCAAATGTTGTACATCCATAGAATGGAATATTACTAAGCCATGAAAAAGAAATGAAGTTCATGAAGGACATACTACGTGAATGAACTTTGGAAATATTACACTCAGTGAAAGAAATCAGTTGAGGCTGGGTGCAGTGTTGGCTCACACCTGTAATCCCAGCACTTTGGGAGGCCAAGGCAGGTGGATCATGAGGTTAAGAGATCGAGACCATCCTGGCTAACATGGTGAAATCCTGTCTCTACTAAAAATACAAAAAAAAATTAGATGGGCATGGTGGCACATGCCTGTAATCCCAGCTACTTGGGAGGCTGAGGCAGGAGAATTGCTTGAACCCAGGAGGCAGAGGTTGCAGTGAGCCGAGATTGCGCCATTGCACTCCAGCTTGGGCAACAGAGCGAGACTCCATCTCAAAAAAAAAAAAAAAAAAAAAGAAAAGAAAAAAAGAAATCAGTCTAATGACCACATGTATCAGTTTCCTTTTGTAATATATTATCACAAATGTCATGGTTTAAACAACACAAAATTATTATCTTTCATTTCTAGAATTCAGAATTCAGTTTTAAGGAGCTAAAATCAAACATTCTGTCAGGATCAGTTATTTTTCAAGGACCCCGAGGCAGACTCTGTGTCTTGCCTCTCCCAGTTTCCAGAGACTGTGGGCAATCCCAGGCTTGTGGTCACATTGCTCTAATTCCTGCTTCCTTCATCCCAGCTTCTTCCTCTTTGACTTTGACCCTCTTGCCTCCCTTTTATAAGGTCCCTTATGATTACATAGGATGTGCCTGGGTGATCTAGGATCATCTCCCAAGCTCAAGATACTTAAATCACAGCTACAAAATCCCTTCTTGCTATGTAAAGTAATATGTATTTACAAATTCCAGAGATTCAGCTGTGGGCATCTCTGGGGTCCATTATTCTTCTATCACATTACACATTATACTATTCTTTTCATTTTTTTTTTGTTTTTTGTTTTTTTGAGACAAGTTCTCGCTTTGCCACCAGGCTGGAGTGCAGCAGCAGGATCATGGCTCACCACAACCTCCACTTCCTGGGCTCAAGTGATCCTCCCACCTCTGCCTCCTGAGTAGCTGGGACTACAGGTGTTCACCATCACAACTGGCTAATTTTTTAATTTTTTTTGGTAGAGACATGGCCTTACTATATTGCCCAGAATGGTCTCAAGCTCCTGGGCTCAAGATACCCTCCTGCCTCAGCCTCCCATAATACTTGGATTACATGCGTGAGCCATCACACCTGGCCTATGATTCTATGTATATGAAAAGTCCAGAATGGGTAAGTCCAGAGGCAGAATGCAACTTAGTGGTTGCCAGGGCCTGGGAGGAGGGAGTAATGGGCAGTGATTGATAATGGTTACATGATTTCTTTTCTGAGCAATAAAAATGTTCTAAAATTGATTGTGGTGATGGTTGCATGAGTCTGTGAATATACTTACAAACACTGAATTGTGAATTGTGTAGTATGTTAATTATATTTCAATAAAGCTGTCTAAATATATATATGCAAACATTATGTTCTGATTTTGATCAGAATGTTTGTTTTCCACTTCTGCAATCATGCGAATTGCTCATTTAGTTTAGTGTTGGGTAATAATATGTATAAAAGTTTGGATGTATTTTAAGTAGATAATTACAATATGATGCTGATTCATCTAAAATACTTTTAAAGCATAATATGAATGATAAGCTGCTATTTTTAATTCTATAAGCCCATATTACAAGTTGGCACTAAAATCTATATCCAGGAAGAGTAAGGTGCTAGCACCTTTAAGCACCTTTAAATGATTCTAAAAAAGTTTTCTCATTCAGAGATAATCAGCAAGGTTGCTGCAATAAAGCCAACCTTTAATAATAATAGTAATTATTATAACAGTATCATTATTAATAACAGTATTGTTTGAATAATTTTATATTATTTTACTAATAACAGTAGTCACCACTTTTTTTTTTTTTTGAGACGGAGTCTTGCTTTGTCACCCAGGCTAGAGTGCAGTAGAGTGATCTCGGCTCACTGCAACCTTCGCCTCCAGAGTTCAAGCGATTCTCCTGCCTCAGAGCCTCCTGAGTAGCTGGGATTACAGGCATGCACCACCACGCCCAGCTAAGTTTTATATTTTTAGTAGAGATGGAGTTTCACCACATTTGCCAGGCTGGTCTCAGACTCCTGACCTCAAGTGATCGGCCCACCTTGGCCTCCCGAAGTGCTGGGATTACAGGTGTGAGCCACTGCACCTGGCCAAGTAGTCACCATTAATTGAACAATATCTACGTTCAATCCAAAACTTAGTGCTAACTACTTTACATATATTATCTAATTGATCCACCCAACTGTCCTAGGAAATAGATTCTATAATTAATCCCAAATTACAGAAAATGAAATGGAGACTTGTGGAATGTAACTTACTCAAGATCACAAGGGGCAGCCCCAGGGGTGAAATTTAGGCTTCCCTGATTCTGAAGCAATGCTCTCCATCTCTAAGGCAATGTTGCACAGGCCCTCTCATGAGGTGTGTAGATGTGGCTCAGAGGCCTGGACAGCCAGTTTGCTTCCCCCTACATCCAAGGGAGCCTGGGAGGAAGGTTTTGGCTTTGTCTCCAAGTGAAGCTTTCTCACCGTAACAAATCCACTGGGATCCTGGAAAAAAAAAAGACTGACACTTATTAAACAGCTTTAAAACTCACGTTCTATTAGCCAACTGCAAGATCTGCACTGTGTTGTGAACTCACATTTTCACTGTAGCCGTGCTGTTGTGACTGGCAATCTTATGGTGCAGTATTTTCATATTATGAAAAGCATCCATTTGTAAAATGTAGACACTAAATACATCAGTTTCCCTCATCTTGTGTTTGCACTTCCCCTTGAATAGCAACTTTGACTTCTTAGGTGTATGGTAGTCTCAGTTCTGTGAATGTAAATTATGACAGATGTCAGTTAAAGTAAAAGTCCCCGTGGAGTGGGGTGAATCTGGAAACACAGTGTGCTTGTTCATCCCAATAAGATCCATAGTTATGGTCATACACAAATACACACACCAAGGAGAACTCACTGAGCCTGGAGCCCTTGTTGGTCTCATCCCCTGAAAAAAAGGTTCACTTTCCATCCTGAGGCAAGGCTGAGCTCAGGAAAATCTACTTGTCCCCATCAGAGAGTGGGAAAGCAGCACACACCTCTGTCCACACAGGTGAGCCAAGAGCACAGGACACTCTCCAGTGAACCGGCGTCGGAGTGGCTGAGGGCTGGACTCTCCACGCTGTGGAATTGCACGGGGATGTCACACACTGTGGGACAGGTACAGGCTCAGCTAGAGCGCCCTCATGGCCCCCAAGTTTACATCCCCAAGATGTTTATGGTCCCAAGAAACATCTGCCAGACACCAGCCCACAAGCACAGCTCACAATAACCCTCAGCCAATGGCAGAGATGACTAATCCTGCCCCGTGATTTCATTGAACATTATAATATCTATAACTCAAATATCAATATACCTTGTGTGCTCCACTTTTATTAGAAAGAGGCCAGTGTCTCTAAAGGAAATGCCAGCTCTTCCAAAATAAGTAAAATATTGACCAGGGCAGCCTTCAAATGCAAGCATTTAGCCCGGTTAAAAGAGAACTCATTAAAACATTGACTTGAGTGGTGGTACTACTTTTATGTTTGTAGAAAGGATATTATTTCTAGGCTCTAAATAATTCATTGAACAGAATATACAATACCTTCTATTCATGAAAATTATTATAAATTTTAGTGCTATTTGATTCAACAGCACATTAAAGCGTTTGCTGTCAATTACCATGTAGCTCTCAATTTCTAAATAACAATGCTCATTTCCCTGAACTCTAACCTAGTGTTTCATAAACTTCACATTTTCACAATCAGCATTCCGTGTTTCAAAGATAGATATTCACTTTATATCTAATGTTTCCCAAAGGAAAAAAAAATAGTTTACATTATCTGAGACTTAAATTTGTGTTTGTGTGTTGTTGTTTTTTTAAAACTAATGAGAAGGTCAAATACTTTAATGATATCCTCATATCTCTTTTAATTTATATTTTAAAATTCAGGGCCTCAATCTTGCTCAGGATGCAGTGTAGTGGCACGATCATAACTTGATGCAGCCTGGAACTCCTAGTCTCCAGTGATCCTCCCACCTCAACCTCCTGAGTAGCCAGGACTGCAGATATACACCACTATACCCAGCTATTTGTTTAATTTCTTTTTTGTAGATACTAGGGTGTGGCTTCAAATGCCTTTAAGAAAGTTCAGTCTTCTCGGCCGGGCGCGGTGACTCACGCCTGTAATCCCAGCACTTTGGGTCGCCGAGGCGGGCGGATCACGAGGTCAGGAGATCGAGACCATCCTGGCTAACACGGTGAAACCCCGTCCCTACTAAAAATACAAAAAATTAGCCGGGCGTGGTGGCGGGCGCCTGTAGTCCCAGCTACTCGGGAGGCTGAGGCGGGAGAAGGGCGTGAACCCGGGAGGCGGAGCTTGCAGTGAGCCGAGATCGCGCCACTGCACTCCAGCCTGGGCGACGGAGCGAGACTCCGTCTCAGAAAAAAAAAAAAAAAAAAGAGAAGAAAGTTCAGTCTGCTCTAGTGAAGGTTATGTGCAACCTTTCTCAGAGTTGAAAACATCTTGAATGCTACTGTCTGCCTGGCAAATAGCTTGAATAATCATTGAGATAAAAGCAAAAGACTACAACTCGATACAAACTATTTGCCCCAAAGTTACACCCAGAAACTCAAAGCATTAAAACAAATCCCCAGTGTTTCTACTTTACGTACGTGGAGACATTATATAATTTTAAACTTTTGATGAAAGCACTATAATTTTAAAGCATATACCACAAAAAGTCATAACAATCAAACTGAAAGATTGATGTGTTTATTTTCAAATTAAATAATAGGATTTTTTTTGTAGCTTTCTGTGACTCTGATTTACATTTCTCTTGTTTCACTAAACTTGGATTTTCTTCCTCCATTGAGTGTCTTTCATTAAAAGTGTTCTTATCAATAGCACTAGGTTAGAGCTGAGGGAAATTTGCAGTGTCATAATCTGTAATTATAGGGAATTAAACTTCTTTGGCATTCAAACAAAACTTGTCATTGACAAAGTCAAATACCTGTCACAATTTTAACCAGCATTAATTGTGACTTACAGGTTGTTTGGAAGAACATAACACAAAAGTAGCAACTGGGGCTCTTTCCACAGATGGAGTAAATTTATGACACATTCGGTATTGACCAATTATTTATAAAGTCTATTAAATTTGTCAGTGCCGCTGGTAGGAAAAGATTTATTAAAACAACTAATGTAAAACGCAATGAAATAGCTTAAGTCTCCTTATGAAATATTAATATCCATGAAATCTGGTAATCATAAGCCTGTATTTGCAATTTTGTTTGTGGATACTCTTAATTCAAGTGGTTGGTTGATAGGGGTTTAAGCTCTCATGACCAGGAGCACCCAAAGCACAAAATGAAAAGAGCTTCTGAGAATAATAAACCTCAAATTCAGAATAAGGATTCTCTCATAGCAAAATAGCACAGTTTGGGAAGAGAGCTCAATAGGTTTGAACTCTACTTGCCCTATTACTAAAATCATTTTGGCCTGTCAGTGTTTCTACTTATTCTCATTCCTCAAAAGGGATTGTATAAAGGACTCTTGCTGGCTTAGACAAACACGGGTAATAAGGACACCCATTTTCCAAAATGAGGTGATAGGCAACCACTTGCAAAGATCGTTAGTGAAAATTATGAGAGCATAGAAAGGTTGATAGAAGAGTCCAAGTGTTTACACATTTCTTTAGAAAGTCATGTGTGTTCGTCAGTTCGAGTGTTACCCTACCTCGGGGTAGCTTGGTGGGTTCTTTCCTCATAATCAGCAAAGTGGAGGATGCAGTTTTCTCATGATGTCATCAGCTAGAGGATGACACTGAGATGAGAATTCAAGTGCAAATAATTTCTTTGGTCCGTATTATCAGAAAACACTGTAGGAATGTGAAGTAGTGAGAAAGAAAAGGGAAGAAGCTTTTAAAAGGAGTGCTATCAAGCTGGTCACCACTGTGGGGCAATCAGAGCTTAAACTCAGTGAGGAACATTTGGAAGGAGCATAGAATACACACCTGAGAGTTATCTTCCCTTGACAATAGAGAAATGAAACTAACGTATTCATCCACCAATTCGTGGTGACTCTTGACTCTAGGCATAAAGTAGGCATCCTGCTTGTTTTTCATTGTTTCTTCTGCAATGTTACTAATCACTGTGTTTTGAAACTCAAATTTCACCATTACTGTCTATCTTTGTCCTACTTATTGGTAGATGACACAAATGTCCTCCTTCCTCATGTCATAAAGCTTTCAATTCTTGGCTCCCCCTCCCCCTCCTCAACACTCTTTTATCATCATTCTTTGTGGTTCCAGTTTTCACACAAATAATCCTTTTACATGCCTGTGCTTTCAGTTTATTTACCTCTCTTTAAACAACGTTTTCCTCGATCTCGTATCACTTATACAATCTCAGAATCATATCCTAGACATCATCCTTGCCCATGATCATAATGGATACAATTTTGGGGAAAAAAGTTTTAAAGTAATACAGTATATTTGTATTGGATTAAAATGTAGAGAGAACATTTGGACAGCAGTGATCTTTCCAAAGTGTCACTCAATCATATATAAGGTAGAAATTGTAAGAAAAATTTTGCGCCCTGAACGAAGCATTACATATTACATTTTAGAAAAAGTCTGCATGTCACCATATTCTGCTACCAATAAAAACATTAATGTAAATAAACACATTTAGATAAATATGAACATTATGTTCTCCTTCAGCAGTTTCTCCTGCTCTCAGTCTCTGGCATATTTTCTAAAATGTTTTATCAAAATGTAGGCATCTGCCACTGTTTCTGATGGCCAGATAAATAAGCAGTACTAGGGAAAAAATTCCAAAACAGTGATAGGTGCACTTTTTAAAGAAAACCATTCTTATGTTGTTTTGTAGCTGAAATTCCATTCTTTTACTTTAGAAATTCATTGACTATGTCAGAAAGAAGAGGAAGAAATCAGTTGGAACCAAATGTTTGGCTTAGTTTGTGAGAAAGAGAAACAGTAGGTAAAAACTGAATATGTGGACCACGCACAGTGGCTCATGCCTATAATCCCAGCCCTTTGGGAGGCCAAGACAGGTAGATCACTTGAGGCCAGGAGTTTGAGACTAGCCTGGCCAACATGGCAAAACCCCATCTCTACTAAAATTACAAAAATTAGCCGGGTGTGGTGGTGTACACCTGTAATCCCAGCTACTTGGGAAGCTGAGGCAGAAGAATTTTTTTAACCTGGGAGGTGGAGATGGGATTGCAGTGAGCCAAGATTGTGTCATTGCACTCCAACCTGGAAAACAGAGTGAGGCTCGGTCTCAAAAAAAAAAAAAGAAAGAAAGAAAGAAAGAAAAATTGAATATGCAGCCCTATGTATAATAAAAGGGGTGCATGCATTAGCTTGCATCTATCACATGGTATTATCTTTGTATAATCCTGTAAACACAGATCATAGAACTGAAAGAATGCACCCACAGTGTAATTAATTAGGGGAAATTCAATCTCAAACCAGAACCAAGTGCCTCTCCTAGTATTGATAGTTTTACTATCATAGGTAGCCTGGAATTAATACATGAATCAGTTTTCAGACCAGTTAACTCAGAATTGAACATTGTAGCGTGCATATGCATCTTACGTAATGTGGCCAGGTGACTGCTAGCCATTTGGTAGCCACGGTCTTCACATTCTAGAAATCGCATTGACCTTGTGTATTAAATAACAGATGCTGTTTTAATTGAACATGTTTGCACTTTTGTAATACAAATTATTACCTATTATAAAGGCATATATTAGGCAGAGCATATTAATTATTAAATCATCAAGATATATACTTATGAGGTTTGGCCAATATATACTCATGAGGTTTGGCCAGGTTTACCTCACTAACAATTTATTATAGGAACATATCTAGGTCGGACATTTTTTGTTGTTCAAATCAGTAGAGTTTCATCTCTCAGGATTGGAGTGTCCTTTCTCTGTCTCTCTCTCTCTCTCTTGCTCTCTCTCTCACATACAGTAAACCTTCACGTGACATTGTCAATAGGTTATTGGAAACTGTGACTTTAAGTGAAATTACATCTAACACAAGCAATCTTTTTTTACCGATGTTATAATGAAAAGATGTTGAAAGAAATGATGTTATTTGAAGGTATGATGTAATATATTATATATATATGTATTTTTATATATGCTTTATGTATTTTGTTATGTATCTATTTACATATTTTGTTATTTATATATTTTGTTATATATGTATATGTCTGTGTATTTATATGTTATAAATATAAACATGCCCATCCTGTTGAGCCACTGGTCCCAGCAGCTGGAGCAGTCTCATGGCTCCACAGAGTTGATGTGTGGATTCGAGGTGTGGAGCTGCAGGATAGTCTCAGAGTTGGGGTCATAGATTCCAGAACTGGCCTTTTGGGACTCAGATCTAGCTGTATAATCTGAGGCAAGCCAGCAAATCTCTCTGTGCCTTGGTTTCTCTGTTGGTAAAACGGGGAGACTTACTTTACAAGGTTGTCGTGAGAATAACTTGGGTTAATATTTGAAAAGCACTTAGAATAATATAGAGCACATAGGCAGTGCTAGGAAAAATGTTATTAATGAATGAAAGCACATATTTCACAACCACATTAGAATGACATGGAATTGGAATCTAAAAATAAAATGTTCATGATGCGAAGTGATTAAAGTATTGTTCTCTCAATGCTGTCATTGATTATGTCATCAAAACACTTGTGTGAGTTTGACTTATCATTATATCCATTTTACAGATGAGGAAGCAGAGGCTTCCTAACTACAGGCTAGCTGCACAAAGACACATAACCAGCCATTAGCAGAGCTGAGACACAAACCTAGGTTACATGAATCTAATTTTATGCACAAAATACCACCTTAAACTGCCTGAGCCTCCTGATGCCCACACCTTGGAAGCAATTTCTGTAAGGAAAATACATGTCCTTATTAAAGCAACAACCAAAAACATAGTCAAAACCTCAGTATAAACAATCTTCCCCTCTTTCTAAGAATACATTAATAGCATAACTATCACTGCAAACAAAGCTGGGTTCTCAGCTCCACAGAGCCCAGGTGAGGACAGACTCACAAACTGCTCATTGCTTTGCTGACAATTGCAGTTCAAATTCTTAGTGACAATTCAGCTTGGAGAACATCAAGTGTCATAGAAAATGGAGAAATCAGTGAGATCCCAAATACTGGATTCTAATTTCCTATTTTTCTTTAATGCTTATTAACATGAGGGTAAGAAAATATTCATTAAAAGACTCAATTCTATGGAATATTTTAATAGAAATCTTTTACCATCAAATTTGAATATTGAGGAGTCTTTAAATGTCCATGAGTTCAGACTCTTGGCATTGTCAAGCATAACATATGTTATATATGTGAGATAATAATAAAGTGAAGTAATATCATTAGCTATAGGTCCAAATGGCCCCACATTATACAAAAATGAATATAGCTATAAGCCATTTAGGAAAATATTCTCAACTATGTTTGAGATCAACTTCTTACCCCTCTAATTCCCAAAATACTTAGAAGAAAATCTGTAATTTATTCTTTGGATAATGTTAATTTTTAAGAATCACAATTTCCTAATTATTATTTTTGACCAATGTACTGATTTAAAACAGATTTTCTCACAAAGAAATAGAAATAGTTTTTAAAACTTTGTATTCAAAAAGGTTATGAAAATAATGTATGAATAATCCCAGATTCAACTTATTTAAGTTATATAGTTTTGTCTTTTAGATAAAGAATAGTTTATGAAAACATTTCTCTCTCTTTTTTTGTCTTAAGAACCTTGTTTCTGGGAGGTGTCCAAAGGTAGGAGGAGGGGGGCTTTTTTTCAAGAATAATTAACGTTCTGTGTTTCACTCTATATTAGTTATTATAGATGTTTCTTGTTTCCGTAGATAGATATTCACGACCGGGCTAGAAATGGCTGCAGAATTTGTTCTGTGAAGGGCCGGCTGAGGCAGCCATCCGGTAACATCACCTGGTAACACCACCCGGTAACATCATCGGGTAACACCATCCGGTAACACCATCCGGTAACACCATCCGGTAACATCATCCGGTAACATCACCTTCAGACATCCCAGGGGTATCTTTCTGTGTTACCTCCATTCCTCTCCTTTCCTAAAAATCTTCTAAACTATGGGTTTATAGGGGTCGAGTTTGTGATATGCATAACCAAATCCCACATATATGATTATCTTTTGTAAATTCCAAGAATGCCCCTCTTAGCCTGAATCAACAACTATCAGACAGATTTAGGGACTTGTTCTGCTTCCAGAATGTAGACTTTTCTACACTGTTCGGCCTGCACTACATACCAGGACCCACGAATTTTGCAGCAACCAGCCTTAATTTTTCTGAAAATATCTTTCTTGCCACTATTTATTGACTCATTTAGCTCAGCTCACAGCAGATGGAATGTCTAATCAAGAACCCTATAGACAAGATGATGGAGGGGATGGCACATCACGTGGCAGAGGATGGTGTTCTCGGCTTTCTTGTGGATGAAAAGAAACGCTTAGCTGTTTCCTTCTCATCCAGAGAAAATAAAGTACAGGGAATGCACAAAATCGAAATGAAACCAAACATATTTGTTTAAAGGATAGCCTCTACTCGTGAATAAAGTTGATTCTTTGTGGTGTAGAGAAGTCATCCAGCGCTCCTGGGGTAAACGCCGAACAAGGACACTAGCGTCTTTCTCCTTTGACCTTCATCACGCAGGCACTCAGGAAGATTCTTCCATCTTTATTTGCTTTACTTTTCCCATTTGCAAAAGGAGAGCAATCATGCCACCTGTCTGCCCAGGTGGCCTTTTGAGGATAAATGAGAAGAGAGAAGGCATTTTCCTGCCAGAACTATTGTTCGACTCTGCACTCCTTTTTTGCTGCTCCCAGGCTGAGGGTCATCTTCAGCACTAATTGCCTCATCTCTTTCTACATTGAATCTCTTGGCAGTGAGAAAAGCTGCTATCTTGTATCTCATAGGAACATCCACCCATCTGGTTCCTCAAGCTCTACTGTGTTCCCTTGGCCCTGCCATGTCTAGAACCCTAGTTGCAAAATCTGAGTTCCATTTCAGATGTTACCGCCCACTCACTGGGTAATTCAGCCTTTATAATTTTCAGTCTCTACAGTTTTAAAGTAGGGATATTAATATATGTATTGCTTGTTTTGTAGGTTAATAAGAAAGTCATATTTTGTGGAGTGTCCAGATGCACTAGGCATTAATTAAGACATGAGTATGTGAGGACACGTTAAGAAATGAAAATTGCAGGCTGGGTGCCATGGCTTACACCTGTAATCCCACACTTTGGGAGGCAGAGGCAGGCAGATCACTTGAGGTCAAGAGTTCCAGACGAGCCTGGCCTATATGGCAAAACCCAGTCTCTACTAAAAATACAAAAATTAGCTGGGTGTGGCGGTGCATGCCTGTAGTCCCAGCTACTCAGGAAGCTGAGGCGGGAGAATGTCTTGAACCCACAAGGCTGAGGTTGCGGTGAGCTGAGATCATGCCACTGCATTCCAGCCTGGGTGACAGAGCTAGACCCTGGCTCAAAAATAAAAAAAAATTAAAAATTTAAAAAAAGAAAAGAAAATTGCTACATGCATGTTTCAACTTATCACCCTGGAATGTCTTCTGATTTTCTATTTTTAAAGAGAGGTATTCTTCGAAAAATGGCACATGGCTGTAAGAGGGCCAAGATTCTATTGAAATCTCACCCAATAAATCATAGCATATTAATTTCTTCCCAACCTGAGAGCATTTGTGTCCAAAGAAGACTTCTCAACATAAGACTTTGGGGAGTTACCATTAATCTGTTAGAACTGACCTCTGACATGAAACTTACAATCACTTTTGTAATACAGAAAGCTGAAAAGGAAAATGAACCTGGGCTTGACCCTGGGATATATTTGTTAGTGATGTCATTCACACTGTCTATAGATGAAAGATAGTAGCGACTACTTTATAAGGTAGTTAAGAGAGTGAAATACACTAATGAGAATGAGACTGTTCAATTAACAGAGGCTGTTGCTATTAATATTAAACTGTACTTTTTCCCCACTGTTTGCATGTAGATTTGAGTATAGTAAGAGAACACTTAATGTCTTATTTATTTATAAAAGATAATGTATTTCTCTATCAAGTACCCATCTGAATACGTATGGAGACTGTCCTCTGTGTGACTGTCAGGGTTCTAGGCTATTTGTGACTTGTTACTCAGCCATCACTTGTTTGTTGTCATTATCTACCTGGATCAAGATGACTTTCTCCTTCCTCTTAGGGCCAGGTCCCAGGAGATACACACATCATTTCTTATTCACATCTCATTGGCCACAACTGAGTCAAATGATCACATTGGATCTGAGCTCCAATGGAGGCTCAGAAATATCTATTTTTGAGAGATGCCAGACAAAGCACTGTACATTCTATTCAAGTGAGAAGAAAAGAATAGCTATAAGGGAAAATCTCATCTCTGTTACAATTGTACACCAGTGTCAAGTACATGGTTAATGTATATATGCTGAATTAATTATTAGACCACTGCTAAAATTATGTTTAACATTTGATATTAAAATAGTATTTTCTGTCTTAAACAAATAAAAACCTGCATTACCATCTAACAGGAATTTCCTAGGATGAACATATTTTACTAAATTTAATCATAGAAGATTTATCTCATAATTATGGAAAACCTATCATCTCAAATGGTGCCGCTGCAATTTCTGGGGTGTCCCATTAGGAGCTGCTATAGGGTAATGGTAGAACTAATAAATATTATTCCAAACTATGGTTCACAAAACTCAGAACCTTTAGAAATGAATTAACATATTATAATCATATAATAATTATTTTCATCACGTGTCCTTTTCACATACTATCAACATAGGTACCGCTATGCTTTATTCTATGATTTTAAAATTATGGAACCTAAGAAATCAGCTGAGTACAACTCAACCTCATAATTGGCAATGCTTTTGAAATGTACACATTAAACTGCATGAGCAGAAGAGCAGCTGATGTGTTTTCTGAGTTTATTCCCAAAAGTCAGACACGCATGTCAAATGTTCTATTTTAAAAGACGCAAAGAAGCTATTTCATGAATAAAATCTGCATTCTACATCTATACACACACTCTTATATACTCCATAGCTTTTTTAAAAATTGTGATTGTTAATGCAAAATTTAATTTGTTTTCTAAATTAATAATGGTTGTTTCTCTAAATTCAGGAAAATGTTATTGGAATTCAGAGGCTATTTTGAAGACAATATAGCATCTTTTAAATGCTGGAAATCCCTCTTTATAAAAGAATGTGTAACAAGGAAATGGAATAGCCTGTCTGCTACCACATGTGATTATTTTGTTAAAAATAAGAACAAAAACAGTTATTTGCTTAACTAAAACCACGTGATAACTTTCAGATAAGTATTTTACTTAAGCTCTATATTCCTTAAAGGAAAAACAAAGTCAGAAGTATTTGTGTAATATCTACATTAGAGTCAAGTCGTCAAGTTTAATATCCCAATTTCTTACCCAAAAACAAAATTTGCAAATACAAATCAATAATCTGTTACACTTACAAAACTGTCTTTAGATTACAAGTTGATATTAAATAACAATTGTATTATTCACTCCTTAAAAATGCATTCAAAGGCCAGGCGAGGAGACTCATGTCTGTAATCCCAGCAGTTTAGGAAGTTGAGGAAGGAGAATCTCTTGAGGCCAGGAGTTCAAGACCAGCCTGGGCAACATAGGGGGATCCTGCCTCTACAAAAAATACAAAAATTAGCCAGGCATGATGGCCTATACCTTTAGTTCCGGTTACTTGAGAGGCTAACGTGGGAGAACTGCTTGAGCCTGGGAGATTGAGGCTATGAGTGTACCACTGCACTACAGCCTGGGTGACAAAGAAAGACCCTGTTTAAAAAAACATGCACTCGGCCGGGCGCGGTGGCTCACGCCTGTAAACCCAGCATTTTGGGAGGCCGAGGTGGGCAGATCAGGAGGTCAGGAGATTGAGACCATCCTGGTTAACACGGTGAAACACCGTCTCTACTGAAAAAAAAAAGAATACAAAAAATTAGCTGGGCGTGGTGGCGGGCGCCTGCAGTCCCAGTTACTCAGGAGGCTGAGGCAGGAGAATGGCGTGAACCAGGGGGGCAGAGCTTGCAGTGAGCCGAGATCGTGCCACTGCACTCCAGGCCGGGCGACAGAGCAAGACTCCTGCTCAAAACAAAAACAAAAACAAAAACAAACAACAAACAAAAAACCAAAAACATGCACTCAAAAGAGTTAGCTCAAGCATCTGGTGGTATCCACTGTATAAAAACCACATTATGATCCAGCAATCCCACCTCTAAGTATGTATCCAAAGGGATGAAATGAGTATGTTGAAGACGCAGCTGCACTCCCACTGTCACTTGTGCATTGTTTACAAATAGCCAAGATATATAAACAATATAATATAGGTAATATAAACATATAGAAATATAATTATCTTTATAATAGAAACACTATAAATTTCTGTCAATGGATGAATGAATAAAACATTGTGTGTGTGTGTGTGTGTGTGTGTGTGTCTGTGTGGGTGTGTCCACACAGGGGAATACTATTAACCTGTAAAAAGAAGGAAATTCTGCCACTTGTAACAACATAGATGAACCAGGAGGACGTATGCTGAGTGAAATTAACCAGACACAGAAAGACAAATAGTGCATGAACTCACTCCTCTGTGGAATTTAAATAGTCCAGCCCATAAAAGCAAAGAGTAGAATGATGGTTGCCAGGATGTGGGGAGAAGGGGACAGTAAGGGTTCAGTCAGGGGGTACAAAGTTTCACTGCGGAAAGATGAATAGGTTCTGGACATCTAATGTAAAACGATGTGACTACAGGTAACAATACTGTGTTGCATATTTCATATTTGCAAGAGGGTAGCCACTCCATCCATCTGCCAACTTACTAGGTTTTTCTGTACGTTGAGTGTAGAGACTGTTTTGTTCTTTGTGTGTTTAGTGCATCTAATACAGTATTTAACAGAGAGTGGGGCTTGTGTCAGTCAGGGTGGATCAGGTTATGCTAAACAAAATCAAATTACCAGCGGCTTGTAATAACAAGAGAGTATTTTCAATCATGTTCAATGACGAACATGAACTAATGGGGTTAGGAGACTCTGTTCCCGGAGATACTCAGGGAATCAGGATGATAAAGAGTGAATCTTAAGACAAGCTGTCAGATCCACAGTGCAGAGAAGAAGAAAGGTAAAAAGCCAAGTGCAAGCACAGAATGCTTCCAGTTTTACCACCTCAAACATCCACACGCTTGCACCTAAGGAGTCCAATCAGACAATCTCCTGTTCTCACAAGAAGATGGGAACAGTGTATTTGTGCACAGTATTAAGTGGGCTTCGGTGCTCAACAAATACTTGCTGAATGAACGAATTATAGATTACTGCAAAAACCACAATTACTTTTGCACCATCCTAATAATTAGAGTAGGTGCTAACTTCGAATTTAATTATTTAAAAATATATATTAACTATTTTCTCTGTACCAGAAAGTCTAGTAGGCATTAGGTAATGAATATTAAAGAAAATAATCAAATGTCCTAGTAGGAGAAAACTATTATTATGATTCCACCTAGGCTGGATGTAGTGGCTCATGCCTATAATGTCAGCACTCTGGGAGGCCAAGGTGGATGGATCACTTGAGCCCAGGAGTTCGAGACTAGCCTGGACAACATAGAGAGACTCCTGTCTTTATGAAAAACGCAAAAATTAGGTGGGTGAGGTGATGCACACCTGTGGTCCTGGTCACTAAGGAGGCTGAGCCAGGAGGATCACCTGAGCCCAGGGAGGTCAAAGCTATAGTGAGCTATGGTGGTGCCACTGCCCTGCAGCCTTGGTGGTAGAGTGAGACTGTCTCATTAAAAACGAAACAAAAAAACATATCCACGTAAATGAGAACTTTATCACTCACCATTTCATAGTGAATTCTGCAACTTTCAGTTTTAGCAGGTGGTCATAATAATACAAAAATATCTTCGGCCTTTTTGCTGGACCCGTGACAGGGATGTGTGGTTTAGCTGGCCTGCCACACTCACCCCCTTGCAGGAGGCAGCACGTGAGCGAGCAAGTGCAGGGTCCAGCTGGCTGGTCCTGCAGGGCCTGTGGTGGCACCTAGGTGGGGATGCCTGTGGCCCTGAAGCCCAAGAGGAGGTGTTACGGTGCTCTTTTAGTTCTGCCGTTTCTGGATGGCAGCGTGTTGGCAGCTCAGTTGGCTCCTTGCCTCATTGCATGAGTCAGCTGTCCTCTGCCGGGGAGGGCAATGAGCCAGTGTGACAGCCTTTTTGGGTACCCACACTTGGTGAGTCCCAAACTCTTGTCTTGCATTCAAGAAGAATGAGGTCACACAGACAACTGAAGGATAGTGAAAGTGGAGAATTTAACTGAGCAATGAAAACTGCTCTCAGCAGAGAGGAGAGCTGGAGAGAGGATGGGAAGGGCAGGTTATCTTCCCCGAAGTCCCGCCATCTCCTTCAAGGTCCGGCCATCTCTCTCCAGGTCCAGCCATCTCTCCCACTACTGACTGAGTCTGGGGTCTTCCTAGGCACAGGATGGGATTGGGGCAGGCTGTAGGTAATTTTGGAAAAGGCTACATTTGATTGGTAAAAAGGTGTGATTCAGAAAGAACCAATCGGGAGAGAGCGGGCAAACAAGAATAGAAGATCTCACGTTGGGCCAGCGGTTCCAGGCTGATTTTTTATTTGTATTTTTGGCTTGAAGGCGTGGTTTCACTGGGGATCCACCCCCGTCTGCCTAGAATTTCTCTGCCTCCTGCCTCTATGAATAATTTGAAAAGAAGGAATTATATGCGGGACAACATTTTTTAATATGTATAATTTTTATTATTACCAATAAGCAAACCTGTTACTTATAACTTGGGCTCAGCAGTTTTCTGCCCATCAAAATGTGATGAGAAGCTTTGTGGCAGTTGTCATTTTTTAAAAGCACAGTGTCAAATTCATACCCACCAAAACAGAAAGTCTACAGTCAGGCATTTGGGTTTTGAAAATGCTCTCCTATAGATTAAAAGTGCCATAGAGACAAGACACTCTTCTGTCAGTTAGCTACTCTGTCCTCTGTGTGTGGCAGATAAATATTTGTGATTGATTAAAGTGCACTCCTGGTTAATAACCTCTGATAAATGGACTTTCCCCCAAGATCATAAGCAAATGCCACATCATCAAGGGGCCTTGCTGAGCTGCAGGGATGTCAGAAAAGGAAATTTCCTGGATTCTTCTCCCCAGTCTCCATGCAGATGGAGAAGGGCAGGTTGGAAGAATAAGAGGCCTTACGAAATGTTGCTCTCTCACCACAAGAACCTACAAAATAACCATCTTAGTATGTTTATTAAGCCTCCTGACCCACATGGAAGGGCTTAATAAACATACTAAGATGGTGCCCATGACAGCCTGCATTCAGATCCCTTCTGGAGCACTGGAGCATAAGAGGCTGGCAGACGTGTCACATATTTTTTTACGAGGCACTCTGCTGCCTCTGCCCACATCCCACTGCCGAAAGTCAGTCTATGGCCATGCCCAACATCACTAGGAAAGAAAGCACTTTTGTCCCCTGTAATAGCAGAGAGGAGAAGGACTATTTGCTGAATAATCTTCCAGGTGATAATAACAATCATTATCATCATGAGTACTGTCATTATCTGTCAACAATTATTAATCACAATCGTTAGTAAGAGCATCTCTCCTTTCCATCTCACAGCCCTCATCATCTGCTTCGTGCTCCTCTCGTGTCCATTCAGGTTCAGTGGCACTAAATCACTAGTGAATATAAGGGGCAGAAGGAGCAGGTTTTTGCCTTTTTTCTAACATATCATGCAATCTGTCAAAATGGCCAGCTTATAGATAGCCCCCAGGAAATATGTGATGGATGAGTGGATCAATATTGTTCTTAGAATATCCAAAGGAAGTAGAGAAAATACATACATGTGTACTTATATAATTGAGTACATATAGCATGTGTATAGAAATAACATATGTATGTATGTATTGTATGCTTACATAAATGTATATGCCTATATGTATGTGTATATACACTTGTATGTATACATTTTGTATGTATGTTTATATTTATATATAGTGCGTATATATGTATGTATACATGTGTGTTTATATATATGCATGGGTATGTGTATATACATGTATGTGTGTAAACATTTGTACACATATGTGTCTGTCTATAGGTATGTGCACTGTGTGTATATAGGTATGTGTATTGTGTATATCTGTGTGTATATCTGTGTGTATATGTGTACATGTATATGTATGTGCACTTGTGTATGTGTGTATGTATGCATGTGTATATTTATTTATGTGTATATATGTATGCACATATATAATTATGTGTATATATGTATGCATGTGTGTATATATGCATGTGAATGCACGTGTGTGAATGCACACATGTATATGTGCATGCATGTGTATATATCTCTGTGTTTATATAAGTACGTGTGTGTAGATGCATATACATATATTTGTGTGTATGTATATATGTATGTGTATTTGTGTGTGTCTATGTGTATGTGTTTGTGTGTGTGTGTGTTTGGGTGTGTATTAATGTGTTCAATACTGTCAGGAAGTGTTTTATTGCTGGAGTCGGCGTCTCCTTTGTCTGATGTTTTATGATGTCTTAGCCAGGATGGCTGTTAGAACTCAGAAGAAAAAGAGTTCATAAGGAAGGAATGGGTGCTGGGCTTAATACCTAGGTGATGCAATGATCTCTGCAGTAAACCACCATGGCACACCTCCATGTAACAAACCTGCACATCCTGCACATGTACCCCTGAACTTAAAATAAATGTTGGAAAAATAAAAATAAAGAATTGCTTCCAGTGATAATGGTGGTGAAGCTGGTTATGTCTGTGTTGGCTCATGTAACTACCTTAAAACTGACAACTGTGCAAAACTGCTCAGTGCAAAATGAAGAGTTACATGCTGAGAAGGGAGGCATGAGCCACTGATGAGTACAAAACTGCTAATAAAGCTCTCATTTTACCCTTATCTTGTCCTTATGACCTTTACAGAACACTTGTTGCCAAGGATACTTAGGCACATCAATAAAACTAGAGAAGAAAAAGTATGATAAAATATAATAATGGAAAATTAAGTTACCAAAAAAAGCAATTTTCTCCAACAATAATGGGACAAAGACTATAACAGACACCTCACCAAAGAAAATACATGGATGGGGAATGAGCATAAGAAAAGATCCTTTACATCATATGTCATCAGGGAAATGCAAATTAAAACAACAAAGAGATCTATTACACAGCTATTAGAACTGTCAATATCCAGAACACTGATAAAACCAAATGCTAGTGAGAAGGTAAAGCAACAAATCCTCTTGTTATTCATGGTAATGCCAAATGGTACACTCTATTTGGAAGAGAGTTTGGGGCCTCTTAGAAAACTAAGCATACTCTTACTATACAATCCAGCAATCATGCTCCTTGGTATTTACCCAAAAAAGCTGGAAACTTATTTCCACATAAAAACCTGCACATGGATGTTTATAGCAGCTTTATTCATAATTGTCAATATTTAGAATCAATCAAGATGCCATTTAGTGAGTGAATGGATAAATAAACTGTGGTATAGCCTGACCAGGCAATATTAATCAGTGCTGAAAAGAAATGAACTATTAAACCATGAAAATATGTGGAAGAGCCTTAGAAACATACTATTAAGTTAAGGAAGCCAGTCTGAAAAGGTGGCTACATACTGTGTGACTTCAATTATACGACGTTCTGGAGAAGGTAAAACTGTGAAGACAGTAAAAACTTCAGTGGTTTCCAGGAATTGGGGGTGAGAGGGGTGAATAAGCAGAATATAGATAATTTTAGGGCAGTAAAACTATTGTGCATGACACTCTATGAAGGCGTGTCATTTTAAATTTGTCCAAACCCATAAAATGTGCAACACCAAGAGTGAACTCTAACATCAACTGTGCACGCTGGGTGATAATGATGTGTCAATGTAGGTTTGTCAACTCTAACAAACGAACCACTCTGGTGAGGGATGTTAGAAATGGGGTAATCTGTGCATGTGTTGGGGGTAGGGGACATACAAAAAAGCATCCATCTTCCTCTCAATTTTTCTATGAACCTAAAACTACTCAAAAAAATAAAGTAAATTAAACAAACCAACTCTCATCATAATTACTCAGTTTTATCGACTCATCTAATTTTGCATTAACTGCCTCCAGTAGGAACCACTTAACTTGTCTTTATTTTATTTAGAGTTTCTGAATTTTATGTCCTTTGATAGGGCAAAAGAATCTTATACTGTAATGAGAACTCAGGACTCGACAGACAAAAATTGTAAAAAACCAACATGTAGAGTCACAAGGTTCTTGTTCATGATTTCCACAAGTGCTCTACTTGGATTTACATTTTTTAAGCAAAAATAAGTGCATTAGTTCTTTGTTCATTATGGTTCCAGTAGATAGTGCTTACATTTCTTATTAAAACTTTTCAAAGTAGTGCAAAAAAGAAGATGGACACAGAAAAATCGTGCCATATAAATACCCATCATGCCACATAAGTACCCATCAGCAGTTCTGTTTTAAAAAAAAAAGCTATCATTAAGGAAGAAAAAGTGTAAATTACAAAAATGAGGTCACAATGTAACTCATATAAATTGCAGCCACCTGTTTTTCTCATTTCCAGGAGAAAGGATTTTATGTATGCAATGAAGCAACTTTTTTTTGGAGAAAGAAAATTTGCTCTGCAGTCTTCATTACTTAAGCACTATTTAAGTCTCCACAGTCTTGCCTGCCCAGCTCTTGTCACCAGCTAATCAGCAAGTGGACATCTACGGCTACCATAGAAGAAGAATCACACACTTCCCAGAATTAGAGGATCTGGAAATCCACAGTTGCTTTCAAATAAGACATAGTTGAAAGGTCTTGGATTGGCCTGTGAAAAATCACACAATGGCTTATAAAGCTGAGTTGGAGACAGAACATGGTGCAGTGAATTACAAATTTTAAATCTGGATAAGGTTTCATTCAGATAAAGAGGGAATAGCAAGTCATATTGTAGGTCGTGCTATAAGTGTATATTGTTTTGGTTTATTTGGGCTGCTATAACAAAATGCCATAAATTGGTAGTTTATAAATAGAAGTGCATTTCTCAAAGCTCTGGGGGCTGGGAAGTCCAAGAGCGAGATGACAGCAGATTTGGTGTCCAGTGAGGGCTCACTTCCTGGCTTACAGATGGCACCTTCTTACTGTGTCCTCACATGGTGGAGGGGATAAGACAGCTCCCTGGGGCCTCTTTTATAGGGACACTAATCCCATTCATCAGTGTTCCACCCTCATGGCCCATCACTCCCCAAAGGCCCCATCTCTTAATTTCATTGCTTTGGTGGGGTTGGGGGTTAAAATTTCAACATATGACTTTTGAGGGGACATAAACATTCAAAATATAGCAATGTTCATCATATAAACTTAGGCCCAGGACTCATCAGGAGTAAACCAGAGGAACGTCAGTTGATTTCTTTTTCTTTCCTATTTCCTCAGGTTACCTTTTGTGTAAAGTTGTACCTTTTTGTATATATGACATCATTTTGGAAATGCTACTTTAATTCACATATATTAAAAAGTTTAAGACAACTTTTTTTGAAAAAAACCTAGATAACCATTTATATACAGGTTTACTAATATATGAGAAAATTCACTCATTATTATTAGATTTTTTTCCTTTGAGAGGTAAGATTTTTATCATTTTAATTTTAGTTTCTGTTTTCTAATCTTCATTTTTCTAATTTTCAAATTTTAGTAAAAAGTGTTATATAATTTAAATACTTTTAAACTTAAAATAATATTATGTTTTTCAGAAGAAAGTCTTCATTGATTTGGAGGAAAGAAGCTACAGATTTCACCAATAATAGAAACTGAATTGCCTCATGTTTAAAAACAGAAAGTAACTGAATTACAAAATTTTTGTGATTAATGTTGAATAAAAATAAAACAAACTTTAGTATGTTGTTATACATTTTTTTCCTGCTTACCTTAAACTGGATTTTGGAAAACTTTGATCTTTTGTGACAGTATTTTGTAATTCAACCTATGTATATGACAGTGGTACTGATCATTTTGTAAATGAATCATCCTGTATATTTTGTACGTATTTTGTCAAAGTTAATTTTAAAATCTTTCAATAAAAGAACTTAACAAATAGAACACCAAAAGTCTTCAACTTTTGAAGCTTTCCCAAATTGTGATAATTAAAATTAAAACATATAAACAGAAAGACATTAAAATTTTTCCCTTAAAAAATAAGAAAGGAAATTAAGAGAGATTATATGGAATTGATAAATTAACTTGGAAATTCTATTGTTGTTTTTGAACTATTCCATCTTCTTTTCAGTTTAAGGTTTAGTTGACCAAAACGTATATATTTATGATATACACTGTGACATTTTAATATATGTATACAATATTTAATGACTAACTTGACCTAATTAACATGAAAAATAGCAATCACGTATTCACTTATCTTTTTTTTGCCATTCAGTTTGATTGAAACGATTGTTTTCTTTGTTACAATTAGTTTCCAACAGCTTATAGTCACCATGGCTGGGGGTCATAACTAACGTTTTTAATTCCTTTCAAAGCACTAAAAACATCTGGCTTTGCCTTGAACACAGAGTTGAAAAGAGCATTTCTCATGAGGGGATGACAATATGTCACCCAAAATACTCCACTCTGGCTGGTGGGATATTTTGAGCTGGAGCCTACTGAGAACCAGCAGATGCCGGAAGA
Organism: Homo sapiens; assembly: GCF_000001405.40. Classification (NCBI taxonomy): domain Eukaryota; kingdom Metazoa; phylum Chordata; class Mammalia; order Primates; family Hominidae; genus Homo; species Homo sapiens. The sequence goes on from NC_000012.12 coordinate 126,943,289, forward strand.
ACACTCTATCCTCTCCCTTCCTGCCTAAAAGTAGAGTGTACATTTTTCTTTGTGAAGGTGACATTACTTTCCATTTATACAGGTGCCTCCACATTCTGTACCAGGAGGAGGAGAAGGATTCATACCTGCATCACAACACTTACTAAACAATCCTATTTGCCACAATTTCCTAGTCACCTTCCCACAATTTACCCACCCTGAGTGCCCCAACCCCTTTTCCTTTCTGCAGTCACGTCTCCACCATGTATCACCCTTTCTGAAAGGGGTATATAAGCCCATGGTCTAACTGCCATCTTTTTGGGTCTTCGCTTCTTTCTCACGAAGCCTCCAGACACATAAAATTATGAACATCAATAAGAAAACCTATGCATTTTCTCCTGTTAATCTGCCATTTGTCAAATTAATTAACAGGCCCCAGGCACAGAACTAAGAAGAAGGCAGTGAGAAAGTTGTTATTTTCCAATCGTCCCCACCTCCCGCCACAACACTCAGAAACCACCGATAAGAAAAGCCATGTAAACTAAAAATCATATTTTTTAGCCTATCAGAAAGCAGAGGTTGCTAGGTAGTTAAATATTCTGAAATCCATTCAGGGACAGCTCTTTGACTAAGAAGGACGGATCCTGTGGACTGCCCCAGTTGTGGCAGAGCCTGGGAGGAAAGGATTCTGGCCATAGAACCAGGTCAAATGCCAATATTTTAACCTCTCATTAAAGACTGGGAGTAGACTAGTATGAGGTTACAGAACCTCTTGTAACTGCCCAATGGATTCACCTTGCCTGCTGCCTAGACAGAGCCAATTTATCAAGACAAAGAAATTGCAATGGAGACAGAGTAATTCACACAGAGCCGGCTGTGTGGGAGGCCAGGGTTGCATGCACTTGCAGAATCCTTTTTTATAGACTTTCCACTTAATGCTATGTGAAAGGTTGAAGGCAAGAGGTGAAATGGAGAAAGGCTCTTTTGGTTCTGTAGGAGGTGAGTGATGGGTGATGCTGTGGGAAAGGCATGAAGCTATATGCCTGATCCTCTACCCCACCCCTTGTAATATAGAAAGCAAATGCCTGGTACCTTGAAAAAAAGAGCAGCAAACCCTGCCACTCCCAGGATACAGGTAAAGGCCTCTTGTTACTTCAGGACAAATGAAGGAAGAAAATATCTGTATACTCATAGAGTGGGGGCTGATGACAGTCTTGGGATCAGGACTCTATTCTAGTACCATTACAAGTCTCCCTCCATTGGGGAAGGAGTTCTCAACTCTTCTACAAGACCCATTGTTAAAAGGCAGATGTAGATGCTAGAGAGACGGGCAGGAAAGCTGAGAAAGTCCCAGCACGAATATCCAGGCCCACCAGCCCCACCAAGGACTAAGGCTGAGCCAGAACAACAGAGAAGACTCAACCACGCCGCCACCTCATCAGTTCAGCAAACAACAAGTAACAAACAGCAATGAGTGATGGAGAGACGACTCAAAACAGAAGATGGATCACAAACAGTGAAGACACACTTTGGATGCCATAAGCACATGGCATCGTGGTTAGATGAGTTTGAGGCCTGTGACTCACAGATGGTAACCATAGCAACAACAAAACCCAGCTCAGCGCAACGTCTGCCCACATTGACCCATATCCCATACTAATGCCCCCAAAGAAGATGCAAGCTCCTAGCCCTACTTGCATACCATTTATCTCAGTCTCTCAATAGCCACATGTAATGTGCAGATTTCAAGGACAGATTGTAAGTCATGAAATTTTTAAAAATTGAGAAGAAACAACTTGGTCCAGAATCAAACTACCAACAGAATTGGACTCAGAAATGACATGAATTTACACCAGCCTCTGAAACACAGCCCCACCACCCCATCCCACTCCACCTCTTACCCTAGAACTTTTTCCCATCAGGCATAAAATACATTTGACTTATTTGTCCAGTATCTCTCCTTCTTCTCTAAAACAGCAGCTCCATCAGATAGAGACGTTATCTCTCTTGCTCACTGTACCTTGAGTGTTAGCTGGTACATAGGAGTTGTGCAAGACAGCTTTGTGGAATATGTGAATGTATCGGCTTTATTCTTCTCCAACTCCTAGAACAAGTGAGAAGCCTTACTACCTAAGTATATGAGTGGAAGTGTATTTGGTCAAAAATCTTTATGTTAAGTACCTTGACAGGTGAAAAATGGGCTTTAATTTTCATAAAACCAGAGATCCCAAATTTCTTTGTCTGACTATTCTCTCCAGGTTTATCTTTCTTTATATTCCTCCTTCCTGGTTCTATGTGACACATGTCTTAAGAAGAGAACACAGGGACCATTAGCTCGATATTGCTGCTGTGTAACTAGAACTATTCTACCAAGATCTCTCATGAGAAAATCCAGAATGGATTCTCAGCTTCCCTGACCCATGCTAATTCTGCAAAAATAGTTCCATTCTCTTGTATTTCATGTTTTCTCTTCTATCTTCTTTTTCTCTCTTAATCAATCACAATATGGAACTAAAATAAAATATTAAGTTATTAATCATTCTGATTTTGAATAGTTTTATGTTCTTTGTTTTTCATTATAAAGGTAGATGAGTCAAACCCATTATATTTCTCTAAAAATATAATTCTAAATTAATTTTATCTTATTTAAGAAGCTTATAATGCTCCTATTTATGAATAACAGGCTATGTGGGGGATATTTCCCACCACTTCACGAATTATTTTTTCCAGGTACTTTCTTGCAAAAATCCTACTTACTATTGTCCTTAAACCAAATGACTTAAGAAGAATTTTATACGAGCTCTGATCAGATTGACTCAAGGCTCCAGAGAAACTCAAAGCTCCATGACATGATTTCTTTCTTATTGGTAGGCCCAGGCGGGTGGAACACCTGAGGTCGGGAGTTCGAGACCAGCCTGACCAACATGGAGAAACCCTGTCTCTACTAAAAATACAAAATTAGCCGGGTGTGGTGGCGCATGCCTGTAATCCCAGCTACTTGAGAAGGCTGAGGCAGGAGAATCACGAGAATCGCTTGAACCCAGGAGGCAGAGGTTGAGGTGAGCCGAGATCGCACCATTTCACTCCAGCCTGGGCAATAAGAATGAAACTCCGTCTAAAAAAAAAAAAAACCAAAAAACAAAAAAACAGTGTTTTCAGCAGCTGGCAAACATTAAGAGCCTATCAAATGCTTATCTAATATTAAATCAATACAGTTTAGCTTCATCAAACCACATATTCGGGAAGCATGTCACATTTCCAATATGGACATTATTAGTGAAATTTGCAACTATGCAACTGTGCCAATGGCCACCAAGAATTCAATAGCAAGCCTAGAGATCAAGTAATAGAGCGCTCTGCAGTGCAGTTGCTGCCAAATAATATAACAACATGTAAAAAGTATTTCAGTAATTTGGGAGTGAAATTAGAATGTCTTTTTTATTATTAAAATTAAGAATACTACAAACTGAAGTCATTCTAAGACCCATAAGTTCTGATTAACATTTTCCTCTTCCAAATTACCTTATACTAACAGGTAATTTTCTTTGGTATAAATTTCAGCACATAAGAAGGTTGATCAAATAAGACATAAGTGATCAATCCATGATACTTGAGTTCCTACTCTTTCTGAACTACAGAGGAAACAGGGTCGTGATTAAGCTCTAGACTTGGCACACAAACACAACTGGATCTGAGGCACAATTAATCAGGCGTGTGCCTTGAACAAGGAACTTAACTCTCTGTGGCTCATTATTTTAATCTGTAATACTAGGCTGTTTAACATTACCTTCCTCGTGGGTGGTCGTGAGGAGAAAGTGACGTATTTAAAGCACTTAGCACAATGCCTGTCTCTCAGTAAAGTTGCAATGTCTGGAATCACAAATGTTGAGGATGATATACTGAAAGAAATCAACGACACCATGGAATACTATGCAGCCAGAAAAAATGATGAGTTCATGTCCTTTGTAGGGACATGGATGAAATTGGAAATCATCATTCTCAGTAAACTATCGCAAGAACAAAAAACCAAACACCGCATATTCTCACTCATAGGTGGGAATTGAACAATGAGAACACATGGACACAGGAAGGGGAACATCACACTCTGGGGACTGTTGTGGGGTAGGGGGAGGGGGGAGGGATAGCATTGGGAGATATACCTAATGCTAGATGACGAGTTAATGGGTGCAGCACACCAGCATGGCACATGTATACATATGTAACTAACCTGCAAATTGTGTACATGTACCCTAAAACTTAAAGAATAATAATAATAAAGAAAGAAAAAAAAAGAAATCAATGGCGATTTCTAACTGTAGTTTTCCAGTGAATTCCTTTTCAATTAATAGTACAAATATTTCTGTCAGAATAAAGAGGTACACAGTGAGAAAGTAAGTTTCCTTCGTGCTCCATCTCTCAGCCTCCCAGCTTCCTTCTTCCTTTTCTCTCAACTAAGTTTGTAACTGAGTATCCCCATTTTTTCTAACAGATTGCTTAAATATGTTTTTACCTTTCTTCTTTTCTTGTTGCTCCAGTTCTCCATTCTTACTTACCCCTTTAGAAACGCAAATATAGCCTTTTTTTTTTCTTTGAGATGGTCTCAGTCTATCACCCAGAGTGAAGTGTAGTGTTCGAATCTCATCTTACTGCAACCTTGACCTCCTGGGCTCAAGCGATCCTTCTGCTTCAGCTTCCTGAGTAGCTGGGACCGCAGGCCTGCACCAACACACCCGGCTAATTTGTGTGATTTTTGTAGAGATGGAGTCTTGCTATGTTCCCCACGCTGGTCTCCAACTCCTGGGCTCAAGCAATCTGCTTGCCTCAGCCTCCAGAAGTGCTGGGATTGCAGCTATGAGCCATCACACTAGGCCAAATACAGCCTTTATGCCCACCTCCACCCACTTCGCTAGACACTTCCTACAGGGCAAGTTCATCTCACTCCTTAAAAGTTAGATGAATTTATTAAATTAACATGTAGGTTAGCAGCCATGTTAACTTAAGGCACTGCACCGGAACTGACATTCAGACCCCCACTTTGTTTGCTTCCTCCTCTGCAAAACCTTTTAAAAGTGCCCACTTTCTGCTCCAAAAGCAAAACAGCACATTTAAAGGCAGGACATCTGTGCCTCTTCCCCTAAGCTGGCTCAGAATAAGTCACTTTCTTTAAACCAGATCTTGCTCTTGTTAATTGGACTCCATGTGGTAACTAATCTGCTGTTCAGTTACAAGTTGTCTGTGTGTGTTTGTGTGCATGAGAGCGTGTGTATCATTTCAGCAACGTCATGTGAATATACGCCTGTATTTATGTATACATGTCACCTATGTTTCAATTTCTTGAATTCTGTAACAGTAAATCTTGGCCAGGTGCAGTGGCTCACGCCTGTAATCCCGGCACTTTGGGAGGCCAAGCGGGGAGCGGATCACCTGAGGGCAGGAGTTCAAGACCAGCCCCGCCAACACGGCGAAACCCCATCTCTACAAAAAATACATAAAAATTAGCCGGGCATGATGGCGGGTGCCTGTAATCCCAGCTACTCGGGAGGCTGAGGCAGGAGAATCGCTTGAACCCAGGAGGCGGAGGTTGCAGTGAGCTGAGATCTCACAGTTGCACTAGCGACAGAGTGAGACTCCATCTCAAGAAAAAAAAAAAAGAAATCCAGTAAATCTTAAATATTGTTCTATACCAACACATAAAGGTCTACTTATGCTACTTGTATTCTGAATTGTGCTCATCACATTTTCCTTTAGGTTAAAGGAAACACCATTTCCACTTTGACACTGCTGTTCATTCTGTTAACTAAAACAGTGTACAAGAACACAGAAAGATAAGGCATTTTTGACAATCAGACTATCATTCTTCACAGCTATCCTAGCTACTAAGACTGGATAAGGAAGGCAGCCAATGGCTTCAGATTCAACAGAAACAGCAGACATTTCAAACAAAGATCTACAAAGTCTATGTTCAAAGCTCCTTTTACTTTTTAACAGTGTGGGGTGTACAATTCAGTTTTTGAGATCTTGCAGTTTTTAGAGCTTAGAATACAGACCAACATGCCAGCTAGTCACAGTGAATTTTTTTGGTAGTAAGTTTACCTATCATATAATCTCCTCTGCCATGCATTTTCCTAGAGGCAGTGAAAAATAAATGTGGCTGCTGTCTGTAAGATCTTCAAACTCAAGCATCACTGTGATGTACGAGCAGATAAACCCATGTCTAACCAGCTCTCACACTTGTCCTTAAAACCTCTATACTCAGCTAAGATGATGATACATTAACTTGTAATTATAAGTTCCAATTCTGGACACTGGAATCTCTGAATTTTGGTGCTATTTTAGAGTGAAGGACACATGTTAATGTATCTCTTTGCAGATGCTCTTAAATGACTGTTTTTGGTTTTGGAACTCCTCACACCCCTCTGTTTGCTAATTTATCCTAGTTTCAGTTTAGCCAATAGGTTATTCTTCCAGCATCTCAACAATTTGAATATGTGTGTGTGGGTGGGGGTGGTGCCTCTTCCTGTGTCTTTTCTGGTGATTCAAATGTGGGATACACTGAGAGATACTGGAAGAGACTGAAACCAAAGTTATTACCATCAGTGGTCCCAGGAGACAAGTGTGTTAACATCTCAGAGCCACAGCCAGACCTTAAGTTTTTGCCACTGATGGGCGGCATCTCATTTTCTTTTTTTGTTTTTCATTCTTAAAAACCTTATTTTAAGGTTATTTTAAACATTGAGATACCCTTAAAAATAGTCTGCATTTGTAGCAAGATGGGTTTTAATGGCATGTGGAGCATTATTTTAAGGATAACATTCATGGATTTTTCCTGTTAAGGTTCTGTTAGCCCCCAGTCCAACTCGAAAGGGATGTGAAACAGTTTTGGCAATTTCTAGAAGTTTGTGAAATAAACTCTATCCGTCCTTAGAAGTGATTTTTGCTCCAGAGCTGAACTTTTACCAATAAGCCACAGGGAAAGTTAAACAAAGTTTACGTTGCTCTCCCTCTACCCAGCTTAGTTAACATCCTGGGTGAAACACTCACAGCAATTTCATGAAGAAGGAGGATTCCCAGGCTGGCACCAGGGATGTAAATCTGACAGAGGGGGGACCATTTGCACTGCAGAGCCCAGGAGACAAGACCACACAGCTGGTGCCCACAGCTGGTGTTCACAGGTGCAGCTGGGTCACGTGGGGCTTGAGAAAGAGCATGGACCAATACTCCAGGGAGAGGAGTTGCACAGTGGGGCCCTGTGAAGGAGGGAGGGAAAAGACTGACTTTACAGAAAACCGATTAAGTACTGAGTCCTATGCCTGGCCTTGACGTGTGTTTCCCAGACGTTGAGAAGTGATTCTCCACTAGGGTTGACCATGTTCTGAAGGGGACGTTTAGCAACGTCTGGAGAATTTTTTGGTTGTCACAGATGAGGGCCCCTTTTCTGAGTCTTTGTAGGTCTTCTTTCTTGAGTCTGTGTAGACAACCCCTTTTGTTCTCTAAGGGTCTCTCACCATAGTCTCCCATTAGGATGATGGATCTCTCTGGATGACTGTTTCAGGCTCCTTCTCCCATCCCTGGGAATCCAGGAATTTCAGGGCTGACATTGGTCCAGCCAGGCAGGCCTGATAGCCAAGTCCTGCATCAACACTGCACATGCTTTTTGCTTGTGTGCTGCAGGCTGGGCACACTTCAGGGGGCGTGTGAGTTCTGTTCATCTTCTGAGCCTATGGACTGTGGGGAACAAGCAGAGCCCAAAGGAGGTGCACAGAGAGAGAGGGTGGGATGTGGTGGGGAAAGGGAGGGCCATAGAGAAAGGGCAAGCAGCCATCATCTCCAGAAATGTAAACACTGAGCAAGTCACAGCTCTTGCTCAGCCCACTCACCTGGGCTGCACAGTGGCCTCCAATGGATCTAAAGCCAGCAGGTGCTCATGGAAACAAACTCAATGCTGGGACTTTGATTTTTTATTAAATTGTGAAATTATCACTGCCACGTTTTAAAAATTAATGATGAATTTAGGCTTACAATTGTAGCACACAATATTCAAAATGATGCATTTGTAATATAATAAAATATAAAAAATATTTTAAAAGATGCCTGGACTCAGTGTTCATGCCTATAATTCCAGCATTTTTTGAGGCCAAGGCAGAAGGGTTGTTTGAGGTGAGGAGCTCAAGACCAGGTCGGGCAACATAGTGACACCTGACCTCTACGAAAAAATAAAAATGTAAAAAATGTAAAAAATTAGTAGGGAATAACACACATCTGTGGTCCCAGCTACTTAGGAAGCTGAGGTGGGAGGATCACTGGAGCCTAGGAGTTCCAGATTGCAGTGAGCTGTGATCATGTGACACACTCCAACCTGGGTAACAGAGTGAGGCCCTGTCTCTATATTTATAAACAATAAAATGTAAGAGATGCATTTTTAAAAATAACAAAACTGCAAGTACAAGCATAAGCTTGTTGGGAAGTTGGTATGGAATAATGAGAAGAAAAATTTTAAAGAATAAATAAATAATTTCATGATAAAAATCAAAATTCTAAGTCAGTAAAAGGAATAAAGCATGCTACATAATGACTGTGCAAACAATAGTCAAGGTTTTTTTCATAGAAGAATGCCAGTGTGGAGGTGAGTGAAAGACAATTGACCATCCCATAGGCAGCCTAAATTTGTGCTTAGGGCACCAGCATAACAAGGACAAAGATGATAGATTGATGATAGATGGATAGATAGATAGATGATAGATAGATGGTTGATTGATAGACAGACATTGAGGAGACAGATCTATGGGTATGCTCATATCTATATTCATATTTAAATCTATATCTATACTGACAAGCACATTAAAAACCTTTGCACAATCATCTTTCCTGGGCCATTTTACAGTAGACTGGGCCAAAGAAGATTCTGTATCTGTAACCACTGAATGGGTTCTTCCTGCCAGCCGCACAAACAAAATCAACTCACTGAGACCACGGCACGGCAGGAAAGAAAGAGTTTGACACGAGGCTGGCTGTGCCACCTGGGAGACAAAGTGATTAATCTAAATGAGATAGGTCAAGGGTCACTGGTCTTGTTGTCTAAGGTGTTATCTGAGCTTGTCGTCTCATGGCCAAGAGAATTAAGGAGCGTGGGCACAAAGGGTGAGGCTGGAGTAAAAGTTTAATAAGTGAAGAAAGAAAGCTCTCCACAGCATAGAGGGGAGCCCAAGTAGGTTGCTGTTTTTACAGTTGAATTCAAAAGTTTTTATAAGAAACTCCTCTCATCTCTGTAGCTATTTGAGTAACTTATCTGTAAAGTTGTCTGCATAACTCCCCCTTATCTATGTAGTTGTGGGTATGTCTCTAGGCAAGCACGAAGCACAGCCTCTCTTGTCTGCATAGCTGTGGGTTTGTTTTAGGTAAGTCCCCCTCTTCTCTGTGCAAATTCCCACAGAACCCATCATGTATATGCCTGAAATGGGGAGGAAACTTTTTCCTGGGAGCCCATTCATCCCATAGGGAACAAAAGGCTTCTGTGCTAGACCCTGCCTGCTTATCTCTGCAGATGCAGCCTGAGTTTTCCCCAGGCTGCTGTATTTTTGCTGTAGCTGTGATTTTTCAGCCAGCCTGCTTCTCTGAGGACTAGCCTTAGGTGACTACCTAACCGATTTTTCCTTTTTTTCTCCCTCAAAATCATTCTCCCCAAAGGCTCAGAGGTTAGGGTAGGTGCCATGCTGATAGGTTGGGGATGTAATCATAGGAGTGTGGAAAATGGTCCTCATGTACTGAGTCTGCTTCTGGGTGAAGGGCCACAGGACTGGAAGAGTTACAGTTCCAGGCTATCCAGTTGTTAGGAATACAAAAACCTGAAAAGACATTTCAAATGGCCCATCTTAGGTTCTACAATAGTGATGTTATCTCCAAGAGTAACTGGGAAAGTTGCAAATCTTATGACCTCCAGAGTAATGGCTGGTAATTATTTAGAATTCAAGCCCCTCTCGCCGTCATAACTTGGTGGCTGTCCATTAGTTTTATAGGAGCAGTTTAGTTTTTTTAGAAGGCCTATTATAATTTAAACTATAAACTAAATTTCTCCCAAAATTAGCTTGGCCCATGCCCAGAAATGAGAAAAGACAGCCAGCCTGTCAGGTTAGAAGCAAGATGAAGTTAGTAATGTTAGATTTCTCTTACTGTCATAATTTTGCAAAGATGATTTTGTCAGAGGCACTTGAACCAGAGCAACTCCATCTTGAATAAGGGCTTGGTAAAATAATGCTGTGACCTACTGGGCTGCATTCCCAGGATGTTAGGCATTCCAAGTCACAAGGTGAGATAGGAAGTTGGCACAAAACACAGGTCATAAGGACCTGGCTGATAAAACAGTTTGCAGTAAACAAGCCAGCTGAAACCCACCAAAACCAAGATCGCGACGAGAGTGACTTCTGGTTGTCCTCATTGCTACACTCCCACCAGCGCCATGACAGTTTACAACTGCCATGGCAATGTCAGGAAGTTACGCTATATGGTCAAAGAAGGGGAAGAACCCTCAGTTCCAGGAATTGCCCTCCCCTTTCCGGGAAAACTAATGAATAATCCACCTCTTGTTTAGCGTATTATCAAGAAATAACCATAAAACTAGGCAAGCAGTGGCATGTCTATGGAATAGTAATTCTTTTATTCCTTTACTTTCTTAATAAACTTGCTTTTACTTTATGGATTTCCTTGAATTCTTTCTTACACAAGATCCAAGAACTCTCTCTTGGGTTCAGGGTCGAGATCCCTTTCTGGTTAAGGTTTTATATCAGTCAGAGAAAGAAATAGAATTCATAAGATACATGATTCATGGTTGATAGGTAGATAGATAGATAGATAGATAGATTTATATATTGCAAAGAACTAACTTATACAATTACGGGGACTAGGAAAGTCAAAATCTGTAGAGAGACTATTAGGAAGGGCAGACTGGCAGCTCTTAGGCAGGAACTGTCCACAGGCACAGGCAGAAATCCTTCTTCAGGGTAACTTGAGTTTTGATCTTAAGACCTTTCAACTGATTGAGCCCACTCAGATTGTCCAGGGTAACCTTCTGTACTTCAAATCCACTAGTTGTAGACCTTCATCACATGTAAAATATACCTTGGCAGCAAAAGCAAGGTTAACATTTGAATGACAGGGACCATATATGGACTAAATGTGTTTACCCCCAAATTCATATGTTGAAATCCTAATCCCAATGTGATATTTGTTGGAGGTGGCGGCTTTGGGAGGTAATTAGATCACAAGGATGGAGCCTTCATTCATGAGATTAGATCTCTTGCAAGAAGAGGCCAGAGATCTAACTAGCTCTCTTTTCACCATGTTACAATCCCAGGAGAAGTCAGCAGCACAATTTAGAATAGGGTGCTTATTAGAACCTGGCCATGCTGGCACCCTGATATTGGATTTCCAGCCTCCAGAACTGTGTGAAATAAACTTGCATTGTTTAGAAACCACACAGTCTATGATAATTTTTATAGCAGCCAAACTAAGACAATAGCTCAGCCAATTGGACACATAAAACTGGCCAACTGGAATAGGAGTTGGAGTGACAGTTGGAATTCAGGAGGACCACTAGGAACAAGAAATTCTCACGTCATGTCATCATAATTTAAAAGTTGATAGATTTGGTATCCAGGTTTCTGATGACGGTTTCAAATGAGAATGTCTGCTTTCATTTTAATCTTCATCCCAAAGTGGTGGCAACCGACTCGGCTTAAGAACCAACCCTGCACCGAGGTCAACTGTCTGATGCAGGAATAGGTTTGCTTTTGCACCTGGGTAATATTTTTAGGCATGGAGAGGGTGTGTGTGTACGGACGATAGCAGAAGGTAAAATCAGAAAGCAGGCCAGGTCACCTAGTTGAAGGAGAGCAATGTGTTGCTTAAGAGCTTCGTAAACTTCTCAGCAGGGCTTTTAACTAAATTAGGGTTGGGGCAACAGTTAAGAGTACCTGTAATCAGCTTGTTTAGGTTCAGGGTCTGAGGCTGATCTGCATGACTTATTTCAACCCTGGAGTTTGTGTCAGGATTATTCCAAAGCAGCATCACGCACCAAGTTCTCACACAATCTCGTTCCTAATAACAGTAATCACTTATCCTTGGCAGCACATTATGGGAAACTTTTTACCTAACCAAGTGTGAAAGAGAAAATCATTACGTGTCCACTGATTGTTGTCATATACTATTTTATTTAACAGAAACATATTTTCCATGAATGATTTAATACAAGGAGACATAAAATATGCATGTGTTTAGAAACCCAATTACTCAGCTGAGAAACTCTATCTTATTATGGCTTCATTTCCTTGCCTGCTCCACACTTGCCATTTGAATGTCCCAGAAAGTGATTTTTGTACCTGACAAGCGGCAGATACTCTTTACAAAATTCATGTGTGTCAAATGCCTTGTCACGCTGAGAAGAAGTGGACTCTTTATTCAGGGTCTCATGGGAAATTTAACTCAGGCTTATCATAAAATCAGGCTTAAATGTGCGTTCAAAGGCATGGTTAAATTCTGTTCAGAAGGCCAGGTGTGGTGGTTCACGCCTGTAATCCCAGCAGTCTGGGAGGCTGAGGCAGGTGGATCATGAGGTCAGGAGATCGAGACTATCCTGATTAACATGGTGAAACCCCATCTGTACTAAAAATACAAAAACTTAGCCAGGCGTGGTGGTGGGCGCCTGTAGTCCCAGCTACTCGGGAGGCTGAGGCAGGAGAATGGCGTGAACCCGCGAGGTGGAGCTTGCAGTGAGCCAAGATCACGCCACTGCACTCCAGCTTGGGCAACAGAGTGAGACTCGGTCTCAAAAAATACAAAATTCTGTTCAGAATACATACTATTTATTGAATATGTGCCATGTGTTAGGCACTGTGGAACTCAGTGGTTAAAAACATAGGCAGAACCCCAGTGTTCATGCACCTTACATCTGGGTGGGAATGCAATTCAACAATAGAGTGGTGAATATTATCATAAGATGTACAAGCAATCCTGAGACATTGCATCAGGGATGTAAGTCAAGATGTCTGAGGTTAGAGAAGACTTCTTTAGAAATTTATGTCTAAGCTGAAGCCTAAAGTCCATAGGAAGTAGATCCAGTAAAGGAAGTAAAAAGAAGTCTTGAGGAAGAGAGAATAGTAGATGTAGCAGACACGGCTGGTATAACAACCATTCACCACTTACATTGCTTCTACCAACTTCCAGCTAGTAGCACCTGCACCTCAGTGTTTGAAGATGGCCCTCCCTCTCTATTTGCTGAAAGCTGCAAGGCAGCCCTAAGAACAGGACAGTGGAAGTCACACTCCTCCCTTCAGGTAGCACTCAACACATGAATATTTTCCAACTCCTTCAATCTTGAATCAAGTGTGGCCTTATGACTAGTCAAGGCGGTAGTCATACCAATGTGCCACTTGTGAGTCCAGCTTCCAAAGGCTTTGTGTGCTTCTGTTTTCCTTCTTGAACATCTGCCTCAGCAAGAGAATATGCCTTGGCTGGCCTGCTTAGGATGAGAGACCACATGGAGAACAGCCCATCTTTCCAACAGAATTCATCCTAAATTAGCCCACAGTGAGCCAGGCAGGTGGGAAAGCCACAGACAAAATTAGAAAAAAAGAAAAAAGCACAAAAGACATTAAGGTGAGAAACACTTAGCTAACCCCAGTAAGAAAAACGTCCCAGTTAACTCATATTCTTGTGATTACAAGTAATAACAAATTAAATAATAATATTTAATTATGATGAATAATAATACATAATCATTGTTCACAGTTTATTGAATGCTGAGGTTGTTTGTTATACAGCATTATTATGGCAATAGCTAACTGATACAAACCACATCATGGCTTTCATTGGCCTTACTGAAGACTTGATGACTAGAAGTCATTTTATTGCATTTTGTATAGTTTTTCACCATTTTTCTGGTATTTTTCATCCCTCATCACTCACCCCTCCCCTTTTTCCTCTCTCTATAAATAATATTCTATTCATTCTTTAGTCAATAGGAAAAAGTACTTGGAAAATTACAATATGATTAATTATCTCTTTAATTATTAACCACATATTTGTCTTCTGTATCTGTTTAGCAAAAGTGGACCTTCACTTTCTTGGGGAGAAAAAATACCTTCACTCTAAATATTACAGGCAGTATGTTAAAGACAGGTAGACGAATGCACTGCAACCTCTTATAACATGTAATACCCCAGTCTTAAAGATTCCTATCTGTTTATTAAAGCCAACTATATGTAGGTATCATTCTTTGTCATAATAACACATATATCCATAATTCTTAAATTTTTTTCTAAACAAGTAATCAACATTTCAGACTTTGCTTCATTGGCCACAATTAAACTCTCCATTGTTGAACATCCCTAACATTTAAATAACTATTATTTTTCCTGGTAGCTCAGTTGATAGCACAGAACCCTAACCCTAGGGATGTTTATCACCCACTGGAACAAATTAAGTGGCTAGAATTTATCAGTAAACGATATTGATTTATATTTGTATCCATCCAGAGAAAATCTGAACCCAGACTGCAAAATCTCACTCCTGTTTTACATTTCACTGCACCTTTGAAGCTAGTGCCATGGGTGAAATTCAGGTTTCTTCCTGAACTACTGTTTGGATCTTATTTTTTTCCTTTTGGTTTCATTCCAGATCAAAGAAGAAACTGAGTTTCCCCAGATTATAAACAATGGAACAGCTAACTCTCACTAAATACCCAGTTTATTTTAATCAGCTGTTGCAAGTGTATCCTGCTTGATGATCCCATTTGAGTGACTGAGGAATACTTTTTAAGGGGAATAAAGAAGCTGGAAATGGTTTCAATATGGACTTTTCAGTGAGTCCAGAAATGAGACCAGGTGAGGCCCTAATCCTCACCAATGTCCAAGGCCAAGGGACTCGAGTGGGTGGGCCATAAACACCATCTGGTTTGACTTTGATTTCTCTCTATTTGATTGTCTACAGAGGTCCCAGAGGTGGACAAACTGGCAGCTGATTCTATAGGAGGTTCACGGAGAAAAAAAAAAACTGCCCTGTTCCATAATTGCTCTTGTAGAAAATAAAGCTATCAACTTGGATCTTTCATCCCAGAATAAAGAAGTGTTTCATTTGAAACTTATATGTGCAGAATCTCTTCCATTAGGATACATTTGAGTTTGTCATTAACATTTTCATTAACGTCAACGTTTTCTTTCTTTTAACAGAGCTTTATTTCTCTATTTCATGCAAAACCCTCTGCTGGGCACTGGAATCAGAAGACAGAAATGGGGTGTAGCCTCTTCTCAAAGGAGCTATAAGGCTTGTGTGTGTTCTATTTATGATGTTGAGTTTCATGGAATTTTCTTATAATGCATGAGAACATCCATATTTCATCAGGAAAGTAGATAATTCCTATGGAAGGGGGCCAGCCCGTCCACACCTGTGGGTATTTCTCGTCAGTCCAGACGAGAGACTGAGAAAAGAAATAAGACACAGAGACAAAGTATAGAGAAAGAAAAGCGGGCCCAGGGGACCGGCGCTCAGCATACGGAGGACCTGCACTGGCACTGGTCTCTGAGTTCTCTTAATATTTATTAATTACTATTTTCACTATTTCAGCAAGAGGAATGCGGCAGGAGAGCAGTGTAGTGGGGAGAAGGTAAGCAAGAAAACTTGTGAGCAAAGGAATCTGTGTCACAAATAAGTTCAAGGGAAAGTACTATGCCTGGCTGTGCACGTAGGACAGATTTCTGCTTTTCTCCACCCAAACATCTCAGTGGAGCAAAGAGTAACAGAGCAGCATTGCTGCCAACATGTCTCGCCTCCCGCCACAAGGCAGCTTTTCTCCTATCTCAACCTTGAACAAATGTACAATCAGGTTTTATATCGAGACATTCAGTTCCCAGGGGCAGGCAGGAGACAGTGGCCTTCCTCTATCTCAACTGCAAGAGGCCTTCCTCTTTTACTAATCCTCCTCAGCATAGACCCTTCACGGGTGTTGAGCTGGGGGACGGTCAGGTCTTTCCCATCCCATGAGGCCATATTTCAGACTATCACATGGGGAGAAACCTTGGACAATATCCGGCTTTCCAGGGCAGAGGTCCCTGCGGCTTTCCACAGTGCATTGTGCTCCTGGTTTATTGAGACTGGAGAATGGCGATGGCTTTTACCAAGCACACTGCCTGTAAACATTTTGTTACCAAGGCACATCCTGCACAGCCCTAGATTCCTTAAGCCTTTTTTCTATACAACACATGTTGTATAGAAGGTTGGGGCAAAGTTACAGATTAACAGCATCTCAGGGCAAAGCAATTGTTCAGGGTACAGGTCAAAATGGAGTTTCTTATGTCTTCCCTTTCTATATAGACACAGTAACAGTCTGATCTCTCTTTCTTTTCCCTACACCTATGTCAATAATTATACAGCTTTCATGTATATTTTATACTCCTCCTTGTGTTGCCACTACCTGTGAAAAGATCACACACTTCTGAACTCAGCAATGACTGAACATATGACTTGCCTTGGGCAACGTAACATGAGCCTAAATGTCATGTGCCACTTGCATGAAGAAGTTTTAGTGGCCAGCATGTGTATGCCAAGTTCTCTTTCCCACTGCTAGGATGACCGGCAAGGTTCTAGACAGGTGACACTTCATCAGCTGTGTCCCAATGAGAAGATGTAGAGCGAACCACAGCCAACTTACAATGAATGGAAAACCAGAATGAGAAAGAATTCAACATTCTGAAAGCAGCCATTGATATCTTAAGGTATTGATTTCTACAGCACAACCTAGCATATCCTGACTGACACAATAGATGAATTAAAAAAAGAAGATAACCAAAATTCTGCCATCCATAAGAGAACACAGTTTGCATTGTGTCTTGTATATTTCTAAAGCCCTTTTAAATCCCTGAACCTTCTGCTTTTCCTCTGGCACTTTATTAATAACTGTATACATTTATGGTTTTTTTCTTAAAATTATGTCAAAATAAAAGTATGATTATAGGTGAAGATGGGTCACACATAGAGGAGTAGATATATAAAGAGATGTGCACATAGAACGATGCTATGCTCGTTTCTGTATTCCCAGGCCCCACTCACACACCTCACACCTCTTGGCCTTCAGTAAATTCTTATGAATTTAAATAAGCAGGGAGGGCTGCTTATGCATTCATGACTGTGGACTTGCTCCAGGGGAAGGAAAACATCCATGTACTTCCTTCCTGGCACATGGCCTGCTGACCCTAAAAATTTATTTGTGATTGATGAATATTTATGAAAACTGCCACTTCAATTAAAATATAAGTGCCTCGAGCTAAATTAATTGGGATGAAGGAAAAAAGGCTCATTTGCATTCTAGAAGATAACAAATGAGGGGCAGAGGTTGTCTTTGTACAGAGTACAGAAAATAATTCAAGAGTTACTGCTAGAGAGAGGGAACACAACTTGAATGCATTTCTGAACCAACAATCTTTGAAAATAGGGTTGCCATCCTTCTGGCCCAAATCACCAGGGGATAAGAGTACATTTCAATTTAACATCCCTTACACAGTTTGCTATGCTGCCACATGCCAAAGTGAAACCAGAGAAGTTCTCTTATTCTGCTTGCAGGACATGCAACAGGGGTGTGGCTCACTTCTTCAGTGACCCGCTGCTCAAACCCCTGGGGGAGCATGCAGATGGGCAGGTCCTGGGCAGCGTTTCTGGGCTCCCACCCCATGGCAACGTCTAGGGTTGAGTGTTTACAGCTCCAGAAGCCCCGGTGGGTGTGTGTTACAGTGCGCTCTTTCAGCTTTGCTGTCTGCAAAATGGCTCTGTTAATCAGCTCAGTTAGACCCTCTGCCTTATCTTGACGACAGAAGCCTTTTCGTATCCCAGGTTCTTGCCCTAGTGTACCAGAAAAATCAGATCACTGTGGGCTTGGAGAATGAGTGCAAGGTTTTACTGAGTGGAGGAAGTAGCTCTCAGTGAGATGGATGGGGAGCCAGAAGGGAGATGGAGTGGAGCCAGAAGGTGGACTTCCCCTGGAGTTGGGCCACCGAGAGGCTGGACTGTCTTCCAACCGCCCCCAGCCAAATTCCCCCCAGCCTCCGTGTCATTCTGCCATTGCTGGTGTCTGCTGGTGTCTGCCGGAGTCGGCTGGTGTCTGCTGGTGTGTTTGTCTGTTTCTGTTGATGTCCAGTTGCTTGTGTGTGTGCCTGCTACGGTCCTGGGTTTTTATGGGGCACAGGATGGGGGCATGGTGGGCCAAAATGCAACATTTTGGGCATGAAAACAGAAAAACTTGTCCTTATTAAGGTCCATGGTCATAGGCCCCAGGGCAGAGCCCTCATCAGGGACCCTTCTCTACCTAGCACTTCCCTGTCCCCTTCCCATATCAAAAGGGCCACAGTTCATGGGCACACAAGAAACCACCTCTGTTTTTATTAAGCTTTCCTGATACCCACAGCATACACAAGAAGTTCCATCCTTTAATCCTCAGTATCAGATGACTGATTTCACCATCCCAACCCCACTGTAAAAAACTTATCTCTCCCCATTCCTTTTGATGATGGGGAAGCAGATTAGGGAATATTCATAAGGGATTACTAACAAGGTTGTTTAAGGAATCTTATTTGTCCTTTGGCCTATTGCTTCCATTGTCTTGATTTTAGATGTAATTTAGTACTGGACAGGATGAGTCATGCAAATACGTAAAACTGAGTGGACATGTCACTGGGGCAAACTGGACGTGGAATTCAAGCTGCTGTTATTATTATTCATGTACCAGAAAAGTAATTAGAAGGTACTAAATTATCAAAATAATTTTATTAAAATAGTGTCAGTTGAGAATATCAAACTATATTGATGCAATTCTAAAAAGACCCAGTTACTGTAAATAATACACTTGCATTGCTGACAATTACAATTATTAAATTATAAAAGCTCCCAGGTAAGAAAATATTAACTTTCTAAGAGAAATGTGAAATACTTCCATCAGCAGATGGGGAGAAATGGTTTAAAAATCAAATGAAAGTTAATATAAGATAATTTTTATCCCCCTTAGAAAAAATTGTGCTACTTATTTCTTGTGATAAATAAATCTCATCAGGTGTTTCTCTTCTTATTCATGGTTATCCTCCTATTTATGCTCAAATAAGGCTTACTTGCTCTTGTCATTAATAATGCCAGTGACTCTTCTATTCTTCATGATTTTATTTTATCTGTTTGAGAAGATTTTTTTCTTGATGAAAATGCCAAGTCTATTGTGAGGTTCTTACTAACAGACTAGAGAGTGAAATATCTGGCCTGCATTTTCCTTGCTTCAACACGATTGATACCCAGAATTCCAATGAGCATAGTTACTTATCTATATAAAACAAAGAAGAAGGAACATTCCTGGGTCTGGGTAGATGCTTGTGCTGTCTAGAGAGTTGACACTGAGGTGTCACCACAATAAGCACAGGACCATGTTTAGGTATTGCTTTTCCTTTCACACTGACCTGGCCATCTATAAATTGTACAAGGGTTAGGAAAGATTAACTACGTTAGGGCCTCTCAACCTCAACACTGTAGGTATTTTGGACCAGATGCTTTTTGTGGTGTCAGAGGCTCTTCTGTGAATCATAAGATGTTTAGCATTATCCCTGCCCTCTATTCACTAGATGTTCATAGCATACCCTTAGTCATGACTATCAAAGATGCCTCCAGACATTGTAAATGATCCCGGGGCAAAATCATCCCCATTTAAGAACTTCAAAACATAGTCCTGGAAGTTTTGGCCAGAGCAATTAGGCAAGAAAAATAAAAATAAAAAGGAAAAGAAGAGAAGAGGCATCCAAATTGAAAATAGAGAAATTAAATTGTCTCTGTTTCAGATGACATAATCTTATACATAGAAAATTCTGAAGATTCCACTAAAAAACTGTTACAAGTAATAAACAAATTTAGTAAAGTACCAGGATACAAAATTAATACCTAAAATTATTTGCATTTCTAGATGCTAACTACAAACTATCCAAAAATAAATAAAATAATTTCATGTATAATATCAAAAATAGTAAAATGCTTAAGAATAAATTTAATCAAGAAACTGAAACATATGTACACTTAAAACTGTAAGATATTGATGAAAGAAATAGAAGAAGACACAAATAAATAAAAAGACATACTACATTCATGGATAGGAATGAAAAATATTGTTAAAATGTTCATACTACCAAAACTGCAGACTCAATGTGATGCCTACCAAAATTACAGGCTTTTTTTTACAGAAGTAAAAAAAATCTTAAAATTTTCATGGAGCCACAAAATATCCCAAATAGCCACAGCAATCTTTAGAAAGAAAAATGAATCTAAAGGCATTACACTTCGTAATTTATAACATAATATATTACAAGGCTATACAAATCATAACAGTGTGGTACTGGCATTAAAACAGATACATAGAACAATGGAACAGAATGGAGTACCCAGAAATAAACCAAGCATATAGAATGAACTAATTATTGACAAGGGTGACATGGATACACAATGGGGGAAAAATAATCTCTTTGATAAATAGTGGTGAGAAAACTGGATAAGAAAGAAAGAAGGAAGGAAGGGAGGGAGGGAGGAAGGAAAGAAAGAAGGAAGGAAGGAAAGAACAAGAGAGGTAGGGAGGGAGGAAGGAAGGAAGGCAGGCAGAAAGGGAAGGAAGAGAGGAAGCAAGGCAGGAAGGCAAAACGAAAGGAGAAAGGAAGGAAGGAAAAGGAAGGGAAGGAAGGAAACAAAGAAGGAAAGGAGAGTGAGGGAGGAGGGAAAGAAAGGAGGGAGGGAAGCAAGGAAGGAAGGCAGAAAGGGAGGGAAGAGAGGAAGGAAGGCAATACTGCAGAAAGAAAGGAGGAAGGAAAGAAGGAAGGAAGAAGAAAGAGGAAAATAGGAAGGAAGAGAGGAAAAAAGAAAGGAAGGAATTGGATTCCATCTTATATCACATGCAAAAATTAACTCAGAATGAATTAAAGTCTAAAATATAAGATCTGGAGCCATAAAACTCCTAGAAGAAAACATACGGGAAAAGCTTCGTGACATTGGTCTGGGCAATAATTTTTTGGGCAAGACCCCAGACAAAGGCAACAAAAGTGAAAATAGACAAACAGGATTGCATTAAGCTAAAAAGCTTTGTCAAAGGATATGAATACAATGAGTAGAATGAAGAAAAAAAAACAATGGCATGGGACAAAGGGCCCAAATAACATATTTTCACAGAAGACATATAAATGGACAACAGGTATACGCAAAGGTAGTCAACATCAACATCACTAATCATCAGGGAAATGCAATTCAAAACCCCAGTGAGATACCACCTCACACTGGCTAGAATGGCTATTATCAAAAAGACAAGAGATAACAAATATTGGTTAAATAAAATTTAACGAATGGGAATGGGGGTGAGGGAACCCTGTGCACTGTTGTTGAGAATGTAAATTGCTA
Organism: Homo sapiens; assembly: GCF_000001405.40. NCBI lineage: Eukaryota > Metazoa > Chordata > Mammalia > Primates > Hominidae > Homo > Homo sapiens. The sequence goes on from NC_000012.12 coordinate 126,964,712, forward strand.
TGACCATTATGGAAAATGGTTTGGAAACTCCTCAAAAAATAAAAATATACAATTACCGTATTATCTGACAACCCCATGTCTGGAATCTACTCCATGTGCTGTGCTATTTTTTAACACCTTGCTTTGTAATTTTTCTAGATATGTTACTATGGAAGATCAGAGAATCTCAGAGAATTTCTGTTTCTTCTGTGTAAAGATGCAGAGATAGAGGACAAATGTCTCTAGTCACCCATCGTTTTCATGATTTTTGACGCTGTTGAGTGAAGATGTGATGATCAAACTGTTGAAGGCATCCTTTCATCAGAATAAGCTATGCAGTGCTGCAGTAACAAATAACACCTAATCTAATTTTTTTTTTAAATGGAGTCTTGCTCTGTCTCCAGGCTGGAGTGCAGTGGCACAATTTCAGCTCACTGCAACCTCTGCCTCCCAGGTTCAAGTAATTCTACACTTAATCTAATTGTAAGCAACATACCAGGTTGTGTTTTTTTTCTGTTACATTCACTGTGGGACAACTAGAACTTGTGCTTATTTTGGGCAAACACAAATATGGGCCAACAGAGTAGTGTTATTTTGAATGCTGCTTGTTGCTTTGCTAATGGGAAGGAAACTCTGAGGATCTCAACCTTACATTTAACTGGTCTTGACCATAAATGGCGTTTGTTCCTTCTGTTCTGAATTCTCTGGAACAAATTACTCATGTGGAACCACCTGACCATGAAGGCACTAGAAAGTTCAATCCTGCCATGTGCTAGAAAATGATTTGGTAAAACTATTATTTCTCTATTATTAATATCTATATCTTCCCTATTATTAATAGGGAAGATACAGTGGACAACCTTAGCATGCCAGAAGAGAAAAATGAGATCACACCATTGAGGCATTGAATCAACTCCAGATTGACTGATTCCAGATATTCTGTCTATTAGGATAAAAGCCTATTGTTGAAGTAGAAAGAGTTGAATATCCTGAAACTTGCATCTAAAAGCAATCTCAAAAACACAGCTTCACGTCAATGGAGTTGGCTGCCTTCCTGTTTTGATACCCTGCTCTCTCTGAATTTAAATGATCTTTCACTTCAATTATGAATTTCTTATTTATTTATGTAAGCCAATTTGTATGAAGGTATCTGTTCCCCTTCAAAGAATACACACACTTGACCCAAAAAAACTGAATGAGTTATACTAAGGATCTAAACCCATGTGGCCCAGCCCATAGTCTAATATGAGAAACAAGTAAGAGATTCTAAAAGTTCTCGAGCAATTTCTTGAATAGAGGAGAAAAGTAACTTTAGTTGTTCTGGTAAGTGTACTTTGGATCCCATTAAATGAAAGATATTAAGAGAAAAATGCATCATATCTAAATGTAGACATTACTTTGCTACTCTCTTTTACCTGTTGTAGTATTAGTAGCTGAATTTCTATATGAGGATTAAGATACTCCTAAGTATTACTACAACATAAATACAAATAGGGTATGTCGTTAATTTTTAAGATGGAGCCAGGTATTTTGGTGTTTAGGGTCCTTAAGGGGAGATAGATGATAGATGATAGACAGATAATTTTATTATTTATAAATAGTATTTTATAACAATATGTTATAATGCATATGTACAAATTAATATATTTTTGCTTTACTATAATACATATACATATATTTTCTTTTTTTTTTTGGTCCTTACAGTCACATATCTGCCCTCAGTCCTTCTTTATTCTCTTTTGAATCCCAGCAGGCTACTCTGTGGAGATGCATCATAATCAGCTTACCTCTTCTTTGCCTTTAGATTAGAAAGGAATCACTTGCAGGAAACCAGGAGAAGGTAGGAGAGCAAGATCCATGCATTTGTGCTTCAGACATCTCATTGCTGGATTATTACAACTGATGGAACTTTACAGCAGCAATGAGCCTCTCCATGCACCCTTCCTGGCCGCCTCCTGCCCTGATGCCTGGGTGTGGTAAGAACTCCCACCACAGTTGGATTTAAGTAACTGTAATATCCTGTGCGGTTTGCTTTACAATCTGTCAACGTCTTTGTAGATGGTCCCTTTATTAATCTATCTTTCAATTATCTTCATTTGCATGTGCCAGGTGTTTCCTGCTGAGCCCCTGAATTACAGGATTAATAACAGAATTTTCTTGCCTTTTTATGTTCAAGTAATTTGCTATTATTTAAACAATAACAAAGATTTTGAAAATTGGCTGAGGAGCACGGACATTGTGTATTTGGTTCAATTTTCTGAAAAGACAGTATTGCAGCTTTAGTTTTCATGCTCACTTGTCTTTATTAAAGGAGCTCTATAAAAGTTCCACTGAGAACCACAATGGCATCTCTCTTCACTCTTGATATAACCTTGAGAAAGCCCCGTGTAATTTCTTATTTCCACATCGTCCTAGAAACTCTAAATCTTCCTGCCCCTGTCAACAAATCAGTTTTATAAAGATGAGAAATGTGCGTTCAAGTTCTTTTAAAGGTTCTGTGTTAAAGAATTCCACATTTTGCAATCATTTTAGACATCTTTGCAGCTGGAAAAGTCACCACTCGTAAGAGGTTAAAGAATATTTTCAAGCTATAAAAAGCTTTCATCTAAATTATTGAGTCAAAGGTTATTTCCTCCATAGATTAAAGTCAAAGCATACAAGATATGGAGGATGTTGGGGTAATTCTAGAGCAAGCCCTGTGGTACAGCACCAAACAGTTTCTAAAAACAATATTTAAACCCCCAACTTTTTTTTTTTTTTTTTTTTGAGGCAGAGTCTTGCTGTCACCCAGGCTAGAGTGCAGTGGCGCGATCTTGGCTCACTGAAAACTCTGCCTCCCGGGTTCAAGCAATTCTCCTGCCTCAGCCTCCCGAGTAGCTGGGATTACAGGCGCCCGCCACTGCACCCAGCTAATTTTTGTATTTTTTAGTAGACAGGGGGTTTCACCATCTTGGCCAGGCTGGTCTTGAACTCCTGACCTCATGATCCATCCACCTCGGCCTCCCAAAGTGCTGGGATTACAGGCGTGAGCCACCGTGCCGGCTTAAATCCCCAACTTTCTAACAAGACCTGTTCCAGACTAACATTTAGAACCTTTCCAGACCATTAAATCAGAACTAGATTCAAGTGAGAAGTATTTCTCTAATTGTTCCATGATTTGCAGTAGATACATTTATTTTTTAAAGTGAACAAGTTGCTGACTCTTCTCGGACCAATCTACATCTGCTGCAAAATTCACTTTTCACCAACTGTATTTTTCTGCAACGGTGTTTCTCCATCCCAACGCCATGATCGTGCATCAATCCTTTCCTCAGAATTTAAAGAAATGAAGGTATCCCAAAGCATCGCAGATGTAGGACAAGTGGGTCCTTATATTTGAAATTAAGTTCATTCGTAGAAAATTACATGAGCTACGTGCTTTGTACATTTGAATTCATGGTCTGAAAATGTTTACAAATTTTCTTTATAGTATATTCTTAAGGGTTTGGTGCATAGATCTATGCCTATAGCTTTATAAACACACACATGCATACATATACAAAAATAAAAAGACATATAAATAAAAGAGGAGGAGAGGAAACAAAAAGATATGAAAGGCTGTGAGCATAGATGTTTAAAGATAAACTGAGGAAGCTAATACCCAATCTTGTTTCCCTGCACAGACTACATTATAATTGCCCAAACTAAAAGCAGCCCCTGATAAATGCAGAGCCTGCTCAAACACAACCAGTCACTCAATGCTGGAACAAATAATGGGCAACCAAAAAGACAATTGATCATATATGTTATTTGCATCACATCAATAAATCCTTTAGAGATGTTATAAACTTTTCATTGCAAGTCCTGTATTACACGTAATAGACAAAGAAGAAAGAACATGATCACTTTTTCCCCCTGAAGCTGGAAGTCCTGATTTTTATGTTCAAAGGAAGCAATTGTTTGCAGTTTTCTTTTTTATTATTATTATTATTATACTTTAAGTTTTAGGGTACATGTGCACAATGTGCAGGTTAGTTACATATGTATACATGTGCCATGCTGGTGGGCTGCACCCATTAACTCGTCATTTAGCATTAGATGTATCTCCTAATGCTATCCCTCCCCCCTCCCCCCACCCCACAACAGTCCCCAGAGTGTGATGTTCCCCTTCCTGTGCCCATGTGTTCTCATTGTTCAATTCCCATCTATGAGTGAGAACATGGAACATGCAGTGTTTGGTTTTTCGTCCTTGCGATAGTTTACTGAGAATGATGATTTCCAATTTCATCTATGTCCCTACAAAGGACATGAACTCATCATTTTTTATAGCTGCATAGTATTCCATGGTGTATATGTGCCACATTTTCTTAATCCAGTCTATCATTGTTGGACATTTGGGTTGGTTCCAAGTCTATTGTGAATAGTGCCGCAATAAACATACGTGTGCATGTGTCTTTATAGCAGCATGATTTATAGTCCTTTGGGTATATACCCAGTAATGGGATGGCTGGGTCAAATGGTATTTCTAGTTCTAGATCCCTGAGGAATCACCACACTGACTTCCACAATGGTTGAACTAGTTTACAGTCCCACCAACAGTGTAAAAGTGTTCCTATTTCTCCACATCCTCTCCAGCACCTGTTGTTTCCTGACTTTTTAATGATTGCCATTCTAACTGGTGTGAGATGGTATCTCATTGTGGTTTTGATTTGCATTTCTCTGATGGCCAGTGATGATGAGCATTTTTTCATGTGTCTTTTGGCTGCATAAATGTCTTCTTTTGAGAAGTGTCTGTTCATATCCTTTGCCCACTTTTTGATGGGGTTGTTTTTTTCTTGTAAATTTGTTTGAGTTCATTGTAGATTCTGGATATTAGCCCTTTGTCAGGTGAGTAGGTTGCAAAAATTTTCTCCCATTTTGTAGGTTGCCTGTTCACTCTGATGGTGGTTTCTTTTGCTGTTTTCTTCGTCGAGATCTGAGCATATCCCATGTTGCTCTCACAGGCCTGGTGGCAGAGGGCATATTTAATGGGGGTGTCAGTTTTCCGGGGGAAAGAAACAATGAAAAGTCAGTACTGCTCCCAATAGGAGTACAGTTGAACATGTCTGCTCAGGGAATTCCCATTGTATAAAGAAAGGAAATAAAAGGGGAACGCTTCCTGAGAGTTCAGGAATGCCAGGTGAAGGAGCTGCAGGAAAAACCCACTGCTGCTGAATGTTGTATTGAATAACATTTAAATTCTAATGTCTGGAAGAAGCAAAAGGCATGTTGAGCAATTGCTAAGACAGAGGAGAATCACTTGAACCCAGGAGGAGAAGGTGGCAGTGAGCTGAGATCACACCACTGCACTCTGCACTCCAGCCTGGGTGACAGAGTGAGACTCTGTATCAAAAACAAAAACAAAAACAGAACATGTTATGTTTTATACATTACTTATGACTATTACTGAAATCAACTTTATCTTGGGGAATTTATGCTGACTCTTACAAATATTAAAAATTAATTAATAGGTTGAAATATGAGCAACAAGTAAAACAGCCTGCACATTGTTACAGGGAGGTGAGTAGATGGGAGAAGCAGGCTGTGGACCAACTTACTTAACAAATGTTACCTATTATGACCTACAAGTGTTACATAATATGACCTACAAATGTTACATGCTATGACCTACAAATATTACATACCATGACATGCAAATGTCACGTTATGACCTACAAATATTATATGTTGTGACTTACGAATGTTATATACTATAACACACAAGTGTTACACACTATGACCTACAAATGTTACATATTATGACATGCAAATGTTACCTACTATGACCTTGGAAAATCTACACACTCATCAACCCCACTAGTTGGCTCAGTTGTTTGTAAACAGTGAAGAAGAGAATCTGTGAAATTCTCTCCCCAAAAACGCATGTCTCTAAAGCCATGGGATTCCGGGCAGAAGATATCAATGATTCCTTCTCTGAAAATTATCATCTCCCAATAATCTTTATAGTGAGTGAGCCTGTTTCTTTGTGAGTCAGGGGCTGTGGGCTGTCTACCCTCAGCCCATTCAGCACAGAAGACAGTGAGCAATCACAATCAGAGAAATGACTCCCTGCCATTCATTGATGCACCTATCTATCCATTCATTCTAAGCAGCATTGCTGAGCACTGAATACATTTAGGTTTTGTTTCAGGTAGTGAAGAGAGATGACTGAGACACCGGCTCATCCTCAGCAACCTCACAGTCTGTTGGCAAGACAGCTTAAGACAGAAAGTTATAGTACTACACAACATGTGTGATGCAATTACTTGCACTATGCTCAGTGTCGGCTCATCCTCAGCAACCTCACAGTCTGTTGGCAAGACAGCTTAAGACAGAGAAAGTTATAGTACTACACAACATGTGTGATGCAATTACTTGCACTATGCTCAGTGTGAAAACAGAGGGGCAATGGATCCAGGGGAAACAGCAATGGACTATGAGAAACACCAGCTGGTTGGGTGATACAAGCCCAAGCTCTGCAGCCAAGCCCCAGCTCCAGCATGGAGTAGCTCTGGGACCTGGGGCAAGTCACCACCTTCTCTGTGCATCAATTTCCTTACTTGTAAAATAGGTATGTTATCAGTAGTTTACCTCTTTGGGTTAAATGATGCAATTTATGTAAAGCGGAGTCTAGTACATATTTAGTGGGGGTCAATAGAGGTTATTATGTTGAGTCCTACCTGGGGATTCAGGCAGGAAAAATTGATCAGTGACTCTTAAGGGCGTACAGCAGGTGATATACTCTGGAGGGGTGTGTATTTTTATTTTGGTAAAGCATTTCACTACTAAAAATAATTGAATACTGGGATAAGATTAGACAGACCTTATTTTTCATATGCAAACTAAAAAATGCAGACTCAAACAAAGGGTTAGTAAACTTTTGCTGTAGAGTTGAATAGCAAACAGTTTAAGTTTCTTGGGTTTTACAGCTGCTTCTTCTTCTTCTTCTTCCTCTTCTTCTCCTTCCTCTTCTTCTCCTCCTCCTCATATTCCTCCTCTGCCTCCTTCCTCCTTCTCTTTCTCCCCTTCTTTTGCTCCTCCTCCTCTTTCTTTTCATCCTCTTCATCTCCTCCTCCCTTTCTTTCCTCTTCCTTTTCTTCTCCTATACAACTTTTTTAAAAATGTAAAACCAACTCTTAGTTCAAAGGCTGAACAAAAACAGGCTATCAGCTGGAATTGACCCCCAAACTGAATTTGTTTGTGGGCAGACTTTGCTGACCCCTTTTCGACATAGTATTCAAGTCTAGTGGCTATCTGAAAATAGAGTAATAATTCTCAGTGAAGAGAGCTTGGAAATAGTGGACATGCCTACCCTAGTGTATCTAGGGGAGGCAGAGCAGAATCTCAAGGTATGAGAATGGTCATTTTATTTATTCACTAAAGAATGAAAGATACTTTTTTTGAAAATAAGAAATTCCATCCTTAAAACCATTGGGATAAAGGAAGCTCTTAGAGATAATACAAAGGATGAAGATTTCAGCCATTGTTGCTCAACAAAGGACCCAAGTTTGGGACCACAGGAATCTATACATGAGGATCAGGTTGACCTACAAGCCAGGGCTTTCAGTCCTGAGGGGAAATGGACAGATGGCCACTTCATTCTGTCTCAAACAAAGATATTCAGGTAATATGAGGTTAAGCTTTGCTAAATCTCCAGGATGCATCTTTGGTTTCCTGTGTGGTGGGACAAAGGATCTTTAGACCGCACCTGAAGGGAGAGAAGCTATTGGTAAGTTAGGAGGGCACCCCTCTCACCACCATGTTGAATTCAATTAAATCACTTTCAGTACTTGTCTTTGTTAAGGTGTAGCACTTGAGAAACAACAGAGCTGAATCAGAAGACCATGTGTGCAGTGGTGTCCTAGGCAATGATGGCATCACAGAAAACATGACAGAAAGGAGGAGAGACTGGGCATGCCTGCATCTGGCTGCCTTTGGCTTTCTTTATAACTCTTGGAGGTGCCATAGACCAAAGGGGCTCTTGGATGTTGCTTGTGAAATGCAATAACTTTTATTCATAGAAATGACATCAGTGATTGGCACCAACATTAAAATAAAAAACATAAATGTGACATGTGCACTATACCCATTAACATAGTCTACCCAAGCCCAGGAATGTTCTCTTTGTTTTCTTTATTGTGGTCTAACTAACTGTTCTCAACATCAGTTGTATACTAAAATCAACTCAGGAGATTTAAAATATCACTGTTTCTTAGATCTCATCCTGAGAGACACTAATTCAATGTTCTAGACATCAGTACCTTTTAAAAAGCTTCTCAGTAATTATAAAACCAGATGCAGAGAAGGGTATGGAAAAGGGACGTTGAAAAGAGGTTGATCAATGGATAGAATACATAGTCAGACAGAAGAAGCAAGACCCAGTGTTTGATAGGTCAGTAGCATAACCATAGCTAATAATAATTTATTCTATATCTCAAAATAGCTAGAAGAGAAGAATTGGAATGTTTTTGACACAAAGAAAATATACATATTTGAAGTTACGGATATTCCAGTTACTGTGATTTGACTATTACACATCGTATACATGTATCAAAATATTACATGTATCTCAAAAATATGTACAATAGCTGAGTACAATGGCTCACTATAATTTCTATAATCCCAGCATTTTGGGAGGCCAAGGTGAGAGAACTGCCTGAGCCCAGGAGTTTGAGGCTGCAGTGAGTTAAGATTGTGCCACTGCATTCCAATGTGGAAGACAGAACAAGACTCTCCATGAAAGAAAGAAAGAAATTAAAAGAAAGAAAGCAAAAGAAGGAAAGAAAGAGAGAAATAGAGAAAGAGAGAAAGAAAGAAAGAAGGAAAGAAAGAAAGAGAAAGAAAGAAGGAAAAGAAAGAAAGGAGGGAGGGAGGGAAGGAAGGAAGGAGAAAGGGAAGGGAAGGAAGGAAAAAATGTACAAATATATATCAATAAGAAAAAACTTATTTTAAAAACTCTGCTGAAAATTCATTGACCAGAAATAGTCACATGACCTCACCCAGCCAGCACCAGCAATCCTTAGCCCATGAGGTGAAGAGTCCCTGTGTTTGGTGAACAGCACCCATGAGAGCAATGCTATCCTGCGCACAAGCAGAAGAAAGAAGAATCTATGAAAGAGAGAGTTGAGGGAAGGGGGAGTTAGGAAGCAAACAGCCTGCTATAATGCAGTGCAAGTATGGTATAAACTCTATTATTCACTGAGTGGGAACCACACAACTTCCGCTTGCATAGACATAGGACCAGCAGGCATCCGAGTTGTTTCTATTGCTTCTTTGGAAATGCCTTTTCTTCTAACTCAGAAACAGGCCTACACCTCTTTAATTACACAAGTGGAAATATGTTCCATAGAGAAGAGGTAGTTTGTTTTACTGCTTCTTCCTAACTAGCTGACCCAGCCGATGCCTGCAGATGCTTCAGTAGTTTTCAAGTGTTGATGGCATCCACAAAGCTGGGAGCTCACTCATCAGATTCTCTGGAAGGGATTCCTTCAAGTGGACCTGCTAATTTGCATAAACGCTCATCTTAAGGCGTGCATACTAAGCTCACCCCATCCAATATGTCTCCTTGCATTTGGAATACTTTGTATTGGATTTTAAAACATCAGAAAACACCTAGACTTATTTCCAAAGATGTGTGAGTCTCTGAGGTGCAGGACAGAAATTTGTTTTTTGTTTTGTTTTGTTTTGTTTATAACCACTCTATCCAGACAGAAGGCCGGGGATGGTTTGCAGCCTCCAGCGTTATTCTCTTTTCATTTAGTAAATGGGAGCTATAGGACAGTGGGTACTTCTAAACTGTGTGCATATATTTCTCGGAATGGCTGCATTTCATTCATTGCAGCCAGAGATGCTAACGCCTCATGCTGAAATAGGGATCCAAGATTCATCAAAACCGGCCACCAGGCACAGGCTAAGATGAAATAAAGTAAAACATCCTGAAGCACCTTGGGAGTCATTTTCAAAAATATAAATAAAGTAACCTGTATCAGTTAGAATAGCTGTGAGAAATAGTTCATTCAAATGAGTGACTAAAGAGATTGGGAAAATTAACAGTGATCCTGTTAGTGTAACAGGAACAAAAACAAGATTGGGAAGCACCCAGGAGAAGCCCCTACTGTTCTTCATCCTGAAGCGGGAAATGGAAGAGAGCTGGTTCTAGGTCCTGAAGAAATCCAGGAGACAGCCTCCCTCAAGGACAAGGCTGTGTCCTCATGTTGAGGAGCATAAACGGCAATGCTGAGCAGCGACACCACTGGGGCAGAGCCAGGAGGATCAACACTCTGAGCTCTCTCCTGCCACCCTCTGACCTTCTGGGAGTTTCTCTCATGGCCTGACCACAACTGGCAGCAAACTGCAGCCCTCCATCTCCCAGGGTGCAGAGCAGGAAGTAGGATTAACAAAAAAATACATCTTTGAGGGGCCAGCAGGAAATATCCAGGCATAACTCAAAGACCAACATACTTGTTTTACAAAACAGAAGCCTCTGATGATGAGTGTTATTGAACTTTCTCGCATAATTGTGGAAAGCAGTGTGGTGATTCCTCAAAGAATTAAAAACAGAACTACCATTTGACCCAGCAATCCAATTATTGGGTAGTAAGGAATATAAATTGTTCTACCATAAAGAAACATGTACACGTAGGTTCACTGAAGTACTATTCGCAATAGCAAAGACATGGAATCAACCTCAATGCCCATCAACAATAGACTAGATAAAGAACATATGGTACATTTATACCATGGAATATTATGCAGCAGTGAAATGAATGAGATCATGTCCTTTGCAGGAACATGGATGGAGCTGGAGACCATTATCGTTAGTGAAAGAATGCAGAAATAGAAAACCAAATACTGCATGTTCTCGCTTATATGGGGGAGCTAAATAATGAGAACCAATAGACACAAAGAGGGGAACAGCCAACACTGGGACCTACTTAAAGGAGGAAGATGGAAGGAGACAGAGGATCAAGAAAAATAACTGTCGGGTACCATGCTTATTACCTGAGAGATGAGATGGTCTGTACCCCAAACCCCTATGACATGAGTTTGCCTGTATTAACAAACCTGCACATGTAACCCTTGAACCTAAAATCAAAGTTTAAAACAAATAAATAAAAAGAAAACAAATACCTTTCTATGACAAGCTGCAAATTTCAGATCTCTTCTTTTACTCATACTGAATCTTTTCAGCTTCTACTGGGCAGTGAGCCTGCAAATATAACAAGAGAAAATGAGCGGGAATGAGTCAGCCAGCAAAAAGGAGGTAAGCAGGGTCTGCTGGAGACATCACTAAATGAATACTAATGCATGGTATGAGGGTCTCAACTTGTGGATCCAGGGTTTTTGTTCCACAGGCAGATTAGCATGAGATGCCATTGAATCTGGTGTTTTTCCAAGTTTAGTAGTTTAGAGATAGAATTACACTGTTTTACTACATTGATTATTTCATAGTTAACTTCTTAGTAAGGGGGAATGCTAACCTATGGAGCGTTGGTGACAGACACACTCATTATAATGCCTCACTGCTGACAATTTAAAAAAGAAGGTGAAGAAAGAAAAGAATATGATCCATTCTTGTTAAGAGCTCCAGTTGGTGTGAAGGCAGTAAGTGTGGTACTAGTGAGGGGAGCCAGGTAGATCACCACAGGACAGAGGACAGACCTCAGGTCAGGGGCTGAAGACGTGTGCTTTCAGAAGTCAGATGGGTGGATGAACTGGAAAGGATTAAGGCAATAAGGAATGGTGGGAGTTTTCTTCAACTGGAGAATTTTACCCTGTCTAAAAATCATATAAACCCATATATTTTCTTTAAACCATGCACAGCCCAATAAATATTTTCAGAGAAAATTTAGCAGCCAGTATTGATTTTTATTGTTCCTGTGATTGTCATTGTTGTTGCTTCTTCATCTTAGAGACATCAAGGGCATAGCCAAAATCATAGAGAAGCAATGACCTTCTAATCCTCAATGGAGTTAAATTCCCCCAAATCCCCAGGGACTGGAACTCAGATGAAGCTTCAGGAGTTCACAACCTTCTCAGACATAAATAATACAGATGTCATCACTAGTGAGGGAGAGCTCAGCTCAGCGGAACCCAACATATGAGATAATAGGAGACTGCATCACAGAACACTAGGGCACTGTGTCCACCCACAACAATGGGTCAGCGACGGACAACACAGTGCAGACTGAGGGGTCAGGGCACGCTTCATGGAAGAGGTGGGACGTGAGATAGAAAGGATGTTGGAGCTGAGAGGTGGCTGCTCCTCGGGGCTCTAGATCAGTGTTTTCAATGTCCTAAAGACATTTCAAAAGTCACAGACCTCAGGGGAGCTTGATTTCTCTCACAAAGCTCTTCTCACTTTAGGGAATCTGGTTGTGGGTATCAATAACCGCCTTCCCAGGATCAGGGACTAAAAGCATTCTAGTCATTTGACATTTTTTCCTCCCTTTCTTGTTCCACAGGCAATGGATCTTTAAAACTTGTTAATTCAGGTTATTATCAAAAAGCCAAAAAATAGGAAGCAGCAGGCAGCAAGGATATAGAGAAAAGAGAACACTTGTGTGCTGTGGGTGAAAATGCAAATTAACAAAGTTATTAAGGATAATGGTATGGCAGTTCTCCAAAAAACTAGAAATAGCATTATCATACTGTCCAGCAATCCTACTTCTGAGTATTTACCCAAAAGATTTGAAGTTAGTTTATCGATGAGATCTCTGTACTTCCACGATCATTGTAGCACTAGCCACAACAGCCAAGATGCAGAACCAAACTGAGTGTCCATCAACAGATGGAGGGATTTTTAAAAATGTGAAAAATCTAAAAATTTAAATGTGTGTTTGTGCCTTGTGTGTGTATACACAATGGAATACTACGCAGCCTTAAAACAGAAGGGATTTCTGCCATTTGCCACAACAGGTATGAAACTAGAGGACATTATGATAAATGAAATGATCCAGGCACAGAAAGATAAATATTGCAGTTCTCACTTATATGTGGAATCCAAAACAATCAAATTATAGAAGCAGAGAGTAAAATGGTGGTTCCAGATGCTAGAGGGGAGATGGTAATGGGCAGATGATGGTTAAAGGGTACAAATCTCAGTTAGACAAGAGGAATCTTTTTATTTTTTTGAGACCTATTGCACAACATGGTGAACATAGTCAATAACAGGGTATTGTACATTGAAACATCACTAAAAGAGTAAATGTTAAATGTTCTCACCACAAAAACTATTTAAGTATTTGAGATGATAGATATACTAATTAACTTGATTTAATTATTCAACGCTGTATTCATGGATCATAATATCACTTTGTACCCCGTAAACGTATGCAAGTATGAATTGTCAATGTACAGCAAAATAAAAAAAAAAACAAATTTAGAAAAGAACTTGTTAATTCAGCTTCCACCATAACCCTCTCACCATTCCTTCCTCACTTGAAGCCCTGAGCTTTTTTCCTGGCCATTGTGCCGGGTCCTCACCAACGTCTCTTAGAGATAGAATTACACTTTTACTACATTGATTATTTCATAGTTAACTTCTTAGTTAGGGGGAATGCCAACCTATGGCTTCTACTTCCTTGTGTCAATCCATTCCATTGTTTAAAAAAATTCAATAGGTTTTTGGGGAACAGGTGGTGTTTGATTACATGAATAAGTTCTTCGGTAGTGATTTCTGAGATTTTTGGTGCACCCATCACCTAAGCAGTGTACACTGTACCCAGTGTGTAGTCTTTTATCCTTCCTCCTCCTACCACCCTTCCCCCTGAGTCCTCAGAGTCCATTGTATCATTCTTATGCCTTTGTGTCCTCATAGCTTGGCTCCCACTTGTAAGTGAGAACATATGATGTTTGGTTTTCCATTCCTGAGTTGCTTCACTTAGAATAATGATATCCAACTCCATCCAGGTTGCTGCAAATGCCATTATTTTGTTCCTGTTTATGGCTGAGTAGTATTGCATAGTACATATATACATTTTCTGTATCCTCTCTTTGATTGATAGGGGGATACTGAGCCTAATTTTCTGAAAGTTCTGATCATTTTGCTGTTTCCTTCTCAAGTGCCAGGCGAGGTGTCCGGCGAGGTGTCACAGCCCTGGCAGTAGAGAGTGGTTCGCTCATGGGTAGCAAGAAGAATTTACCAACAACAGCATAGGCTTGAAATGGAATATCGTATTAGATGGAAAGAAACGCTGCAGCCGAGTGCAGAGGGGCATCTCAGCAAGAGAGGACTAAGTGCACTGCGGTGGATTGTCCTTCGTGGTATTGATGGACCTTTCAGTCTGATTGAGATGGGAGGGTTACGCTAGGTTTCTCCGGGTTCTCCAGATGCATCTAGAAAGTGACAGGATTGTGTCAGGAGCTTAAGGGTAATTTGAACCTGGACTGTATTAGTTATGTAGGTCATGGTAGCTATTACATTTGTAGATGTTTTGGCACCTTGATGTCAGCAAAGGTTGCATAATGGGTTTTGACATGCATGCATTCTGGAGATGTATAGAAATTCCAGTTATTATAAATTCTTGGGAAAGAATTCTTGGTCGGCTTGATGGCCACCAGCTGATCTTTGCTCTCTTCATCAAGAACCATGAAATGCCCCTGATTGCTCACAAACAAGAGCCCTGACTCATCAGCATGGCTGTCCAATCCACCAAAGCAACTTGCTTCCACCTCCCCAGTCTCTCTTCTTAGAGGCAGACTCACTTGGCCTGAGCTTGTCCTTGTGAAATGGCCTGAGGTTCCCTGGACACTTGTGCAGCGGCATGGTCCTTCTTCATGCCCTTCCTTCCATAAGTCACTCTCGAGCCAGACAGCGAGCCAGACAGTGGGTTTAAACCTGAGCTGCACCTCATGCTGGCTGGGTTTCCTTTGGTGAGTTTACTTAACCGGTTTCAGCCTCAAGTTCTTCATCTGATAAATGGGGATAATAATACTGATATCACAGGGTTGCTATGGAGCTAACAACACAATGCAAAATTCCAAGCACATAAGGTGTAAGCATACATGTCAGTGAGTGGTATTTTGTTTCTGTTATTTATTTATTTATTTATTTATTTATTTATTTATTTATTTATTTATTTTTTAAGACAGCCTCCCTCTGTCTCCCAGGCTGGAGTGCAATGGCATGATCTCGGCTCACTGCAACCTCCACCTCCTGAGTTCAAGCAATTCTTTGTCTCAGCCTCCTGAGTAGCTGGGATTACAGGTGCCTGCCACTACACCTGGCTAATTTTTGTATTTTTAGTACAGATGGGGTTTCACCATCTTGGCCAGGCTGGTCGTGAACTCCTGACTTCACGATCCACCTCCTCAGCCTCCCAAAGTGCTGGAATTACAGGCGTGAGCCACTGCACCCGGCCTGTTTCTGTTATTTTTTGAATTTCTAGTAATTAAAAAACTCATTCCAATATTACTCTTCTCAAAATCCCTTCTTTCCCTGTCCAAGTCTTAATACCCCCTACTCCTCTTTCACTTTCTTGTGCTCTAATCAAAGGTTTATTTTTTTAAGACCAAAATTAACACACTGATGTAAGATTCCTGTTTATGTTACAGTGCTGAACACATCTGCCTTCCCAGTAGACACTGACCGAGCCTCTGAAGAACAAGTTTTTCCCTTCTTGTGTCCCAGGCTTGCTGAAGGGCGTGGCATTTAAATGTCTGTATTTACTTGAATCGCACATTATTGAATCGGATAAAACTGAAAGATTTTCAGGAGAAGACAATGTCTAACTATTGACAGACAAACTTGTACGTCTACTTGCAACTACCCACACCTGGGAGCTCGTTAAGAGCACCAAACCTTGGGTTCCATCCCAAAACTACTGGATCAAAATCTGCATATTTAACAAGATCTCCAGGTAATTCAAGTGAATATTAAAGCTTGAGAAGCACTTATTATGCTCAGTGTTCTGCATCTCCAGACCGGGGAAGAAATACGTTCTAGTTCCCCTGGTAGAGCCACTGCCTGTCTCAATGTTACAAGGGTAGGAGACAGAAAGAAGGGATGGGCAGTGTGGGGAAAAGATTAAGAGCAACTTGGAGACCTGGTTTTGGGTCTCAGATAGGTGTGGAATTGAGCTCAATTTCTGTTACTTATTAGTTTTGAATATTGGGCCTGTGAGCTTAACATTCCTGTTCTGTATAGTGGGGATAGTCATAGCATCTAACTCAATGTGGTGCCATGAGGGTTCAATAATACGACACATACATCAGAATCTTGAAGAATCCTGTGTGAATAATATACCTTCCAGGGCCTGACTCTAGAACTTCCAATCAGAATCTTTGAGATGGTCCAGAAACGCACGTTTTTAATGAGTTCTCCTCCATGTAAAGTTCACATCAGTGCTGAAGAGATTCTGCAGCCATAAAGGTGGATGTTTCCATGAGTGTTTGGGACACCAACTCATCCTCATTAGACATTAGATCCATGCTGGGAATCCTCAGGTCAGCAATTTGAACCAGCCCCAGATCCACCGAAGCTGCAGTCGGAAGAACAAGACACAGAGAAGGAGTGGCAAGAACAAGAAAGCTTCCGAGAGTGCAAGCGTTTTTTTTTTCTTTATCGGATTCGACGCTCTGGAGAAAATTAAACAGGTAAATCAGTCACAGGTGGACTCATTCTTCACTAATTGCATCCTGACTCAAAGTCCTTTCCCCTGAAATGTCTTTCCATTTGCTACTTGCCTCCTGCCTTCAAGTTTTTGTCTTTATTGTTGATTTTCAGAATTCAAATATAATTTGTTTAGCTTAAAAAAAACAAAACAAAAACCACTTGTTCTTCTCTGAGGTTTCTGGATTAATGGTTTGATTCTTTTTGGAAAATTCGCAGCTATTCCTTCTTTGAATAATTTTTCCCCTCCATCTTTTTTGCCGTCTTCTTTTGGATTTCCAATTACATGCGTATTAGACTGAAATCACCCCACTGGATATGAAAAGTATGCTCTGTGTCTTCATTCTCTTTTCTCTCTGTGGTTCAGTTTTGGTAAATTTTACTTCAACTACTTTAAATTCATTTTAATCATTATTTTAAACATTTAGTAATTTATATTTTATTTCGACAAACCATATTCAAACAACTGAAAATCAAAGATAAAGATAAAAACTTGAAGTCAGGTGACAGTGATGCAAATTTAATATCTCACCTGGATGTGGCTGCTAATATCAAAAGAACCACCTTTAGCCTCTTCACTCTTGTTACTTCATCAGCAGGATTTCTAGCTCTCTCTAGTAATAATTTATATTGTAGCTGAGCTATAGTATACATATTACCTATACATATGTGTATGCCTAAAGTCATTACACTATTAGATAACAAAAATAAAATCAGAAACCATACAAAATAACCCCAAAGTCCACATAATTTTGAATTTTCAGGATTGCACTTTCTATCAAATAAAGTACATATGTGTATGTAATATGTGTATGCAATATGTATACTATTAAATATGTGTATGTAATATGTATGCTATTGCACATGTACATATTACATATACATGTGCAATAGTATACGTATTACATATATTGTAATACAATATAATTGTAATACTATTGCATACATATTACATACATTATATATCTTTCTATCTATATGTTTACCTATATCTATCTCTCTATTAAGAAAATCGGTTTTAGGTTCCTGTGATTTATCCACATTATTTCACTTAAATTCCGCAATACAAATTTCCAGTTTTACTGATGAAACTAAAATATAGACCAATTCTGACTTGCCTAAAGTCATTACACTATTAGATAACAAAAATAAAATCAGAACCCATACAAAATAACCCCAAAGCCCACATAATTTTGAATTTTCAGGATTGCACTTTCTATCGAATAAAGTACACTCATTCTTCAGAATCATAGATTGTGAATCTAACAATCTTGCTGAGAATGGATACTCTGACTTCCAGAGACTTGATGACTTTGTTTCCTCTCTTCTCCCGTAATTTTACGTGTGATAAGTGGATGTTGGCAGCTTCTCCAAATAAGGCATGAATCAAGAATGTACTCTCAACGTGAAATAGCAAGCCAAAGATTGATTATATCTACTTAAGTCTATGATAAAAATGGACACCAGCTTGCCAAATTATTTCAGCTGCCAAGAACACCAACCACCAAAGTATCAGGACAGATGGATTTCACCAAAGCCTTGATATAATCTGAGGAAAAGAAACTCAGGGAAAATGTGCTGATCCATCATTTAAGGGGCAAAGGTATCCTCCTGTACTGGTGTTTGTTGGTAAATGTTGAAACCAATTATGTGTTAATAATCATGTTTTAGTTTCTCTTTTAAGTTTCATTTTCTATGTACCACATTGAATAATACTCAGATGAAGTTAGATTATAATTTCTTTTCAGCTCAAGAAAAGTAAGCAAATGTATAGTCAGGGCTATTTTAACTGGAAAAAAAAAACCTACTACTGACAGTGTCTTACAAGAAAGATGTTTAATTTTTTATGTTATAAAAAATGTGGAGGCACATGTTTTATGTATGTCAGCAGTCAAATGGTGACAGGACCTTGGATAAACATCTGGGTTCTCTAGGATCCCACCTAATGTTTGCAAGAAGATTGTAAGTATATTCTCCTATAGCAGCATCTAAAGAAGAGAAGATGGAGCTAATTCTCATATCAGTATTTTCTTAAATGAATAATCTTAACCCAAAACACTGCTAGATAAATTCATTTTGCTCCTCATTGGCTGGATTGGGTCATATGGTCACCTATAGCTACAGAGAGGATGAGAGAGTGAGTACCTGAAACAGTGATTGGAATAAACCTAACCATGATCTACTGCTAGAGAGGTGGCACTTAGACAGAGTGATGATGCCTAAACTTCTAGAAGTAGAGTTATCTGGCTCCTCTAAGACCTAGACTAACTGTAGGTCATTGATAAGCCAAACATCTGATTAAGAATCACATTGGAAGACTTCTCATCATTTTTGTCTTTGTAAATAAAGGACCCCTATCTAACTTTACATTCCTTTACTTCCTTGAACTTAAAAGCCTATAAAAACAAACAAACCAAAAATAAGCAAAAGTATGGTATTATTTTGTTTCCACACTGGTAATAAAGACATACCAGAGACTGGGTAGTTTATGCAGGAAAGAGTTTAATGGACTCACAGTTCTACATGGCTGGGGAGGCCTCACAATCATGGTGGAAGGCAAGGAGGAGCAAGTCACATCTTCCATGGATGGCAGCAGGCGAAGAGAGAGCTTGTGCAGGGAAACTCCCCCTTATAAAACTGTGAGTAAGTCATGAGACTTACTCACTATCACAAGAACAGTATGGGAAAACCCTGCCACCATGATTCAATTACCTCCCACCAGGTCTCCCCAACAACACGTAAGAATTGTGGGAGATAAAATTTAAGATGAGATTTGGGTGGGGACACAGTCAAACCACATCATTTCTTCCCTGGCCCTCCAAATTTCATGTCTTCACATTTCAAAACCAATTATGCCTTCCCAACAGTCCCCCAAAGTCTTAACTCATTTCAGCATTAACTCAAAAGTCCACAGTCCAATGTCTCATCTGAGACAAGGTAAGTACCTTCTGCATATGATCCTATAAAATTGAAAGCAAGTTAGTTACTCACTAGATACAATGGGGTTACAGGCAATGGGTAAATACAGCCATTCTGAATGGGAAAGATTGGCCAAAACAAAGGGGCTACAGGCCCCATACAAGTCTGAAATCCAGCGGGGAAGGCAAATCTTAAAGCTCCAAAATGTTCTCCTTTGACTTCACGTCTCACAACCAGGTCATGCTGATACAAAATGTGGGTTCCCATAGACTTGGGCAGCTCCACCCCTGTGGCTTTGCAGGGTACAGCCTCCCTCCCAGCTGCTTTCACATGCTGGTGTTGAGTGTCTGTGGATTTTCAAGGTACACAGTGCAAGCTGTTGGTGGATCTAACATTCTGGGGTCTGAAGGATGGTGGCCCTCTTATCACAGCCCAATAGGCAGTGCCCCAGTAGGGACTCTGTGTGGGAGCTCCAACCCCATGTTTTCCTTCTTCACTGCCCTAGCAGAGATTCTCCATAAGGGCCCCACCCCTGCAGCAAACTTCTGCCTGGGCATCCAGGCATTTCCATACATCCTCTGAAATCTAGACAGAGGTTCCCAAACCCCATTTCTTGACTTCTGTGCACTTGCAGGCTCAACACCATGTGGAAGCTACCAAGGCTTGGGTCTTGCATCATCTGAAGCCATGGTCTTAGCTCTATATTGGCCCCTTTCAGCCATGGCTAGAGGGTCTGGGATGCAGGGCACCAAGTCCCTAGGCTGCACACAGCATGGGGACCCTGGGCCCGGCCCATGAAACCATTTTTAGCTCATAGGCCTCCAGGCCTGTGATGGGAGGGGCTGCCTTGAAGACTTCTGACATGCCCTGAAAACACTGTCACCATTGTCTTGGGGATTAACATTTGGCTCCTTGTTACTTATGCAAATTTCTGGAGCCAGCTTGAATTTATTCTCAGAAAATAGGTTTTTCTTTTCTATCAGATCATCAGGCTGCAAATTTTTTCAAACTTTTATGCTCTGCTTCCCTTATCAAACTGAATCCCTTTAACACACCCAAGTCATATCTTGAATGCTTTGCTGCTTTGAAATTTCTTCTGCCAGATACCCTAAATCATCTGTCTCAAGTTCAAAGTTCCACAAATCTCTAGGGCAGGGACAAAATGCTGCCAGTCTCTTTGCTAAAACATAACAAGAGTCACTTTTACTCTAGTTCCCAACAAGATCCTCATTTCCATCTGAGACCACCTCAGACTGGACTTTATTGTCCATCTCATTATCAGCATTTTGGGAAAAGCCATTCAACAAGTCTCTAGGAAGTCCAAACTTTCCCATATTTTCCTGTATTCTTCTGAGCCCTCCAAACTGTTTTAACTCCTGTCTGTTACCCATTTCCAAAGTCACTTCCACATTTTCAGGTATCTTTACAGCAGCACCCCACTCTACCAATACCAATTTACTGTATTAGTCCATTTTCACATTGCTAATAAGGACATACCCATGACTGGGTAATTTATACAAGAAAGAGGAGTAATGGACTCACAGTTCCACATGGCTGCATGGCTGGAGAGGCCTCACAATCATGGTGGAAGGCAAGGAGGAGCAAGTCATGTCCTCCATGGATGGCAGCAGGCAAAAAGAGAGCTTGTGCAGGGAAACTTCCCCTTATAAAACCATCAGATCTCATGAGATTTCTTCACTATCACAAGAACAGCACAGGAAAGATCCACCCCCATGATTCAATTACCTCCCACTGGATCCCTCCCACAACACATGGGAATTGTGGAAGCTACAATTCAAGATGAGATTTGGGTGGGGACACAGCAAAACCATATCAAGTATCTAGCCTTGTGTTCCTCCCTCCTTTACCCTACCACATTCTTGAGCATGTAAACAAGCTATATTTATTCGGGCTACAGAGAAACATTTCTGATTGGAACAAAGGAGTGGTACAGAAAAAACAAGCTGTGTGCTTCACACATTTGCCAGTTAGGTTTACTTACAATATCCAAAAATGTGTTAAATTTTAACATTAGTGTTTTTCAATGTAGTTCTCTCATTAACAGCATAACCATTACCTGGGTCCACACTAGAAATGTGAATCTTTGGGCTCTACCCCAGATCTACAGAATCAAAAGTGCCATGGAACCCACCAATTAGCATTTCACCAAGCTCTCCAGGTGATTCTGATATATGCTGAAGTTTAAGAGCCAATGCTTTAGAGTGTGAGTTTGCACATTTTCTTTAAAAAACCAGGTAGATTGAGGAAAGCAGTTTGGTGATCCCCTCAAAGAGCTGAAAGCAGAACTACCATTTGACCTAGCAATCCCATTACTGGATGTATATCCAGAGGAATATAAATCATTCTGTTAAAAAGATACCTGCACATATATGTTCATTACAGCACTATTCACAATAGCAAAGACATGGAATCAACTTAAATGCCCATCAGTGATTGGATAAAGAAAATGTGGTACATATACACCATGGAATACTATGCAGCCATAACAAAAAATGAAATTTTTTTTGCAGGAACATGGATGGAGCTGGAGGCTATTATCCTTAGCAAACTAACACAGGAACAGAAAACCAAATATCATATGTTTTCACTTATAAGTGGGAGCCAAGTGATAAGAACTTATGAACACAAAGAAGGAAACAACATACACCAGGGTCGACTTGAGGGTGGAGGTTGGGAGGAGGGAGAGGGGCAGAAAAGATAACTATTGGGAACTGTGCTTAATACCTGAGTGATGAAATAATCTGTACGACACCCCCCGACACAAGTTTACCTGTGTAAAAAACCTTCACATGTATCCCTGAACCTAAAATAAAAGTTAAAAAAAAAAGGAAGGACCAGTAAATATTTCTGGCTTCAGGAGCAATGTGTCTCTGTTGCAACAACTTAATTCTGCCTTTGCAGTGCAGAGTGGACATAGGCAGTGCATACAGAACATGGCTGTGTCTCAATAAAACATTTGCAAAGAGCAGGTATTTATAAGAGCAGGTAGCCAGTCTTGATTGGGCCCACAGGCTCCTGTTTTCTGATCTCTGATTTAGAGGGAAGCTTCTATCAGAGAGGTTGCATCATCATAGAATGGTTACTTGATTGTCTTTCCAATAGACTATGGGTTCCTTGAGGGAAAGGATTATATTTACTTTTATTTGTTTCTACAGCATCAGTGATAAGCATGGTTCAGAGCTGACACATAATAAACTCTTATTTCACAAGATGCTGAGGAGAAGAGATAAACTTAGAATATTATAAAAGCAAAATGAGGTACCAGAAGTAGTCTGTAGCTTCTTTAAAATTTTGCCTGAAGTAAGACCTCAATTGAAAAGTGTATTGCAATGTTTTCTGCATCGTCCTTAACATTTCTACTCTTCGACCTGCAATAGCAAGAATTGAGTGAAATATGAAAAGATAATATGCGAAACCAATTTGAATATTCTGCTTCAGATTTTTCAAGGGAGATCATGGTGTTGCTCCCTGTTTACAGTTCTCTCTCTGAAGGTTTTTCAGACCATGAAATTGGAGTTCTGTTCCTTTCACAATGGAGATATTCAAAGGAAAGACACAACCTTTGGTCTCTGGCCATAGTGTAAAATTAGGATTAAGAAACCATTGAATTCATTTGGTTGAAAAATTGAGGAAGACACGGTCTGTAGTCTTCAAATCAATAGTTATTTGGGAAATAAAAGCACAAAATTGTTGCCGAGAAACCGTCTCTTCACCGTAGACCACATTTAACTGAGATGCCAGAAAGGGCCATAATTGGGAGACAGAATCTTATGAGGCTACATTAATTTAATATGACTGACACCCAAGTCATAACTCGACCTTTACTCCATTACTGGATAGGAACGTTTTCCACTCTATACCACATTTAGTATATTTAAAGAGGAAGGATAGCTCTCACCATCTCCTAGTCATTGTATAAGAAAAAGTTTTGTGAAATATTTCATTTTGCACTTCCCTCCAGGTCTGTTTTCAGACATAGTGAGGAGCCTGGAGTTTTCCAGAGGTTTTCCAAGCTGCTGAGGAATGACACCAAGCAGCAAACCCACAGAGGGAAGAGGGAGAGTCAATTATTTGAGTTCCCAGGAAGGTATGAGAACATGCCATGGGGATATGAAACCAAACATGGCTATACAATTGGAAGCAAAATTCAATTTAAAAAATGAAGAAAGTGATACAGTTTGGCTTTGCATCCCCACACAAATCTCATGGGAGGTGATTGGATCATGGGGGCAGGTTCCTCCATGCTGTTCTCATAATAGTGAGTTCTCACGAGAGCCCGCTGTTTGGTAAGTGTCTGGCATTTCTCCTTTCTCTCTCTCTCTCTTCTCTCCCGATGCATGTAAGACATGCCTTGCTCTCCCTTCACCTTCCATCATGAATGTAAGTTTCCTGAGGCCTCCCCAGCCAGGCGGAACTGTGAGTCAATTAAACGTCCTCTCTTTATAAATTACACAGTGTCAGGTAGTTCTTTACAGCAGTGTGAAAAAGGACTAATACAGAAGGTAAGATTAATATCATTACTATCAGGCTGAACTAACTAAGCAGAAACCTGAAGAGGTCCTTTGCTTTAATAACTTTTAGTAACTGACTTTTCTATGAAGTAATCAAATCTTGACAGCAATATAAACTTACAACTAAATAAAGTGCATTAAAAACAAAAGTAACAATTTTTATTACTTATTTTTAAATAAAATTTCAAGACTTTTTACTAACTTTTCTTAACGTCTGTGATATCAAGGTTGTTTCTATTTGGTCTGCATCTATTGTGTATGAAGGGTGGTGATCTTATACAATGCTGGGCTGCTGCGCATCTCTTCCCAACTCAATGCTCAGCACTGTCATGGCAGTTGTCTGAAATTGGCCAGCGTGAAAGTATTTACACCAAAGAAAATGGCAAACTGTAAACCAGAGGTTTTTCTCACTGGAGAGCCAATTATTAAACACTTGTCAGCATACCCCAGCTGAAGTGTCATTCAGACCTACAGTACAGGCAAACAATTTCGATTTTGAGGCTCTCATTTAAAAGCAGACATGAATATAAGGTTTCCCTTTGATTAGAAATATATTTTCTGCCTTTTAAGCAAAATGTCCACTTAAGAGGCAAGCTAAAACAGAATTTCTGGCAGTGCATACTGAGAAAATTCCCCTAATGGATTTGCCCTAGAAGCCTCACGTGGATTTTTAGAATGCAAAATCCTTTTATTTTACATTTTTTGTCTTTTTGAATCAACATTTCACTGCTCTCTTTTTTCCACCCTCTGTATCCTCCATCCTGCCTCCCATTTGTAATAGATGCATCAGTCAGGAGGCATGAAGCTGGTCTGTCTGGGGAAATAAATGCATGGGCAGGCTTTCAAGTAGCTATACAATTTCTCTCTATTCTGTCACCTCTGCAATTCTATTCATCATGTTAAGAATGTACACATCAAGCAAAACCATGCTCCCAAATCACACAAATGGTTGTGGAATCAAGCAGTATCACATTGCTCCTACGGGCAGTTTATGGTTGACACATCTCTCCAACGAGGGTTAAAGAAAGACATTCACTTTGATGGATTTTGAAAAGCAAATTAAGCCTTGGAAACTTGTGAAGGAAGATCCAATCAACTCTGCCAGCCACCAGAGGAAGCCACTGCCACCTCTCAGCTGGAGAAACAGAGGGAAGATGCAATGTTATTACAGCCAGGAGCAGGGCCGGCCTTGAGAAGTTGGAATGGAAGTGAACCTCTTTCAGAGAGCTGGAGGCAGGTAGGAGATGCTGGGAGCATTTTGACAAAGATGTCCCATAAGGCAGAGAGGGTGGAAGATGAAAGTCCTGGCTTTTCCCTATCTCCTCCCTGATAATCTCTGGATTACCTGGGAAATTCAATCTGGAATTGGGCACCACCCCATACAATGCAGAGTAATGCCAGAAAAAAGAGGCAAAGGATATGAAGATCACCCAACCAAGATAGCATCCACTAAACATGTTGGCAGGTCGCAAAGGTGATGACCTAGGGGAAGTTCCTCTGAGCTGCTTTTCCACACCAAAGGCAGCAAGTCACTTGTGTTATCCTGCAAACTCCTTCCTAACTGCCTCCTAGGAGAGTGGAACCTGGTGTAAATGTCTTAGAAGCACCTCCAAAGAAGATGCCTGCTGTGTTCAGTTGCAACTTGTTCCTTCCCAGAAGATGCCTTTATCACCCATGAAACGTCGTTCTACATTCTTCCTTATTCCAAAGTGCTGACGTTTTGCAAGATGGTGACAATACTATGCAATTTCTCCATCTCCCTTGTAGTCAGGAGAGGCTGTAGAACATAGCCACTGTAAGTGGAAACCAATGATATGCCTCTCTGGAAACATTCCAGTGTCTCTGGGGATAAAGAGGAACAGATTCAGTTTCCATGAATTTTTTACCTTCCCTTCCTTTTCCTTCTTTTTTTCTGTCTTCTTTTGTCCTCATCAGAAACAAGACCTTAATGCCTACAGGTACAGCAGCTATTTGTAACCCAGGATCCATGAGCTAAAATAGATGGTGAAGCAAAAAACCGGAAGGAGCTTTGTCTTATCACATGTATAACATAAGTAAGGCAAACCAAATATTTACTTGAACCATTTTGCAGCCAAATAGTTTTGCAGAACTATTTTTTGCAGCCAAATATGATTTTAAATATTAAATCACCTAAAAACAAAACATGATAACTGATGCCATAATGATATAGGGGTAGAAAAATAAAAGATTTGAACTCAAAACATCTGAATTCAAACTCTGGCTCTATCAGTTACAAGCCATGTGATCTTAGACATGTGGCTGAATGTCTCTGTGCCTTGGTTTTCCCATTTATAAAATGATGGTGATGATAATTCCTGCTGGGTCTGGTTCCTTTTCAATATTCTACAGCCTCAGAGCCTACGCACATGCTGTTCCCTCTGCCTGGAATGCTGTTCTTTTGCTCCATTGACTCCTACTTATCCATGAGATCTTAGATCAAATATACTTTTCTTTCAGTGAGTTGTATTTGTTGTCCTCTCAGACTCAATCAGATTTCAACCTCTTAGACTTTCTCTACACTGTAGCTTTTCCTTCTTTTAAAAAATACTTTTATTGGCTGGAAACTGTGGCTTACACCTGTAATTCTAGCAATTTGGGAGGTCGAGACAGGTGGATCACTTGAAGTCAGGAGTTCAAGACCAGCCTGGCCAACACGGTGAAACCCCATCTCTACTAAAAATACAAAAATTAGCTGGGCGTGGTGGTGTGTGCTTGTAATGCCAGCTACTTGGGAGGCTGAGACAGGAGAATCGCTTGAACCCAGGAAGCGGAGTTTGCAGTGAGCCGAGATCATGCTACTGCACTCCAGCCTGCGTGACAGAGCGAGATTCCATCCCCCCTCCAACAACAACAAAAAAAATATATATATATATAGTATAAAACAAGTATATATATACTTTTATTTTAAGTTTGGGGGTACATGTGCAGGTTTGTTATGTAGGTAAACTTTTGTTGCATAGGTAAACTTTTGTCATGGGGGTTTGTTCTACAGATTATTTTATCATCCAGGTATTAAGCATAGTAAGCATAGTACCCATTAGTTATTTTTCCTGATCCTCTCCCTCCTCCCTCTGATATGCCCCATTGTGTGTTGTTCCCCTCTATGTGTCCATGTGTTCTGATCATTTAGTTTCCACTTATAAGTGAGAACATGCAGTGTTTGGTTTTCTGTTCCTATGTTATTTTGCCGTGGATAATGGCCTCCAGCTCCATCCATGTCCCTGTAAACAACATGTTCTCATTCATTTTAATGGCTGCATAGTATTCCATGATGTGTATGTACCACATTTTCTTTAATCAGTCTATCACTGATGAACATTTAGGTTGATACCATGTCTTTGCTATGTAAATAGTGCTGCGATGAACATATGCATACATGTGTCTTTATAATAGAATATTTATATTCCTTTCAGTACATCCCCAGTAATGGGATTGCTAGGTCGAATGGTATTTCTGTCTTAAGGTCTTTGACGAATCGCCACACTGTCTTCCACAATGGTTGAACTAATTCACACTCCCATCAACAGTGTAAAAGTGTTCTCTTTTCTTCACAACCACACCAGGGTCTGTTATTTTTTGACTCTTCAATAGTAGCCATTCTGACTGGTGTGAGATGGTATCTCATTGCGGTTTTGATGCACGTTTCTCTAGTAATCAGTGATGTTGAGCTTCAGTGGCATATTTGTTTATAAGATTATGCCATGAATTTCTGTCTCCTCCATGATACTGAAAACTCCATGAGGACAAGAAACCTCTATAAGTCACTTAGAAATACACCCTCAGCATCTCCTAGTGCTTGGACACGCAGCAGATACTCACTGTCTAACAAATGGACGGATAAGTAAGTTCTGAATTTCAAATACATATGTGTCTATGTAAGTGGGGAAAATAAGAATATTTATATTGTTGAATTGCTTAGACTAATGTTTTTCCAGAAGTTCCTGGCAGAGTATTTATCAAATTCTTCGCATTTATTACTGTGCAGTTGTATAGTATATTATTATCTAGCCATGCAAATAAAAACGAACTCTTTGTGACTCAACACTAATGTGCTTCCAATTGTAATGACTGCTGTTCTCACAGATTCTTGTTTCTGTGGTCAAAGAAATGGAGTGGGATGATATGGAGATTGTCTGTGACCCAAAGACTGCTGGTCTCCGTAATCATGGCATAGAGAAAAAGAGGAGCAGGGATTTATCACAGAGATGTATTTTATGTAGTAAGTTATTTTTCACATATATGTTTTTCTCTCTTCTTGTGATAAAAGGGTGGTTATTTTTTACACTTACTCACATGAAGTGTCAACTTGATTGAATTGAAGGAAGCAAGGTTCATCCTTTCTGGGTGTGTCTGTGAGGGTGTTGCCAGAGGAGATTAACATTTGAGTCAGTGGACTGGGAGAGGCGGACCCACCCTCAATCTGGGTGGGCACCATCCAAATGACTGCCAGCGAAGCTAGAAAAAGCAGGTGGCAGAAGGTGGAAGGAGATGACTTGCGGAGCCTTCCTGCCTTCATCTATCTCCCGTGCTGGATGCTTCCTGCCCTGAACATCAGACTCCAGATTCTTCAGCTTTTGCAGTCTTGGACTTACAACAGTGACTTGCCAGGGGCCCCCGGTCCTTGGGCCACAGGCTGAAGGCTGCACTGTCGGCTTCCTTATTTTTATTTATTTATTTATTTATTTACTTATGTATTATTTTGAGATGGAGTTTCACTCTTTTGCCCAGGCTGGAGTAACACTACATAATGACATCTATTTGTGGCATTTATATCTTTTGTTACAAGGCAGCTTATTACTTTAAATTATGGTTAAATAAAGACTTTCCACTCTGGTTTTAAACCATGTTACACATGGAGACATAGGAATGGATGATGGAAATTTTATTTATTCTTTTGCTTCTTCAAAATTTAAAAACTCTCCCTTAATTATGCTGG
The DNA here is from genome assembly GCF_000001405.40 of Homo sapiens. NCBI lineage: Eukaryota > Metazoa > Chordata > Mammalia > Primates > Hominidae > Homo > Homo sapiens. Next base: position 126,993,729 of record NC_000012.12, read on the forward strand.
AAGCCTTTTAGCATGGCTTCTTAAAGATGGAAGCAGAGACTGGATCCTTGTTCACCAAACCCACTCTCTCTCCTTCCTGGTTATGTTTTATTTCCAGCCTCCTTGTAGCTTGCTGTGGTCATGGGACTGGTTCGCAGCCAGTGGCAGGGGTGCAGACATGTGGCACTGCCTTCCTCACCTGGCCTGGGTGACGCTCCCATAGGTGATCCTGTAGGTTCTGTCCTCTTCCATCAGCTCCGTGCCCAGCAGCACCGCAAGCTTAGAAGCCACATGTTAGAGAAGGAGGAGCCAAAGATGGGAGAGCCTGGCCCCCAAACATCCTCCGGAGGAGAGCCACTCACTGATTGGGTGTATTAGTCAGGGCTCTCTAGAGGGACGGAACTAACACAATCTATGTATACATGAAAGGGAGTTTATGAAGGAGGACTGACTCACACAGTCACAAGGTGAAGTCCCACAATAGGCCATCTGCAAGCTGAGGAGCAAGGAAGCCAGCAGTAGCTCAGTTGGAGTCCCGACACCTTAAAAATAGGGAAGCCGGGTGGGCGCGGCAGCTTATGCCTATAATCCTAGAACTTTGGGAGGCCAAGGCGGACGGATCACCTGAGGTCAGGAGTTCGAGACCAGCCTGGCCAACATGGAGAAACCCCGTCTCTACTAAAAATACAAAATTTAGCCAGGTGTGGTGGTGGGTGCCTATAATCCCAGCTACTCAGGAGTCTGAGGCAGGAAAATTGCTTGAACCCAGGGCGCGGAGGTTGCAGTGAGGTGAGATCGCACCACTTTACTCCGGCCTGGGCGAAAGAACAAAACTCTGTCTCAAATAAGTAAGTAAATAAATATAGGGAAGCCGACAGTGCAGCCTTCAGCCGGTGGCTGAAGGACCAGGGGCTCCTGGCAAGTTACCATTGTAAGTCCAAGAGTCCAAAAGCTGAAGAACCTGGAGTCTGATGTTCAGAGCAGGAAGCATCCAGCACGGGAGAAAGATGAAGGCAGGAAGGCTCAGCAAGTCAGCTCCTTCCACCTTCTGCCACCTGCTTTTTCTAGACACGCTGGCAGTCAGTTGGATGGTGCCCACCCAGACTGAGGGTGGGTCTGCCTCTCCCCGTCCACTGATTCAAATGTTAATCTCCTCTGGCAACACCCTCACAGACACACCCAGAAAGGATGAACTTTGCATCCTTCAATTCAATCAAGTTGATACTTCATATTAACCATCAAACCAGGGCATTTCCTTTGAAAATTATGAGTGGGAAATGAACTTTTATTCTGTTTAAACTGTTACACACTTTGGGTTTTCTTTGTTACAGCATTTAACTTTATCTTAACTAACATAAAGACAAAAAATGGAAGCGATGGGATCCAAGCCTGATTTCTAATCACTAAGCAGTGTTTTAGTTTAGTTACTGATTTTGAAATTTTGTGGCTAGCATATTAATTGTTTATTACATTTTCATACCACCAATTCTAAGAAGTAAATAACCATTGAAAGCATTGACCACTCCATGTCTAAATAGATGCCTTGGTTAATGAAAAAAATTTCTATAGTCATTACTTACTAATGTTGCCAATAGAGAAAATAGGCAGTCCAGTGTAGCTGACCAGATTTTATCTTATGATGGACAATTTTATTTGTGCTCGGTTCAATGTACCAAAAACCAGCCTGAAGGTGTAGTATATACTTACACATTAATCCAATAAAAGTGGTTTTGCACAAGCAATTTTCCATGAGTTTCCAGAAAATAATCTAATTACTTATGAGTTTTTAACTCTGAAAGTAAGGATGACTTTTCCTCCCTGACTCTTCGGGGTCCTTTCTGAACTCTTTCAGTTGACCTGATTTAAATCTTAAAAAGTCAAGCAATCAATATTATCCGATAAGATGAAAATCAGTAAAATAAAAATATATATAGGATTGGCGAGTTAGAATTATGTTAGGAGAAAATATCCAATTTCTGCTAAATAACTGGGGAGACCTGGTCCCTAGCCCCTAACTCTTTATTGTGAACCAAGGACAGTTCCTCCCCTCCCATCTCTCAATATGTCCAGAGACAATCACTCCACAAAAACTTCAGACTCTCTTCCATGACATTGCTGAAGGAATATTCATGTCTTTTAAAATCTGCTTTGCACTGAGGAAAAAAAATAACCTTTCACTTCTTGGGAGAAAAATAAGCTCTTTGGGAAAATTATTTTTGTGCATTCTGCTAACTTAAAAATCACACAATTTATACATTTAGAAGGGAGAGCTTTATACCTGACAAGGGGGATTACAACTTGTAGGAGGGAAGCATAGCCTCTGGCCAAAAACCAAAAGCAAGCACTCTGAAGAGGAGTGGTTGAACAGAAGTTGAAGCTGAATGCATTGACCAAGGAAACATATGCAACAGGTTAAGGAAGAACTGTGGATTTGTGAAGGCGATCCTGAGGCATGCATATTGAACAAACGTGCACGTTACCCGTAAGCCATGTTCACTTTGGGATGGAGACTTAACATTTAAATGTATTACAATTAGACTTTATATGTCAAAAGATGAAGCAAGAACATGAAGACACTCAGTATGCAGCCTCTGTAAACCAGCCAGAACCAGTCCATGGTCCATGGTCTTCTTATCAGGAGAGAGTTACTGAAATCAGTCTCTTGTTCAGTGAAAGCTGTCGGCTTATGGAAGAGGAGGGCCAGTTAGTCAATGTCTGGTCGTAGATGAGCTTAAAATTGTTTTAATATTGCTTATCTCAAAGCCAGCACTTGTTTAGCTGCTAAAAATAAGAAAATTCTTGTGGCAGTTAGAATATAGTTTACTCTTTACGTAGATTCATCCATTGCCTGGCATGGTCTTAGGTCTTATTTATAATTTGGTATCTTATTGCTACAAAGAGTCTGTTCTGCCAGTCTTATGACCCCTATTTTAACAGTAATATTGGTCTGTTGTGTCTAATTTGCAAAAGCAAGGGGATGAGACAAGCCCTGTCCAATCTCCCACTCCATCATGGCTGGGAACTCAGTCTTTTTAAAGATTCTCTGGAGTCCCCTTAACCAAGACAGAGTCCATTCAGTGGGCTGTGAGGCTTAAGATTTTGTCTGTAGTTTACAATTCAAAAGTCTATTTTCTGCATGGCGTATTTGAGAGGAAAACAAAACCGCACCAAAATTGTTCCCCTAAAAGCTGAAGATCCCCTTTGTATACCCCCAATCAATGAGAAAGTCTATTGTTTTCTCCTTTTTTAAAATATCAATAAAAGCAGATCACATGAGTCATTTTCATGTTCAGTCAGGTTTTGAGGGTGATAATGTATTCACAGAACAGTGAAATGTCCTCAGACTGTTTTCACATACATGACTAAAATAATGTTTTGGCATATTAACCAATTTCTTTTCTCTTCTTTTTTTTTTCTTTTCTTTTCTCTCCCCAATAAATCATAGACTCCAGTTTCTGTTCTTTTTCCAGGAGTTTATGGGGAAGGAAACAGAAGCACTTACAAGTCTTTCTGGTTATGGAAAAGAGGCCTGCAATTCAGGAGCTGGTAATCCGTACAGCCAACGCTTGAAGGTACTGGGTCCTGGGGTGAGTCCTAGCAGAGAAAGTTCACTAGCTCAGTCTGCAACCGTGTTTTGACGTAAATGTCATTATCATCCCCACTCTACATAAGACGAAAGCAAAGCACTGCAAGGCAAAGTTACACATTCACATTTGCACAGCCAGGGAGTAGCAAAGCCAGGAGCTGAATACGGGCAGGTTGGTTCCTGTGATGGTGAATATTGAGTATCAACTTGACTGGATTGAAGGAGGCAAAACACTGTTCTTGGTGTGTCTGTGAGGGTGTTGCCAAAGGAGATTAACGTTTGAGTCGGTGGACTGGGAGAGGCAGACCCGCCCTTAATCTGAGTGGGCACCATGTAATCACCTGCCAGCTCGGCTAGAATAAAGCAGGCAGGAGAAGATGGAAAAGCAGACTTGCTGAGTCTTCTGGCCTTCATCTTTCTCCCGCGCTGGATGCTTCCTGCCCTTGAACATCAGATTCCGAGTTCTGCAGCTTTTTGACCTTTGGACTCATACCAGTTGTTTAACAGGGGCTCTCGGGCCTTTGCCCGAGACTGAGGGCTGCATTGTCGGCTTCCCTGGTTTTGAGATTTTGGGACTGGGGCTGATCCATCACTGGCTTCGTTGCTTCTTAACTTGCGGACGGCCTATTGTGGGACTTTAACTTGTGATAGTGTGAGTCAGTTCTTCTTAATAAAATCCCTTTCACATATACATCTATCCTATTAGTTCTGTCCCTCTAGAGAACCCTGAAAAACACAGTCCTAAGTCTAAATTTTTAGCCCCTGCTCTGCACAACTTCAAGATAGCCTGGGCTCTCCTGTCTAATACTGTGCCCAAATTCAACCAGATGAAGTAAGCACAATCCACCATTGCAGGTGCTTAGATTCAAGCAATTTCTCTGCAATTAGCTAGAGTATAATATTGCCTGTTACCCAATAATTAGGGCGCACAAGAACAAGGATCCTGATTAAAGCTGTTTTGCTTCCAATAAAGACAGGACCTAATTGCAGACCTCGCAAGATCCGCTTGTTTTAAGCGGGTGATGTGTTTGTATTAATTCTGCCTGCCCCTTCTCCAATTTAATCTGGTGTCCAAGCAGTTACCACTATGAACAAAAATGTGTTCTGGCCAAAATGTGACTCTATTCTAACTGCTTTAATGCCTCAATGGTTCAGTTAAATAAGCCACGTCCACCCTTACTGGGATCACAATTAAATAACATAAACATTCAACAATGTTCATACATATCTTGTAAAAATGCACAAAATAATAGGTTTAGATTCTGTGAAGCTCAGTCACGCTTTCATAGTGGTGTCATCAAGAAACAGTTGAGTTATTTTATTAGCATGTTTTTAAGTTCATTGACATCGAAATTATTTTAAAGGAGATTCTTAATACTCTTTTATTCTCCTATTTATTTATGTTTTCAATCACATCTTCCCACTGCATCAGTAACACGGAAGCCTTCTGACAAGGCCACTTAATTATCAGCTGCGCTGACTGGAAATGCTCCTTTATCAGCGCCTGCTTCCTTTGTCTGGCCTGAGAGGTCCCTGAAAAGTCTGCTGCGCCTGCCTTCGTTACTATTCAGACACAATTCTTAAGACACACGGGGTTTATGTCCCTTTGAAGGTTTGCTTGTCATTGTGGCTGGCTTATCACGGCCTTAAAGGGCTCCTCCTCAGCCCACCAATCCTCCATAGAGATGATGCTTGAGACTCTAAAGATAGTCAAATAAGGCACTTTATGTGAGTGCATATGAGTCATCCTCATCAATGCTCCTGAGAAACACGAACACTGAGAGGTGCTGCTTATTCATTCTATGAACGATTACTGGGCCCACTCCTTATCTGTAACTTCCAGAACAGTAGCACCGAGCAGGAAGGCCAGCCATGTCCCATGTAGAAATTATACTCCCGAGCTTACAATGGATGCCTTTGGGTTTTCTGGGTTTTTTTGCCTATGTTTTTTTAACTTGGTAATTAGAAGAGAACAGAGGAGAAAAATTAGACTATGTATGTTCTTTTTTTTTCCCTTTATCTATGCTGAAGTAGAGAATTACTGAGAGGTGAAATTTAAATTACCAAGAGTGATTAAAAAAAAAAAAGCTTAACATGGGATTTCATGGGATGGCTTATTTTTTTCTCCTTCTTGGCTTTACCCAGTGTTTTCAGTAACAAACACTCATAGTTTCCACGGCTTATAAAAATGAAAGAATATCTTGTTTGTTCCATCTCTCGCTGCTGTCTCGTGTCATCTACTGCGTGTTGGGTTTCAGATTCATGATTATAATGTCATTGTCACAGATGCTACAGAAGGTGCTAAGAATCACATCCTAATGCTGTCTTAGGAGAATGCATGCGATTAGCCATAAAGGGGAAAGAAAAGAGATTTTTATTTGATCCAGGCAGGCAGTCATTCCTGGAAATCCCCTGTACTCTGTTGGGTCACATGGACATCAGGAACTGCAAAGAAAGCTGGCAAATGTAGAAGTTACGATTATCCATGACCAGTTGGACCCCTGGAGCTGGGTACATGGATGCCCTGAATGAAACCAGGCATAGTTCTGCAAGGAAGGAACCGTTGAGGAACAGGAGGAAAATCTGCAGTGTTGGTCATGACCCTAGTGTTTACCTTATCCAGTGTTCCTTTTTTTTTTTTTTTTTTTTTTTGAGATGGAGTTTTCCTCTTGTTGCCCAGGCTGGAGTGCAATGGTGCGATCTCGGCTCACCGCAACCTCTGCCTCCTGGTTTCAAGCGATTCTCCTGCCTCAGCCTCCCCAGTAGCTGGGATTACAGGCATGTGCCAGCACGCCAGGCTAATTTTGTATTTTTAGTAGAAACGGGGTTTCTCCATGTTGGTCAGGCTGGTCTCGAACTCTCGACCTCAGGTGATCTGCCCACCTGGGCCTCCCAAAGTGCTGGGATTACAGGCGTGAGCCACTACACCCGGCCTACCTTATCCAGAGTTCTGACTCTACCCTGGGGCTCTGGCCCCTACATTCTGCCCCAACCATTAAGGGACCCTGAAATCAAACCATAAGGACTTTAAAATTCTGATTCCATGGCCTCAGCTTTTGAGATTCAACACAAATGCCACAAAATCAAAGTTCCACTTACTTGGGCAGGTAGACAATCGAATGTCAACCACAAAGCTGTATTATGCCGAGCATTTTGTCTGATACTCCCAGAAAAGCAAAAAACTCTTCGGTGAATGTACAGCGCTCAGACAAGCCTTCTCCCTCCCCCAGGGCATTCTTCCCAGGATAAGCACAAGACCTACCTTGCAAGACATGAGAACATTCTCAATAATAAGTGAGAAGAAATTCTTTCTCTGTCCCAGGGATTCTTGCCAAAAAATGTGTTGCTTTACAGGGGCTGCAGGAGAAAAAAAAAAACAGGAAATATTAGCTCAAAATAGCCATTGTGGGTTATGTCTGTGTGTCGGGACCGGCCGTCTCAGTTCAGGCAGCCTCAGCCTCATGCTGAGGTCCTGGGTCTATTGTAAACAGAGAGGTCACTTCTTAAGATTCCTAAAATGACACAACTAACAATCCCTTTAGGCTGAGCATCACTCTTTCTGGTCTTCCTTTTCAGAAGTAGCTATAGCTCTTCTGAAGGACGGATCATTAAAAGAACCCTAATATAATTCTGAGAAATCTGTTTAAAGATGTTTTATTCCTCATGGAAGAAATGTACCAAATGAGCCCTGGACACAGCAGAAAAATCAGAAAAGTCACATATTTTTCTGGGTTTGGATTTAAAAGTTCACAAAAGAACCATACTCAAAATTGCTCAGTAAACCAGCTGAGCGCAGGACTGTTGGTTGCTTTCATTTCAATTGATACCATTGACGTGATTCACCTTACTCTTGCAAGAGTGGCCATAATAAAAACAATAAAAAAATAGTAGATGTTGGCATGGATGTGGTGAAAGGGAACACTTCTACACTGCTGGTGGGAATGCAAACTTATCCAACCATTATGGAAAACAGTGTGGAGATTCCTTAAAGAACTAAAAGTAGAGCTGGGTGTGGTGGCTCACGCCTGTAATCCCAGCACTTTGAGGGACCGAGGCGGGCGGATCACGAGGTCAGGAGATTGAGACCATCTTGGCTAACACGGTGAAATCCCGTCTCTACTAAAAATACAAAAAATCAGCCAGGCGTGGTGGCGGGCGCCTGTAGTCCCAGCTACTTGGGAGGCTGAGGCAGGAGAATCGCTTGAACCCGGGAGGCGGAGGTTGCAGTGAGCGGAGATTGTGCCACTGCCCTCCATCCTGGGTGACAGAGCAAGACTCTGTCTCAAAAAAAAAAAAAAAAGGAACTAAAAGTAGAACTACCATTTGATAAAGCAATCCCACTACTGGATATGGATATCTACCCAGAGGAAAAGAAGTCATTATATGAAAAAGATACATGTGAAGCACAATTCACAATTGCAAAAATGTAAAACCAACCGAAATGCCTATCAATCAATGAGGGGATAAATAAATATATATATACACACATACATAAATATATCTGTGTGTGTGTATATATATATACACTATGGAATACTACTCAGCCATAAAAAGGAATGAATTAATGGCATTTGCAGCAACCTGGATGGGATTGGAGGCTATTATTCTAAGTGAAGTAACTCAGGAATGGAAAACCAAACATCCTATGTTCTCACTCATAAGTGGGAGCTAAGCTATGAGGATGCAAAGGAGTAAGAATGCCATAAGGACTTTGGGGACTTAGGGTGAAAGGGTGGGAAGGGGGTGAGGGATAAAAGACCGCAAACTGGGTGCAGTGTATACTACTTGGGTGATGGGTGCACCAAAATCTCACAAATTACCACTAAAGAACTTACTCATGTCACCAAACACCACCTGTTCACCAAAAACCTATGGAAATAAAAAAATTAAAAAATAAAAATTAAAATTAAAAGTTCACAGAAGAACCAAACTCAGAAATGCTCAGTAAACCAGCTGAGCAGGGATAGAAGCAGATGACTGTTGGTTGTTTCTATTTCAGTTGATGTCATTGATGTGTCTAGACAACATGCCCTTTCTAAGGTGGGAGATGCGTATCTTCAAACATTGGCACTACGGGTAGTGTAGAGAGATGCTCCCACCAGGAGAACCCTGGGGAACTGAGAGCAATGAAGGAAACCAACTATTGACATCTCCCATCTCATGCCTTAGCTTCCCACAGGGACAAATTCAAGTGGACAAGAATATAAGCAGAATCCTAGACTCCAGTAATGTTATGATGTTATTCTCTCTCTCTAGCTAGCCATGCATGTAGTTGAGTTAGTGTTAACTAAAGAGGTGTGTGGTGTGATTCTACTGCTCTGAGAAAAAGAATTAGTCAAGAAACAGGCAAGTGTAGTTTCAAAAGCCAAGAACCCTGACCAGAATGTCTTAGAATACTTTTTTTTTTTATTCTGGGAAGAAAAAAATAAAAGTCAGGAATGAATGCTTTTCTGGGTCAAATAAAAACCTTGTTTTTTTTGTTTTGTTTTGTTTTGTTTTTTGTTTTTTGATGGAGTTTTGCTCTTGTTGCTCAGGCTGGAGTGCAGTGGCGTGATCTAGGTTCACTGCAACCTCCACCTCCTGGGTTCAAGCAATTCTTTCGCCTCAGCCCCCCAAGTACCTGGGATTACAGGCATGCGCCACCGCGCCCAGTTAATTTATTTTATTTTATTTTATTTTATTATTTTAGTAGATATGGGGTTTCACCATGTTGGTCAGGCTGGTCTCAAACTCCTGACCTCAAGTAATTCACCCACCTCAGCCTCCCAAAGTGCTGGGATTATAGGCATGAGCCATTGCACCTGGCCATGGCCAAAAACCTTGTATTTTTATTTTTTGGCTAATCACATGTCTTCCGAAAAGGATACGGCTATTGGGATGTGATTTTGTTTTTTTGTTCTTCCCAGGAAAAAGTATTCTTAGCTAGAAGAGGACACAGAATCAAGGGTGTTTTTTGTGTTCAGGGGTACAGGGAGGGTGAATTTGGCCAAGCAGCTTGTTTGGAGAAGGCACCCTTAATAAGTGGAAGAAAGGTCTAAGTGGACTTTAGAGGCCTGTTTTTTTCTATCAATGTTGGGTTTGGATTTCTTGCGAATTTAAGTTTATGAATGAACTTGACTTTATCAAAGTGAGGACCAAGCCCATTTTGTCCATGCCTCTCATCAAAGAGGGCCTCACACTTACAATTCTGTTTATAAGGGTATTTTTTTCCAAATGAAATTACACACACAATTTTTTTTTCACTAGAAAACATCAAACTAATATGACTAGACTCAAGGAGTTGACAGTATTTGTATACCTACAATTACTTTGCAGAAAGTAAACCATATTGTATTATATTTCAATGTATGTGTTGAAATTTAACTAATCTCATTCTTACCCTGAGTAGCCATGGAAAATTGGAAAGAATGTAAAACAAAGCAACAACAATTACACTGGGAACCTTACCACAGGAAAACCATGTCTTACAGAATCTATAGAAATATTTATACCTGGTTGGCTTAGCCTCTCTTCATCCCTGAGTTTCTGTTTGACTATATCATATTATTGCCCTGAATCTGTTGTCATAGTATCTAGGAGCAAAAGATTCCAATTCCCCGGTAGAGACATACTTCACTATGGCACTAGCGCTTAATTTTCATCGATGTCCTTTATCACTCCTTCTGGGTCAATTGTAACATTCTTTAAACTATACCCCAAAATCCACTGAGTTCAATGTTTAGTCTTGCTGATGGATATTAGTATGCAGAGAGTCTCACACATTGTCATACTGATGACTAGATAATCCTTCCATAATACTGTGTTTGCCCTGCATAGCATTAAACTCCTTTTCCATCGAGTGATTTAATAATACAATGTGGATTTTGCTTATTGTTGACAATTAGAATTCTGACAATATTAGTTTTGCATTGCAACATATCAGCAACTGGCTAAGTCTGACTTATAGACAGATCATTTGGGGCACATGAGTTTGCAATTCTTGTTGACAACATAAAGATACAATGTAATGTAAATTGGATAATCAAAATTGGATATCATACTTCTTAAAGGGCTTGTGGCTCATTGGTATCCCACAGTAATATGATTGAAAAGCGTTAGTCTAGTTCAAGATGGCTGAAAGATTATTCTCTCTCTACAGATTCTAAACATATGCTGTAGCATTTTTTTCTTATGCAGACTGACACCTATTCACAGAGTGAGCATCTGTTGATTGGTGCCTGTTGCTTTTGCATTCAAGATATTCTCAAATCATTCCCTGACTCTTGAGTGTTATCAGTATTGTTATTATGTATTGAATTATATTTTTGCAGAAACTCTTCTGAGGGTTTTATATAGATTATCTCATTTGATCCTCAGAATTGCCTCATAAGATACTTTTCTAATCCCCATTTTATACCTGAAGAAACTGAATCTTAGAAAGATGATAGGACTTGCTTAAGGCCTCTTAGCCAGTAAGAATATGAATCAGGATTTATTCTAGGTAGGAAATGAAACCACCTGCATCAATATGATGTAACCACTTTTTTTAGAAATTTCTTGTCCCAGAAAATAAGACCATATAACCAATAAATGACTATTGAATATGTCAGAATATTTTGTAAATCAATTTACCCAGGACATTAGTTTGCTCACCTGAGTAAACAGTTATTTTATCAGTCAATAGTTTACTAATGAAAACTCTTACCTGGCTGTGTCCACCAGTCCTAAATTATTATGTCAAAAATGATACAAAATTCAACCAGTTCTGACTCCAAAAGCCCCATCTTAGAGAAATTGAACCCAGGCACCCACATGATATAAATATTCTATTTTGCCTGCCCCCTTTTGAAACATTGCTAAGATTCTCTCAAGGCCTCCTTGATACAGTAAGTTTAAGTTTAATCCATTCATCTTTGGTTGATCAATATAATAGGAATATATTAGGTTTGTGGCAAAAACCGCAGTTGCTTTTGCACCAACCTAGTAATATTTTCTGGTGGTCTTACTGGGCAAGTAGACTCTGAACACAAGGCAGACAGCTATCATTGTGACACAGAACTGATCGTTGCAGTATATAGTGTCCTGGTGCCATAAACAGACTGTAACTCCGAGAACAGGACTTCGACTTTTAATTGTTGAGCTTGCCATTTCTCTACCGTTTCTCTTGCCATTTGCCTACTTCTGTCGCTAATGTCCTTTCAGATAAATTTGTGTGTTTGTAGCCACTACATTCATGTTAATCTCCTATAGGAGTCATATGGATCTAATACGCTGTGCCACACCTGGCAGGCTTCCTCTGGTTTAGCAATCCCTGAGGCCAGGTGAGATGGTTAGCCAGACTCTGCAGTTCAGAATGAGAAAGTCCACTTGGCTAACACACCCACAGCCATGATATGCAATTTGTTCTCTAACAGTAATAAAGCTGATAATTTGACCTTTAATTGCCATATCTCATGTCTCCATTTGTTTAGGACCCAATGGAGAAGATGGGTGAGATTTAGGAGGGACAGTCTCAGAAACCCCAACAGTGGTGGCTGCCAGAATATGGTGGCCCGAATTCTCCATTAGGGCCTCTGTGCTTCGTTCCCCTGTGTGTCCCCTGTAGACCTCACAAGTTGTAGGAACTTAATCAGGATTTGTTATTGTTAATGAGAGTGGTAAAGTCCTACAGAGAGAGTCCCAGAAGATAGACCTGCTAAATGTACACAGAAAAAAACCTGAGAAATCGGCCTGAGCTGAGAATCTCTTGTGTCCGTAAGGGGATCCTGGGTATGGCTTGACTTGAGGATCTTGTGGGCAATGAAGACAGAACATTGCCTAAATAAATAAATCGGCTAAATTAGTTCCTGGTTCAAACAGAGACAGCGGGACCTAAAGGAGCATCGCAGCAGAGGCAGCCCGGCACCTCCCCAGTGCCTTCAGAATCCATCCCAATAGGATCCGAGGTAGAAGCACCCTGCTGCGCTCCGTAACCATTCTTTTCAGCATGAACCCACATCCTTCCTTCTCAAAAGCTAATTTCTGAACAGGAAAGAATATCCAACTTAGAAAAGCTTTTCAATATCCTGCATGTCTCTCTTTTTTTCTTGTTTCCTTGTCCTGCCTCAATTCTGGGTGAGTGACGTGCTAATGGATAAGCATTTGCCTTTCTTCTATCTTCTCACTGAGGAAATGCTCTGGCTTGAGGAAAGGTTGCTGGCTTGCCTTGCTCTCTCGCTCTCTCTCTCTCTCTTTTTCTTCTTTGCTTTCTTTCATCTCTTCATCAAAGAACTGCCATACTCCACTGATTGATGGGGTAAAGTGCTATGGTGGTTAAATGGCTCAAATGCTTTTGGTTCTGTAACACCAAAATGCCCAGGATGGCAGAGGAGGAACAGCTTCTTTTGATTCTTCAAACCAGAAAGATAAACATGCATTCACACAAACACACTCACACACATGCAAACACACACACAGACATATATGCACCTATGCAAATACACAGACATACACATATTAACACATATATATACACACACATACACATATACACAGGCACGCACACCTATGCACACACCTACAAACATATACACAGACACAGAAACACACACAAACACACACAGACACAGAAACGCACACACATATACACGCCTACAAACATCTACACACACATACACACACAAACATATTCACACAGAAACACATACACATACATACACACATACGTGCATTGAAATACACGCATATATGCATGTGCACACATTTATGCAGACACATACATAGCAAGTGCTGGCAACAAAGGTGGAGGAGTTGGGCCATGATGTAAAGAGGAAAAACACACAAGGTTTTCATTTCTTCATCACAGGAGTGACTGTTCGGGTTATACTGTGACGGTTTCACAAGACCTTTGTCCTAATAAAAATCATCAGTGATCTCCAGGTCCTGTTGCTCAACATGTGAGGACAGAAAAAGTCCAGGTTTATCTTCCTTTGCTTCTTAGGCCTGCAGCTTCGAGCGTTTGCCCCTCACTTAGCATGCTGCTCCCAGAAAAGAAACATTAGGTAATTAATTTGAATTCCCAGAAATGTGCTTGCGACCTCGATGCAGGCTCAGCGGCTTCCAGGGAGCTCCCTGCCTTGGCCGTGCCTTTGCGCCTGGCTCTTGCGTGGAATTCAGACTCCTAGCTGTCCCGTGGCTCTGTTAACTTACATGAAATATTTTTGATTCACCCTGAAAATATCTGTAATATGCTGCATTATTTCTGAGCTGTATGAGGACTTCATATGCAAGGAAAGTTTTATTTAACTAAATAAACCATTGGAAGAGCCATTTATGTTCAAATCATTAAGACATGCAGTTTGGGAGATGAAAGAAAATAAACACTATCATTGGAGGCTCTTTTGGTTTCAAGCAATGATGAAAATGTAGCTCGAACACGTCAAGAAAGGTATTGGTTTATATACTCATTTCTCCATTTCCCTTTTTTTTTTTTTTTTTTTTTTTGAGACGGAGTCTGTAACCCAGGCCAGAGTGCAGTGGTGTGATCTTGGCTCATTGCAACCTCCACCTCCCGGGCTCAAGCTATTCTCCTGCCTCAGCCTCCCAAGTAGCTGGGATTACAGGTGCGTGCCACGGTGCCCAGCCTAAATTTCTTATCTGCTCTTTTACTGTGGCTTCCCTTCTAAGCCCGGGACTGACCTTTGAGATTACCCATGAAATCCGCACGCTGACACCATCAGTGGTACCAGCAGTAAGGTGTTTTCTCTTTTTCCTGCAGTTCCACAAAACCTCTCGAATCTAGATTCATTTGTGCTGATGGAGAATATATCCAGCCCAGAAGCAATCACAGGGCCTGAAAATAAAGTGAGGCTCTCACTGGCTGGCTGTGATTTCTAGGCCCACTTCTGTAGGCAGAGTGAGGGTGGGTTGAGGCAGCTAGTGAGCAACCACGCAGCAGTTGAACAATTTCAGGTCTGAGCTCCAGGACTTATGGCTTTGAAATAACTGACAAAATTGTATGGAGAATGGGATTGTCAAAAATAAAAAAGAAAGAAAGAAAAAGAAAGAAAGAAAGAAAGAAAGGAAGAAAGGAAGAAAGGAAGAAAGGAAGAAAGGAAGAAAGGAAGAAAGGAAGAAAGGAAGAAAGAAAGAAAGAAAGAAAGAAAGAAAGAAAGAAAGAAAGAAAGAGAAAGAAAGAAAGAAAGAGGGAGGGAGGGAGGGAGGCAGGGAGGGAGGGAGGGAGGGAGGGAGGGAGGAAGGGAGGGAAAGAAAGAGAGAGAGAGAGAAAGCAAGCAAGCAAGAAAGAAAGAAAAGAAAGAGAAAGAAAGAAAGAGAAAGAAAAAGAAAACACCATGTAGACTTTGGTATCTCTATTACTAATTCTTTTGTTCATTCTCTGTTATGGCTTCAAAAAGAGAAGAAAATATTTTTCAATCTTTTAACCCCTAATTCTGACATTGACCACCCCCTTTCTCCACCCCGGGGGTGATCTTTTTCTGTCCACACTGTGCGACATCATTTAAATATCCAACCACGCCACATCTTTTGAGTCCCAGACCTCTGATTGGTTGTCCTTGGTTTTCTCATTTTGTTCTTTTTTTATGTTCTGATTTGTTTCATGTGGCCTTCTCTAAGCTGGTAGAAATGGAACCACACCTGCATTAGTGTTTGCACGCCACAGCCCTGTATTTACGGAGTGATTGAGGAACCTCCCAGGAGGAAGCGGAGGCAAACTCCCATTTCCAGGCCCTGCTGCTATCCTCCTTCACAGAGCAAAGCCACTTTCTTCCTTTAGGAGGTGTCCATGGATGCCTGTGGGCCATCATTTCACCCTTAAACACAACAGCCTCCTCATCAGTCATTCTAACACTGCTTCAGTTTTCCACCAACTTTCGCAACCTGAGCGTGTCAGCCAGGGCCTTAGGAGCCGGTTACTCAAAGGGACTGTGGACCTTGAAGCACAAACAAAATGCAACAAACAAAAATCTTCGACAGCTGATCTGAAGCAATATGCAGACAGCAGCACTTTGTTTAGATTTGTCCATGCCTATTTCTAATCTTAGCAGCACAGACTTTAAAGGTGATACATTCCCTGTGTCTACTAAGGGAAGGCCGTTCCTCTCACTGTTTATTTTAAAACTATAACCTTTAAGCTTGGATATAGGGAAAAAGAAAGGAAAGTTTCCATAACTGGAATCGTGTATTTCTAATCTTAATCAGTACTCCATTTAACCCTTGTAGGAATATTTGTGTGGGTACAAAGTCACATGTAAAAATACCTTGGTTTTGTGAAGCTTCAGCTTTAAAACACTGTGAGTCAGAAAAAGAGAAATCCTTTTCATTCATAATGCAGGAAGCTACCCATTGGGGAAATAAGTGCTTTTAAATATTTAGTATGATTTAATCATAGATTATACAATCTTCCTTTTTTGATCAAAAAATTGTCATTCACATTTATTCAGATATCAATCCCAATCTTACTTTAAAGAAGCTGAAGGCATAGAAATAGCTATTATGACACCAGTTATAAACAAGAAAGTTTGATCCATGAACACAGTTTTCAGGTATATGTGAGCTTTCATTTGAAAAAGGTTGATTCGGTTCTCTCCACATGCCATGGACTTGGCAAAGTTTTTTTTTCCTAAATAGTATCTCATTTTTTTCTATCAACCTTAGAAAATAGTTATTAGCATCACCATTTTAAAAAAGAATTTTAAAAGTTATAACCTCTAGGAAAGTTGTCCAAGGTCACAAGGCTAATAAGGATTGGATATGGGTTTTGTCACATAAGGTGCTATGCTATGCTAACAAATACCTAAAATATTGGTTTATCTTTGCTCACTTGCCAATTGTGTTAAAGCAGGGTCTTGATAAAATTCCAATAGCATTTCCTACTTCCCTTCTTTCTTTCAGTATTTATTTATTTTTTTCCTTAAGTATCTACAAAATAGGGAACTCTTCAAAGTCAGGCTAAAATCATAACTTTACAAGATTCTTTTCTGCTTTTATTTCTCTTTTGGTGAGACCTACAATAAAAAGTTGTCTTTCAAGTTATTATTTTGCCTACTTTGAGGCAAAACATGATTCTTTTTTCTTAAAAATTTCATCACAAAATTCTGGGTAGCTGGGATTTAAATACTACTTGGCATAATGACTGATCACTTTTTAAAAGAGCCTCATCTGCTTTGTTAAATTAGTTCTGAATTCTGAAAGCCTGCTGTCATTATACAGATAGAATCATTTTTGTAAAATGTACAATTGTTTGTTGCTTTTGTTCTCCTGATTTATTTACTGACTTAGTTTACCAATTATTTATAGTTAATATTTTATGAGAGATTTTATTCTGAAACACAGCTTTCTTCTCTGGTCTTATTTCTAATGAACATTAATGATATAATATGTATGCCATTTTAAGCCTGTTTTCTCATCTAGTAAGGTGACATATTGACTTAGATGGTTTCATTTAAGAGCCAGGAAAATCATAAGAGTTAACGAGTGTGTATTTTGCATCTTCCATTACCATAGGTAAGGGACAGAGACACAGACATGCATAAGACACAATCCTGCATTTACTTTTTAATTGTAAATATGCTAACATTTTAGAGAGACAAATACACATCTAGACACATTATTATTAAGCTGTGTGGAAAGATCAATATCAGCCACAAAATTCAGTCAGGATAGAGATAAGGAAGGATCCGGGGTACACATCGGGAGGGAGATGATTGATAAGAGAAAGGAAGGAAGCTGTGATGATTGAATATTAGGTGTCAACTTGATTGGATTGAAGGATGCCTGGATGGCTGGTAAAGTGCTGTTTCCTGGGTGTGTCTGGGAGGGTGCTGCCAGAGGAGACTGACATTTGAATCAGTGGACTGGGAGAGGAAACCCTCCCTCAACGTGAGTGGGCACGATCCATGCTGCACGCATGCTTCCAAGCAGGCGGAAGAAGGTGGGAGGACGTTGCTTGCTGGGTTTTCTGGCTTCCGTCTTTCTCCCGTGCTGGATGCTTCCTTCCACTCCTCCTGCTCTTGGACATCAGACTCCAGGTTCTTCAGCCTTGGTATTCTTGGACTTACACCAATGGTTTGCCGGGGGCTCTCGGGCCTTCCGCCACAGACTGAAAACTGCACTGTTTGCTTCCTTGCTTTTGAGTGTTTTGTACTGGGACTGAGCCACTACTGGCTTCCTTCTTTCTGAGCCTACAGGCAACCTGTCATGGGACTTGGCCTTGTGATTGTGTTAGCCAATTCTCCCTAATAAGCTCCCTTTTTTATAAACATATATACTATTAGTTCTGTCCCTCTGGAGAACGTTGACTAATACATAAATCCAGAGTTTCTAATCCCAGACACAATTAATAGAATGAGAAAGAAATAACGTTCTGTGTGAAACTACAAGTTTCCGGCACATAAAATATAACGCAGTAACTGCAAATAAAGTTGTATAAATAGTATCAGTGGTTTTCACTTAATTAGCACTTACTAGGTTTCAGGGCTTTGGATTCATTCTATTTGCAAAGAAATTATACAATGAAGGTACAGTTATTACGTGCCCATTCAATTGAAGAAACAGGGATATAGGTAATTTCACATAGCTGTGAAATGTGCTAAATATTAGAATACATCCAGCTAAATATTATCATCATATCCAAGCAGACTGACACTTGAGTTTCTCAACCTGACTGTTCATTGCTACCATATAAAAGAGTATATACGTGCTTCAGCGCCTTCCAGACCAACTAAGTCAGAAATCCTGGAAGTAGGACCTCAGCAACTGAAGGTTGCATTCTTAAGTCTTACATTGCCTTAACTATCTGTATGGAGACCCTTGGCTAACATATTTAGACTCTGGGATGTTTTGTCAGAATAGCAGGATACTCAACAAAGAGAGCGAAATGCACTGATTGATGTTTTGTAAGAGTATTGTGGCTGCACTATGGAGCTATGGAGAATGAATGGCAATGAGACAATATTTGAGGCAAGTCAAAGTGTTGTGTGTTTATTCCTCCAGTTGAGGAAGAGTTGATTAAGGAGAAAAATGGGATAGTTTTGCTGACAGGGGAATAAATAGGATCAATTGGAGAAATGTTCTGGAGACTGGTAGGCGTGCCTTGATTGACTGGCTTCGGAGTTGGAAAGACAAAAGGATGACTTCAGAACTCTCAGTGGGGTGGAAGGTGAATGGTGGGTTACACTTCTGTCCAAGACAAAGACACATAAATAGAAGCAAATTCAGGAGGAAAGTGATGAGACCTTTGGAGTTTTTGTAAAGTTCGAGTCACCTACATATATTCAAATGGAGACGTCTAGGATGTATCTGGTAACATACATTTATGAAGAGGGATAAGTTAAGCCTGAGAGTAATTATTTGACACTCAACATTACAAAGATAAGGATTGTTTGGGATCAC
This sequence comes from Homo sapiens, assembly GCF_000001405.40. Lineage (NCBI taxonomy): Eukaryota > Metazoa > Chordata > Mammalia > Primates > Hominidae > Homo > Homo sapiens. Next base: position 127,012,663 of record NC_000012.12, read on the forward strand.
CAAAGGAAAGTAGACGGATTCAGAAGAACAGGGAGGAAGTGAAGCATCTTTATCTGTGCCCTTGTGCCTCTTCCTCCATCAAGAGCCAGATTCCTATGGCACAAATTTAGTAACAAGAAGTTATGAGAAGTTTTGGGTACTCAATCTATTGTCTAATATCTATTAATCATAGACATCCTTGGCTAGTCTAGTTTTTTAAGGTCATTCACTTTGTTAAATGAAATTTGTGGAATTATATTGAATGTTTAAAATTTTAAAATGGTTTTAAAATTTCGTCCTTTAAATATCTAAATATACTAAATTAAGTCAGGTAGAAATTATTGTGGTCTTCCTCTTTAAGCTCTAAAATGCCCATTTGAACATTTTTTTAAAACCCATAAAAGCTTTTCACAGTGGCAGTACCATAGCCAAGGAGGTTTATCTGAGGTGTAATTTTTTTTTATGCTTTAAGTTTTATACTTTTTTTTTATACTTTAAGTGCACAATGTGCAGGTTAGTTACATATGTATACATGTGCCATGTTGGTGTGCTGCACCCATTAACTCGTCATTTAACATTAGGTATATCTCCTAATGCTATCCCTCCCTATCTGAGGTGTAATTATTGCATGAAAATTTTTCCCAGTACTCGGTCATGATGACTTGAAATAGAATCAACATTGGCAATCTTTGACAGTCTCTATGGAGACTGAACTTTAAAGAAAAAAATGATAATAAAGTAATAAAACCCCACACAGGTACAATAAACACCACACATGTGCAAGGTGCATATTCAGAAAAGAATGAAGGAAAACCAGGAGAGTGCACTGCAATAGATCCTACTTTCAAGTAGAGACGATCAACAGCAGAGTCAATGCGAGACTAAACAGTGTCCATTTCATTTTCAACAAGGAGGATGTTTCTGTTCTTAGGGAGGGCAGCTTCAGGTGGCTAACGGGTGGGCATCGACGTCCTGGATGCTGCTGTCACCACAGTGACTCACACCAAGAGTACAGCGACAAATAGAAACACGGGGAACATAAAAACCTCAATCCGGGCCGGGTGTGGTGGCTCACGCCTGTAATCCCAGCACTTTGGGAGGCCAAGATGGGCGGATCACAAGGTCAGGAGATCGAGACCATCCTGGCTAACACGGTGAAACTCCGTCACTACTAAAAATACAAAAAATTAGCCGGGCGTGGTGGCGGGCGCCTGTAGTCCCAGCTACTCCGGAGGCTGAGGCAGGAGAATGGCGTGAACCTGGGAGGCGGAGCTTGCAGTGAGCCGAGACTGGGACACTGCTCCAGCCTGAGCGATAGACCGAGACTCCTTCTCAAAAAAAAAAAAAAAAAAAAAAAAAAAAAAAAAAAAGAGCTCAATCCTATATTCAGATCCTGCAAAAGAAGCGGCACAGCCAGGCAGGGAAGGTAGAAAAACCAGCCCACGATAGGAGAGACTCAAGTAGTAAAAACAATCTGAATATTATCAGTTTGGAAGCAATGTGAGTGGTTGCTAAAATTAGCTAATATGTGACTTGTATGTGAAGAGCATGGGTAGGAAGCTTACTTCATAGGAAGAGAATGGACTTAGTATCCCCTTAATAGAGAAACTCTAGAAAAATGCTGCATAGGCATATTTGGTGAAAACAGCCATGTTTCTTGTATCTCCAAATCCACAGCCAGCCAAAAATCTCTGCTCAACAAACAAATTTGCCTGGAATTGTAACTGCAATTTGTTGAACATGATATAATTTTCTTAATGGGTCTTGAAATCCTACAATGATTTTATTAATTCTACATTTATTAATGTTAATTTATAAATCATCTAATTTTTATTTTTAAGAATATTTTTGTGTTATGTTTAGGAATGAGTTGATAGTAGTGGGATTGTGAAGTGCAATAATTAAGGTAATTTCACATATCACATGACAGGCTTGTCTTTCAATGCCAAATAAACTGGGAATTAAAAAAAAAATTTTAGAATGTGTGCTTTTTGGCTGGGCGCGGTGGCTCAAGCCTGTAATCCCAGCACTTTGGGAGGCCGAGGCGGGCAGATCACGAGGTCAGGAGATCGAGACCATCCTGGCTAACAGGGTGAAACCCGTCTCTACTAAAAAATACAAAAACATTAGCAGGGAGTGGTAGCGGGCGCCTGTAGTCCCAGCTACTCGGGAGGCTGAGGCAGGAGAATGGCGTGAACCCGGGAGGCGGAGTTGCAGTGAGCCGAGATTGCGCCACTGCACTCCAGCCTGGGCGACAAAGCAAGATTCCGTCTCAAAAACAAAAACAACAACAACAACAAAAGAATATGTGCCTTTTAATTTGAAAATATATGTTTAAAAACCATTGAATTAGTTATGAGAAATTGAGGTTTCTATATTTAGGAGTTTAATATGCTCTATTAGCTGAGATTATCAAATTACTTGGGATAGTTTTCTAATAAGGCATGTGAACTGCTTAAGATGAGAGTTACATATATGAAATTTTAAAAAATGGTTAAAATATTTAAAGATATGGCCAGGCACAGTGGCTTATGCCTGTAATCCCAGCACTTTGGGAGGCCAAGGCAGGTGGATTGAGGTCAGGGGTTCAAGACCAGCCTGGCCAACATGGTGAAATCCTGTCTCCACTAAAAATACAAAAATTAGCCAGGTGTGGTGGCACATGCCTGTAATCCCAGTTACTCAGGAAGCTGAGGCAGGAGAATCGCTTGAACCCGGGAGGCAGAGGTTGCAGTGAGCTGAGATCATGCCATTGCACTCTAGCCTGGGCGACAGAGCAAGACTCCATTTTGAAAAAAAAAAAAAAAAAGATATGCAATCAAATGCAATCAAATTATTTAAACCCTTCTTAACATTTTTATATAGAATGTGTATGTTTATCAATAGCTTTGTAAACAGAATAATAAGACTTTTAAGTCAAAATCAAATGTTTAAATATAACTTAAATCCTGATTGCTTTAATTTAATGAAGTAATTTTAATGAACACACAGTCTCAAACAGTTTTTTCTGTGCACAAAAACTACCCTTAAAATAACCCGAACCAACATTGACTGTAAAATTTATGAAGGGAAATGGACACAAACAAATCCTAATCCTGAGGTTGTTGGACGGGACTAGGTCATTGAGACAGCCCTCTCCTCAGTTGAAATGTCAGAAGTAATCAATGAAGGAGCTGAGACCATCAGGAGTGCTCTTAAAGGCACTGTCCCTGGTGGGAAGAAATAGAGAAGCACAAGACCTCTACTGCAAAAACATCAGTTGTGTGCTAACGCCACCAGTGTTTGCTCAAAGGAACAGGTTGCTAAATTTCTGAGTAAATTGTAAAGCATTAGCAGCATAAAATGATCCATTGTGGGAGAATTTACACCAAAGAAATTGACAAACACCACAAATCAAGGCTGTTTTCCCACCCCTCTCAGACAGCTGGTGGATAAACAAGCATCCGTACATGGCAGAATAGAGTTTTGTAAATTTTGAAGATGTACATCTATAATATATCACTTCATACTCTGTATTGATGCCATTCAAGAGTATACGCCAAATGCACTGGGAACAGACCTGTGCAGGGAAGGGTGCAATGGTGGTAGGGGTTGCCACACAGGGTGATGGGAAGTGTTTGGGTTATGAGGGCAGATCCCTCATGAATGCCTTGGTGCTGTCCTCCCAGTGGCGAGTCCCAGCTCTTTTGAGTCTGGATTAGTTATCATGGGAGTGAGCTAGTTCCCAGGAGAAAGAGTTGTTATAAAGCCAGGTGGCCTGCTTCACCTTTGACCCTCTTCTGTACCAAGTTGTGAGGCAGCAAGAAAGCCCTCACCAGAACCAGGGCCATGCCCTTGATTGACCCAGCCTGCAGAACCATGAGCTGAAAAAATGTACTTTTAAAATAAATTACAGAGTCTCAGGTATTCTTTTGTAGCAACCCAAAACAGACTAAGACAGTGATACAGCTGAGATTTGCACCCAGGGAATTGAACTCCCGAGTTCCTTCCTAATCAATGAGCTCTGCACACAATTACACACACATGCATATCAAGGCACACATACAACAGCACAGCAATATACACTTCACTCTGCATTTGAGGTTTATGACATATAGTAATAAAACAAATACCTCTGAGCATAGAAGCTTCCATACCTCCCACCCTCTTATCCCATCTGTGAATCCCAAGTTCAGGGATATTAAATTGCTTTTGAAGCTGCATTTATCATCCAAATATAAGGAAAGCCTGCATCCTCAAGAGTAATAGTCAATTGTCACTGAGATTTGTGGAGCATGGATTTGCTATTTCTTTCCTATTAAAATTAAGCTGCTCCTGACAAGAAAGAGGCCCAGGAAGTGGGGAATTGTAACATGAGCATCTGAGAGTGAGATCTTGCCACACAAGCAGGTGTGGGCTGCTGCTTACTTCTTCAGCTCCAAATCTGGGATCAATGAAGCAACAATAAAACCCAGGAGACTGAAAACCATGTTGTTTCTTGGGTCCTGTGGTTCTTGGCCAGTCTACCTTCTCTCCACTTTTCACAGCCTTCTCATGTTGTTTATTTTTTTGTTGTTTAATAGATATGTCTAGGATTTTTAGTTGTACTTGTAGAGAAGAATAAAGTAAGTCCGTCCCACCTTTCCAAAAGTGGAAGCTCAGTGTTATTTATTAATTAATTTATTTATATCTATAATTGTATTTAAACCATCTCCAGCATAAGTTTGCCCAGAGAGCAAGTATAGGTAGAGAGAGAAGAGGCTAGTAAACCGAACCACGGAGCAACTTCCTTGTTTAGAACAGGTACCATTGGCTGGGCACAGTGGCTCACGCTTATAATCCCAGCACTTTGGGAGACTTGAGACAGGAGGATTGCTTAAGCTCAGGAGTTCCAGACCAGCCTGAGCAAAAGAGTGAGACCCTGTCTCTACTAAAAATATAAAAATTAGCTTGGCATGGTGGCATGCACCTGTGGTCCCAGCTACTCAGGAGGCTGAGGTGGAAGGATTGCTGAGCTGGGGAGGCTGCACTGAGCCATGATCATGCCACTGCACTCCAGGCTGGGTGACAGAGTCAGACCCTGTCTCAAAAAAAAAAAAAAAAAAAAAAAGTACCACTGTTACATGGTAACAATTTCTCTTTGAGGGGTATCAAAAGTGCTGGGCATCATCAGAAGCAAGATTTGTTGTTAACTGGTTGAGGGGGATTCTCCGTCTTTCTCCACTGAATAATCTCACCACGAGAAACTTAGTGCTTCTCTTTCTTGTTTTTTGGGGCAGTGTATCTGGCTGTAGTAGGAGTGCGGGGTTTCCCTAATGCTTCATCTTGTATAACCGAACAACATTACCAAGACAGTATTTTTTATGCAGCAATCACAAGGAATTTCCCAATAAAGCTTGCAGTAAATGACAGAGGAACTCTGCTCTACGATGACTCCAGAAGGAGGCTGCTTGTGGGTCAAGAACCCAGCTGCCCCCGTCTCTACTAAAAATACAAAAAATTAGCCGGGCGCGGTGGCGGGTGCCTGTAGTCCCAGCTACTCGGGAGGCTGAGGCAGGAGAATGGCGTGAACCCGGGAAGCAGAGCTTGCAGTGAGCCGAGATTGCGCCACTGCAGTCCGCAGTCCGGCCTGGGCGACAGAGCGAGACTCCGTCTCAAAAAAAAAAAAAAAAAAAAAAAAAAAAAAAAAGAACCCAGCTGCACTTTGAGCTGCAATCATTCCTTCCTTCCTTTATTCCAAAGACTAGCCAATGGCTGAGCTCCCAACAACCTGCACCACGGAGATCAGGATCTCGGAAGGGCAGGGAAGTGTGGGTGCAGCCATGAGTGAGTTGGGGTAGTACCAGGAGAAGAGGCCTTCAGGTTCAGGGCGATCATTACATTCTGTAAGATCTGTGCTGTCAGGGAGAGCAGGCTCCAGCTACTCCACCTTTTTCATTTTAGTGATACAGAAACTGAGTCCCTGAGATGAACAATGAATTAATCAAGGTAATGGAGTTTATTTTCAAAGAATTCAGAATGATTTTCAAAAACAATTCAGATCATGTTGCTCCTCTCCTCAAAGTCTTCCAATTGCTTCTTAACTCCGCCAGAAAAACATCCAAACACCCACAAGGCCCAACGTGAGCTGCACCTTCCTATCCTGCCTCCCTCCATCCACTTTCTCTGGCACTCTCTTCATGCCAGCCATGAGCCTGTGTGCTCTGAGTGTAGCCAAGCTTGGCTGTGCTGCATGGTCCATGCACTTGCTTCTGCCTTTCGCTGGAAGGGAGGATTTGACCAGATTTTCTTGCAATCGTCTTTTGTGTCAATTAGAAGTCAATTTAATCATCACTTTTTATGAAATGCCTTCTGTGAACCCTGAGTAAAACGAATAGCTTCATGACATTTTTATCTTCTTATCATGTTTTTCTTTTTCCTTTTTATTTTGTGTTTTTGTTTTGCTTTGCTTTGTGCTTTGGTTACGGATTTTTGCTTTTGTTTTTTCTTCTGCAGCTGGAATGGAAGCTTTTAAGAGTGGAACTGATGTCTATTAATTGCTGTTATTGGCATATATTGGCCAAATATGTGCACCATAAATATAGGTTGAATAAATATCATGAAGACATCAAAAGCTGAGGACCAATATTGTCCCACCCCCAGTTACTGGGTGAGAGTGGGAGAGCTAAAAGACCACAAATTTGGTGCAGTGTATACTGCTCGGGCGATGGGTGCACCAAAATCTCACAAAATACCACTAAGGAACTTACTCATGCCACCAAACACCATTTGTTTGCCAATAACCTATGAAAATAAAAAAAAAATTAAAAAGGTTAAATAAAAAAAATTCACAGTACAGACTTTGCAGGAAGACAGGCATGAATTGGAATCCCAGTGATACTCTAAGCAACTGTGAACTTGTTCCTATTTTTCTTTTCTTTTTAAAAAACAATTTGAAACATATGAAAAGTTATAATAGTGAAAAATACCCATGAGTAATTTTCACCCAGATTACTTAAATGTTAACAGTTGACACCATTTGCCTTATCATTTTTTCTCTTTCTAATTTAGATACTCTCTGTATGTATTGTTTTTCCCTCTGAGTCATTTGAGAGTAAATTGCAGAAATTATGCTTCATTACCCCTAAATATCTCAATGTCTATTTTTATTTAAGAAGGAAATACACTTTCTTATATAGCCACACTATAACCATCAAAATAAGAAATTAACATTGATACAATACTTCTGTCTAATCAACAGACTCCGTTACAACTTTACCTCCAGTGCCTCCAGTGTGTTTTATAGCCAACACCAACAATTAAGCAAAATAAACAAGTCTCTCTTCCTTCTTTCTTTTCTTTTATTTTCGTTAAGCACAGGATTTTTTTTATTCAACCTTTTTAAATCTTTTTATTTTCATAGGTTATTGGAGAACAAGTGGTGTTTGGTTACATGAGTAAGTTCTTTAGTGGTGATTTGTGAGATTTTGGTGCACCCATCACCCGAGCAGTATACACTGCACCAAATTTGTGGTCTTTTATCTCTCACCCCCTTCCCACCCTTTCTCCCTGAGTTCGCAAAGTCCACTGTGTCATTCTTATGCCTTTGCATTCTCATAGCTTAGCTCCCACCATACGATGATTGGTTTTCCATTCCTGAGTTACTTCACTTAGAATGATAGCCTCCAATCCCATCCAGGTTGCTGAAAATGCCATTAATTCTTTCCTTTTTATGGCTGAGTAGTATTCCATTGTGTATATATATGTGTGTATATATATATGTGTGTGTGTGTGTGTGTGTGTGTGTGTGTGTGTATATATATATATATATATATAAAACAGTTTCTTTACTCATTGATTGATGGGCATTTGGGTTGGTTCCACATTTTTGCAATTGTGAATTGTACTGCTATAAACATGCTCCTTTCTTTTCTGGTCCAGGATCATGGAAGTCAAGATCATGCATCACCTTTTGTCATCACGTCCCTTTAGTTTTCGTAAATAAGGAACTTCAGTCCTTTCTGTATTTCATGACCTTGATACTTTAAAGAACAGAGGGCAAGTACTTTGCAGAATATCTCTCCATTCGGATATTTCTGATGTCTTCTTATAATTAGATTTAGTTCTCCCATTACTGTCAGAAATGGAAAATAGGGTTGTATTCTTCTCAAAGTAGTATATAGCACGAGAAGTCGTGACAGCTCATTCCATCACAGCAACGATAACTTTTATCAGCTCTCCCATTACAGGAGTTGCTCATTTTTATCCTCTGCATAGAATTGTTGTCTGCCAAGTTTCTCCATTGAGAGGATAACTAAGGAAATATTTTGTACTCATTAATGAATTGGTAATTAAGAAGTATCCTATAGGAAGATAATTTTAAATTACGTGAATATCCCATTTCTCATCAAACATTCACCTGTTAATTTTAACATGCATTGATGATTCTAGTCTTCATCAATTATTACTTTGTTAGCCAAACAGTTATTTTCCCAATTCCATCCATAATCTTTGTACACTTACCTGTTAGCATTCCACTATTAAAAAGTTTTATTTTCTCCCTATTTATTTATTAATTCCTTATTTATAGCAGAATTCCTAGTTATTCAAAAAGTTATATACCATTACTGGTTGGGTGCATTGGCTCATGCCTGTAATACCAGCACTTTGGGAGGCCATGGCAGGCAGATCACCTGAGGTCTGGAATTCGAGATGAGCCTGGCCGACATGGTGAAACCCCATCTCTACTAAAAATACCAAAATTAGCCAAGCATGCTGGTGTGCACTTGTAGTCCCAGCTACTTGGGAGGCTGAGGCAGGAGAATTGCTTGAACCTGGGAGGCAGAGGTTGCAGTGTGTGGAGATGGTGCCACTGCACTCCAGCCTGGGTGACAGAGTAACACCCTGCCACACACAAAAAAAACTTAAAAGTTATATACTATTACTGTCATTATTAATTTTGGTGTTCAAAGTGCCCCTGGCCAACAGACCCCATCAACTTCATCCCTATGTTCTTATTATGTTTTCAGCACTTCCTGACTTTCTGGCACAATAAGATGGCTCAGGTTCATGTTCTACAATGATTATCCCATCCTGGGAATCAATCGTCTCTTTTAGAAGCCTTTCATTTGAAAGAGGTCCTTATGTAGAAACCATCAACTGGGCGCTAGGTATTTTCACTGCTATTGGAATGTCAGTGTTTCTAGGTCCTGCCAGTAAACAAGAAATATACATAACTGTGTGTGTATATCTACACACACAAACATACACACATGCCTGTTTACATAGATTTATATCTATATTAAAAAGTATGTGTATGTGTTCATACTGACATCTCCCATTCCAGTGCAACAACCCAAAGTTTATTATAGTTTTCTTCCCTTCCATGTTTATATCTCTCTGTTATTCAGAGACCTGGCTTTCATTTTTTTCCAATGTATTTACTTATTTGCCTAATCCTGCTGTGTATCAGCCTCAATAATGACCAACAGAAATATCAGGTCCTAATTCTGGGAATCTGCATATTATTCAATTTACAATATTACTCATTTTACCTTACATAGAAAATGGTCTTTGCAGATGTCACTAAGTTAAGGATCTTGACAGGGTGAGGCAACCCTGGATTATCTGGGTGGGCCTTGTATGAAATCGTAGTGTCCTTCAGTGTGAACTTAGAAGACAGACGAGAGAGAGATTTGACATAGACAGAGGAGAGGGCGACCACAGAGGCACAGCGTAGAGCCAGGCAGCTGCAAATCAAGACATGCCAGCAGCCAACGGAAGCTGGAAGAGGCGAGAATCAAACTCCCCCCTAGAGCCTCTGGAGAGAACACAGCCCTGGCAGCATGTGATTCTGGCCTCTCCAGAACTGAGATAATACATTCCTTTTTGTTTTAAGCCACCAAGGTTGTGGTTATTTGTTACACCAGCCACAAGAAACTAATAAACCCAATATGTAATCAATTCACCAAATGTGCAAGCTATCTCCTTGGCCCCAAACTGGTAAAAAAAAAAAAAAAAAAAAAAAACAAAAGACCCAGCGAAGCCAGCCAAGTTCTGCTCAGCTCAGCTCAGCTCAGCCCCACTTCTTTTGGTGGTATAACAACTCCCCTTCTTCTTCCCTTATTTTTCCCTCACCACTAACCATAAGCAACAACCAATATTCTTCCAGGCAGGGTACAGAACGACTGACCCTCACCATGTTCTTATCATCTCTATTTTACAGATGAGATATGGAGGCTCAAACAATTTCAGTAACTTACTAATGGTCACAGTGCCAGGAAATGAGAGAGATGAGAGTCAATCCAGTTCTGTCTTAATTCCAAGTCCAAACAGTAATCCAACAGGTCTACTGCCTTTAGGTAGACTTAGTCCTTTGAGAATTTGTTTTCTTTAGCATTCAAATACTAAGTGGGAATAATGATACCTCATAAGGGTCTGGAAATGATTCAATGAGATGATACTTAAAATGCATAGTACATTGCCTGGCATTTAATGAACCCTCACAACTTGGAGTAGATGGTTCCCGTCCAGACACTGGTAGAGCTTTCAGGAGACAGAGAGAATGAATATGTAACCACCTGGTAAATGGCTGGAAGCCTCATTCTCTTGTTTTTGCATCCTCCCATCCTGATTGAATCAGAGGGGCAAGGAGGAGGAACGGAACATGTTTGCTACTTAGCCTGCTCTCTGAGCCATAAAATTCCTCAAATATCAGACCCCAGACCTTTTCCCCAGTAACGAGGTGATAAATGCACAGAGAGACACTGATGGAACAGAGAAGAGAAAATGTTCCCCAGGACACTTTACATCTGAAAGTGTTCCACGTGCACCACTGTGGAATAAGATCTTACAAATCCTGTCAAACTTCTGTGTCAAGCTTAACTGAATTGTTTTTATTTTGTGGGGAGAGGGAGATTGGGAGAATTACTAAAATTAATTGTTTTTACAATGTAAAAAGAGGGTTATTTGCAAACTATGCATCTGACAATGAACTAACATCCAGAATCTACAAGGAACTTGATCAAATCAGCAAGAAAGAAAAATCCCATTAAAAACTGGACAAATGGCGTGAATAGACATTTCTCAAAATAAGGTATACAAATGGCCAAAAGATATGAAAAAAAATGCTCCACATCACGAATCATCAGGAAAATGCAAATTAAAATCACAGTGAGATATCACCTTACCCCAGCCAGAATGGCCATGATTAAAAAGTCAAATAACAATAGATGTTGGCACAAATGTGGTTAAAAGGAAATGCTTGTACACTGCTGGTGGGAATGTAAATTAGTACAACCTGTATGAAAAACAGTTTATGAAGACTTATCAGAAAACTAAAAGTAGATCACCCATTTGATCCAGCAATTCCACTACCAGGTATCTACCCAAAGGAAAATAAGTCATTGTATAAAAAAGACACCTGCATGTGTGTTTGTATCAGCACAATTCACAATTTCAAAGATATGGAATCAAATAAGTGTCCAACTGATAACTAAATAAAATAAATGTGGCATATATATGCCATGGGATACTACTCAGCCATAAAAAAGAACAAAATAATGTACTTTGCAGCAACTTGGATGGATGGAGCTGGAGGCAATTATTCTAAGTGAAGTAACTCAGGAATGGAAAACCAAATACCACATGTTCTCGCCCATAAGTGGAGCTAAGCAATGGGTAAGCTAAGGGATATAGAGTGGGATAATGAACATTAGAGACTCTGAAGGAGGAAGGGCGGGAGGCAAATGAGGAATTAAAAAGGACCTATGGGGTAAAATGTACATCATTCTGCTAACTAACAGGCATACTAAAATGCTGTAAGAAGAGCAGTTGGGGGCAGGGTCAGCTACACTGAGAAGCTTCCTGGGGCAGCTTTTCCCCAGCAAATGAAAATGTGTCTGTAATCCAGAGACTGTTTTTCCCTCTGGGGTGACCTCTCTATCATGAAAATCTGCCACCATCATCACCCATAAACCTGGTGACATTATTCCATTGTTGCATTCAACACAATCTGTTCAACCAATGCTCACTGGATGGGTGGTTGGACGGGTGGACATGTCTCTATCACATCACTGGGCTGTGATCTCCATGACGCCAGAAACTGCTGTCTTCACTGGGGTCGCTTCCATAATGAAAATCTGCTGCCATTATCACCCCTGAATCCTAGAGTACATTTCCACTGGCCCATTGCATACAGTCAGTACTCAATCAGTGCTTTCTTAATTGGTCAGTAAAAAGCGGAATCAACAGAAAGGGAAATGAGCTCTGGTTTTAGGAATGGCAAGAGGAACAGAGATAGGAAAACACACACAGCTCAGCTCAAACCTTCACCACAGGTCCACGTGTTCATCCTTGTGTATTAGCATCAACACAGTGACAGGAAGCCAGGGCTCTGCAGGGTGCAGAATTCCATTCCTAATCTGTAAAGACTGTAACTGAAACTTAGATGAGTAAAGGGACATTATCTAAGGTAAGTGGTGAGTTAGTCACACACCTGGGTTTAGAACCTGTGGCTCCAAGCCTCATCCACCTCAATGCTTTCTCACATGGGCCACATTCATTTAGCCAACAACACTATGAAGCCTGTGTGTTCTGTGCTACGAAAACTCAGATAAATAAGACACAGTTTTAAGTCTTGTCTTCAAGTCTCTAGGTTGTATTTGAGAATTGCATCAGGAATTTATATATTTGGAATTCATCATTTTCAAATATAATGCATATCAAACTGAGCCACCAGATATGAAAACAAAGTTGACTCCAACTCAATCTGAAGCTAATCCAGATTTCTAGTTGTCTGGCTGCTTTCACTTTTAGTTGAATGACTGACGATTACTTTAAAACTCATTTCACCTAAAACAAATGCTTGATTTCTAGCACTTAGGGAAAAATGTTCATTTGTGCCTTTCACTTGATTTTTTTATTAATTACAGAAGAAAGAATTATTTTAAAAGAATAGTTTTATGAAAAGAGTAATTCAGTCATATCCTAGAATTGTACCAATGAGTAATCATTGAAAAATATTCCCAGGCATGGCTCTTCTGCATTGCCTGGTGAAGTATTTTTGGTAAAACCTGACATTTTGATCAACTGAATTATAGATTTTGAAATTGGAGTATATATAATACTATCTATGGCCACAAGGGGATACAATGGCTCTATTACTAGAGGAGGGAAAATAGAGCTGTCTTTTAAGGCAAGACATGAAGGCACGAGTAGCCTTCAAGACCAATGGCATAATAACCACCTACCATCATGCCCACACTTCTATCAATAAGAGCTTGGGAATTCATTTCAGTTTTACCTTCCTGTTTTGCTTACTTTTTTAACTGTGCATCTATCTGTGCCCACGTACATTAGAAGTCCATTAAAACAGAACAAACCAAAACAACAGCAACAACAAATAAACAAACCAAAAAAACCTCCATCTGATTCTAATTAGAATTTCCCATAAAACTTTACACACTGTTCTCTCCAGTTTCCATTTTGGTCCATGACAGCTCTATCATTCACAAAACCACTATAGTGGCCAATGCAGCTTTTGGCTCTGACCTATGGAATGAATGAGGGTGGAGTTTGTTTTACCCACTATGGCACTTCAGCAAGATGGCAGAGCAGACACCCATTTCTCCCTTCATGCCGAATTGATAGTAGTAAGAAGATACCAATTTTCTTAACAGGAGAGAAATCTCCATTTTCATCCTTGATCCCTGTCACCCTTTCCCATTTCTCTATCTATTGAATGTTTTCATGCAAAGCTCTGCATCTGGCTAGATCGGTTTAGAGAAGAGCTTTCCTAAGAAACAAGGGCACAAAATGCCCACATCACTGAGAGATATACCCAGAGCTGTGTTACAAAAGTCACTTGTCTTGCTTTGAATCTACTAAAATTTACTTTAAACTGACAGGTGATTTAGCGGGTGTGGGGAAGGGAGAATGAGCAAGCAGTGACCTCTACTGCATTTCAGCCAATAATTAAAGCATAAAAACTTTCGTCAGTGTTTACCAAAATAATTCTTTGTGTCTGCCATTTTTGACCCTATAAGCCAAACAGTGCATATGTTGTTATTCTCTTATGTGTGATAATTATTCATTTACAGAGTGGATGACTGTGGGAAAATAGAAAGAAATGAATGGATGGAATTGAAATGAAGTGATCTTCTCATTATGATTCAAAAAGGAGTTGACATACGATATGGGCATTTGTACATTTCAGGGAAAAATTAAAAGGAGTTGAACTTCACCATGAATTACAGATTACCTCTAAGTCTGTTGTATGTTTTTAGGCACCAACTTGTCTTCTGGCAACACAACACTTATCAGAATAAGTTAGGCATGTGCACGTGGGTATTTCATAGTGACTTCCACCTAGGCCGTCTGATACTAAGACGTGAGTGGCTCTTTAGTGAAAGTAGAGGTAGACCACTGACAATCAGGGACCTCCTCAGCATCACCTTTTCACCCTCTGCCTTGGAAGACTGATGCCTTTAGAGACCTGTGTACTCACAGGACATAAACATGGTGGGTTGGCGTCATAACAGAAGAGAGTTTGCTGAGTCCAGGATTCTCTGTGCAATGTAAAGACACACAGGGCATGCTAACATTTATTGTAAGGGAGGGTGACAATTCCCCTATATGCCTAAATACAAAATAAAACTTTCCCTCACATTAACGCTGAGAAAAATAGTGCGTGTTATGTGCTGACCTCCCAATCACATTATTGTTTAACACAAAGTACATCTGGGGGAGACCAATCAACCAGAAACAACCTCTATTGGTGCTAATGTTAGATTCTAAAGGAAGTCTACTCATGCAACTAGCGAGAAAAGGGATGAAGGCACATAGTAACGATTTTGTCATTATTCTTACAGGCTGGTAGACCTTGAAGTTTAGTTTCCTACCTGCAGTTTAAGATCCTATGAAAACACAATGTGGTAAGTAGCTGCCAATATAACATTACACAACAACAACCAAAAAGACCTTAATGCAATGCAAATGGATACAAGTAGTTTAGTTTATTTTCAAAACAAGCACTATATATATATATATACACACACACACACACAGACATACATATATACATATGTGTATATGCATGTAATTTCAATACATACATATATGTATACACATGTATATTTCTACATTATGTATGCATATATGTATATATGTATGCATACATAAATATACACACACATATACATATGTATATATGTATATATGTATACGTGTGTGTATATGTATATATGTATATGTATGCGTATATGTGTGTGTGTATATATATACACACTGTGCTTGTATTGAAAATAATATATATGTATTTTTCTCTTAAAACACATAGACAGAAGTGAATATGATGAATTCTGAGCACCCAGTCAGATAACTCCATGAGTGATGAAGAAAGCACTGAAGTCTAATACGTGAGCCAAAACAATATGAATAAAATTGTTTCTTTAATTAAGTGGAAAATTATATCTACGTTCCTGTGTTATTTTGTATAATATGTGTCTTAAAACTATATAGAGCTAAAACTATAAAATCAATATTTTATTTTTGTACCTAGATCTCTAAGATCTAAATATTTACATTAGCAATTGCATTGATCTTTTCACTGGAAATAGGGGGCTGCTTGCCTGATATTTTTGAGTGCTTCAAGATGGGGATTATCTTAAAATCTGTGTTCACCAATTGGAATGTGCCAAGCACTTGTGTGTCTGCTTTGATTTAGAGATGGGGGAGCTGGGTAAATATGTACCTAGATCAGAGTTGAGAACAAACCCTGGGCCTTGGAAGCTGCATTTAGCTCACAGGTTTCCTTTGATGTGCTCATTGTTCTTTGGAGTTTGAATGAGTTGCCCTCTCTGGACAATCCTGTGCTCTCTTTGTCAACACATTCCCTGTCACTCCCTGTACGTCTCAGTCACCTTCACTCTGATATACTGCCTGCTGTATAATAGGACATCATCAACATTCACCCATTCAAGGCCTCCCTTTTTATTTAATTTCATTGTTTCTGTTTATGTTCTAGTTAAGAATTGCCGTATAACAAATGACTCCAATACTTAGCAACTTAACACAACTATGAATTTTTTTTTTTTTTTTTTGAAATGGAGTCTCACTCTGTCGCCCAGGCTGGAGTGCAATAGTACAATCTCAGCTCACCACAACCTCCACCTCCAGTGTTCAAGCAATTTCTTCCTGAGTAGCTGGGATTACAGGCACCCACCACCATGCCTGACTAATTTTTCTATTTTTAGTAGAGACAGGATTTCACCATGTTGGTCAGGCTGGTCTTGAACATCTGACCTCGTGATCTGCCCACCTCGGCCTCGCAAAGTGTTGGGATTACAGGCGTGAGCCACCGTGCCTGGCCTATAACTATGATTTTACTCTTAATTTTGTAGAGCAAGGGATCAGCTCAGTAGTCTTGTGTGGGATCTCCTGCAATTAAAATAAGCTATCAGCTGGGGCTGCCATCATCTGAAGGCTCAACTGAGCTGCAAGTCTAAGATGGTGCACTCACATGGCTGCAGCTGATGCCACCTGTCAACTTGTAGCTCAGCTGGGGCTGTTGACTCTGTATTTGCACATGGCTTCTTCCCATGTGTCAGCTGGCTTCCTCCAGAGTAAGTGTCCCAAGAGAACCAAATATGCTGAAGGCATCACTTCTGCAATACTTTAATGGTTGAAACTGTCAAAAACCCACTCAAACTCAAGGGGAAAAAACATAGAACCTACATCTTAATGGGACAAATTTAAAGTAATCTAGGGCCATTGTTTTAAACCACTCATCTCATCCCTATCCCCACCCATCATTCTTTTTTCCCCATAGGTACTACTCTAATATATTTGATATTTGTGCTTAAAAATATTTATTCCTGAAAGATATATAGTAATTAGCTGGTGACACAGTTTCCATATAAATAAATAGTATTGTGCTCTTATTCCTGGTCTTTTTTGTTTTAACATTTTCTCCTTAGCACTGTATTTTGGAAATCCACTCATGTTTATATGGTTGTCTATGGAACTCTTCAGGCTACTTATATATACTTGAGCCCACGTAAAATATTTATTGTAAGTACCATTTTGTGCACTGAAATGTGTCTCCCTAAGAGATATGTTGAAGTCCTAAATCTTGATACATGTGAAGTGCAACCTTATTTGGAAATAGGGTCTCCGCAGATGTAATTGGGTTGAGATGGAGTCATACGGGAGGAGGATGGGCCCCTTGTCCAATATGACTGGTGTTTGTATAATGAGAGAAAACAGATAAACTCGCAGGGATACCATCGTGTGAAGACTGAAGCAGTGACTAGAGTGATATGTCCACGAGCCAAGGGTCACCCAAGCGTGTGGGAAACTATCAGAATCTCAGAGAGACGCATGGAATAGACTTTCCCTCAGAGCCTCCAGTAGAGAGCAACCCTGTGGCACCTTGATTCTAGATTTCCAGGCTCCAGAACTGTGAGACAAGAATTTCTTTTGTGTTAAGCCAAGTAGTTGATGGTAATGGTACTTTATTATGTAGCCCCTAGGAATCTAATACAGCTATCATCACAGAATATTTCCTGAACCTTGCATAAATGAGATACAGAGGTAAAACCAAAATTAATAACCTTACTCCAAAGGAAGGACTGCATGTTCACTTTCCACCCATTCAATTGTCCCTTTGCCATAATTACAGAGGTAAAATCAGCCAAGATCTCTCTTCTTCCCATTTGTAAAGGTTGTCCTTACATTGAACATATGTTTCCTTTCTTCCTAGTTAAAAATGCACCATCTCTCTAAGGAGGTGCCTGTTCATTGGGTGTTCTTCCCCAGGAATGACGTTTCCTGTTTTATGATGGGAAAACAAGACGTTCACACTCCTGAGATTCTGGGCATCAGGTCTACATCTCTGTCATCATCCTGGCCAGCGTCTACCTTGCGAAATGATCAAAATGATGACCTCCACAGGCGCCGTGTCCTCCCTTGGAGGTTATAAAAATAACAGGACAAAGGCTGCGTCTTGGTCAAATTTGGAGTTCACTGCCTAACATAGGATTGACACAAAATGTTTAGGGAATATTTTGTTGTGTTATATATATTTTATATCTATATATATATAGATATAGATATGATACATATATAAGATATATATATCTTAGATATGTATTATATGTGTATAGATATATGTATCATATATATATACACACACATATATATATCTACACACACATATATATATCTACACACACATATATATATCTACACACACACATATATATATACACACACACATATATATATATCTACACACACACACACATATATATATATATATATCTACACACACACACAGACACAAACACAGTTTCATTAGAAAAGAATTGGAGGGCAATTTTCACATTCTCCCTTACCAAAGTTAACCTTATCTTCTTCTCAGCTATGAATTGTTTCAAGTAATATAATTAAATACTCACACACCAGGATGCACATCGAAAGCATGCTTACAGAATATGTGTTGTGTGATCATTAAAGTAATCAAAGCTTATGGCTCAGAAGTAGCCTATAAACATTTTTTGTAATGAAATTACAAAGAAAAAACACCATAACACCAGAAGTAAATCCTGAGAATAGCAACAGGATTGAACCCTGAGTTCTTAAAGCGGTTTTGCCTTACAATGGAGAACAACTATTTCATCTGTGAAAAAGAATGCAAAAGTGGGACAAGCTATTGAAGATCAATGTTAATTCTACAGGAAAGATGTTTTTCTGAGGCCTCTTTTTAAACGCATGTGTGCCTGTTTCTGTGATCGCTTTTTAACAAAGAGAGGCAGAGAGCCACGTGGGGCTTATTACCCTTTCTCTGAAGTAACTCATGATGCAAGTGTTAACATTTAACACAATTATGAGCAATGTAAGCTACTTCTTTTAAGAAGATAGATTTAAGTTACGACTCTTTAATGGATATAATGCTTTTATTAATTAGAAACAGCTTTAAAATGTGTCTTATTTATTAGCTTGCACTATTGGAGGAAAATAATCTTCTCTTGGTCTCATTTTGGATAAACACACTAGTTACAAGCATGAATTTTTATGCACAAAATGGAATTCTTTCTTAGGGAAAGTTGGAGGTTAGGATCGCCACTCCAGGTGATCATTTCAGTCCTCATACCACAATTGTGAGTTTGTGAGATACTCCCCATTTTACAGATGAAATAAGCAATTTGTATTTTATTTAAAAAAGAAAAGCACACACAAAAAAGGCATCTTTGGCATTCATTCTAACCTTGAGGTCGTTGTCAGGATCCTGCGTTCCAGAATCCCTCCTATGTGAAGCCAAGCTCAGGTGCAGCCCAGGCCACTGCCTTCTTTTTGTTCTGAGCCCTGGAATGAAGGCTATGTATGGGCTTCTGTCCCATCCTGGCCAGTTGTTGACGATTAACCATGGAAAGCAGTTTCCCCCGTCTGGGTCTCAGGTTTTCTAATCTGAAACAAAAGTAGCAGACAAGATAATCATTCCTTTGTGACTTAAAGAAAAAGTATATGCCCCAACAGCCTGACGTGCCCAATTTTGTCCTGCAGGCATGGGACTCTTTTTTACTTTACTCACATACTGCTTTAGATATTTCTGAGTCACTATTTTAAAATTGGGAGATTTGACACAAATATATGTGTTCTTATCAGTTTATCAAAAACTGGAAGCTCAGGCAACACCAGCCCTCCCTTCCCGCCTGAGGAAGCCAGCTGCTCCCTTTCAACAGGGTGTGTGCTGATATCCACACCATGTTACCACAATCCCCACCACTCCCTTTTGCCTCCCTGAAGCTAGCTTCAGTGTTAGTTTCTATATATTGCTGTGGTTGGACCTCTGATGTTTTTATAGACAAAAAAGAAAACAAATAGTTTCTATATCTACGTCATAATAAAAATGAGAAGATAAAAGATGGATCAAAAAGTGGATAATTTTGAAGAAGCTGGCTCCTGTAGGTTCCTGAATTTGTCTCCCATATCACAGTCAGGGCTTCTTGACTCTAAACTTAAAAGCCCATGACACCACTTCCTAGAGTCTCTCTGTCTTTTTAAAAACTATTCTTTATGTTTCTCATCTAAATTTATTCTCCTTACTCAATTACAATTAATCATGTATAAGTGTTTATTGAGAGCTGGGGAGTAAAGAGAGGCAGAGAAAAACCTAAAACATACTTGATTTACTTGTATATTTAGATTGTAGTTTGGAAGACACATTAGAAATATAGATAATAATATCATATCCCATTCTATAACAATAGTAAGCCATTTATCATACATGCATGAATTTGTCAGGTCTTGTATCAAGACACTTTCAATACATTATCTCATTTAACTCTCGCAGAAATCCTAGGGGGGTAAGTATTCTTATTTCCCTTTTACGATATGGAAACTGAGGCTCAGAAACTTGTCCCAGGTTGTCTGGAGAGTATGTGGCAGAACTAGGGAAGCTCAAATGAACATATTCCAAAGTTTGTGAACATGATGGCAGTGCTTCTCAGACCAGCATTGCTGAGGGGCCGTAAATGTATTCCAGGATATCTTCACATTCTTCATTGGATAGAAATGCTGTGTTCCTTTCAAGAACGTGTTTCTTTATTTTTGTCTTCTTTTCTTGTCTGTATATAAATGCAGAGATTTGATTTAATTGTACTCCTCATCTCATGGCACAGAAACATCAAGGGTTTTTATGTGTCCCTGTTACGGTTGTATTTCATTTCCCCCCTGATACAAATGTCTTCTTCATCTCTTTCTCCTGTATAAACAGAACTCAGATATATTTGTGACATGTGCTTGACCCTGACACATCTTATTGCAAAATACGTTGTAATATTTTGTGCATTTTCTTAATTCACATAAATAGCATTGGACAGGAAATGTGATAATAATGCTCCAAGTTTTCTTATTGCATTGATTCAGTGGCCACATTAGAGTGTGTTTTTGATTTGGTCAGTACAAAGTAAAGGAATTAAGGAAGATAGCATTTAAGTTTTACCACAGCTTTCTTTAAACTAGTCATCTTGAACTAGAGTAAAAATGCATATTTTCTGACAGATATGTTTTGGAAGGTGGAAACATGATGACCTCAATAGAAGATTGTCAGACTTCGCAAATAAAAGTGCATGGTGGTAAATTTGAATTGCAGATAAATAATGCATACTTTTAGCAGAAGTATGTTCCATACAATATCTGAGACATACTCTACTATAAAATTATTCACTATTTATCTTATAGTCAAATTTAACTGGGGTTTCCTGTACTTCATCTGGTAAGTCCAGCTATGCTATATACCATAAATGAAGCTATGTGAACTGCTTGGAACGTCCCGTGTTGCGCGGAGCATCCATTGTGAGATGGACTAGGAGGGTCGGAGTGTGCAGGACAGGGCTTTGGCAGAGACGGAAGAATGAGGAAGATGTGTATGGTTTCAGACTGGAAGCTCCATTCAAACTAAACTCATTTGGGGAACAAACTGTGAAGCAGAATTATCTACCAGGAGGACTTATGAATTTGGTTGAGCACAAGGAAATTGTCCGCAGCCTGAGGAAATGAATTAGGGCACAAACGCTTATAAACACAATACCATTAACTTGGATAATAAAAAGGTACATAATTTGATGGAGCCAAACACAAATGTCCTCCCTCAGATTCCCAGTCGCCACGTTTCCCCCACCAGTTTATCATTTTTATTTTGATTGCCACAGTTTATGGAAAGCGAAAACAATAGGTATCTATAATGTGAAATTATTTGCACATATAATGTTTGCTATTCATCATATTATTCCCCTCTTTAGCCAAAGTTGATTCTACCAGCTATGTATGATTTTCTTAAGATAATCTGATATGTCTAAGTTTCTTCTCCTGCCAGATAAATATTTATTCTAAAGCCTGTCAGTTTTTGTATAAACGTCACCCTTTTCTCTCTGAAAAGAAAGCTATCATTCTTTAACAAGAATTGAGAAGCTCTGCTAGTTTTGTTCCAGGCTAATGGAACACCTATGTCAATTCACAATGAATGACAGCAGTCAGGAGGCACAGGTGTGGGGAACCCATCTCTTTTGCTAGTTGTGTCACCTTGTGTTAATATTAAAAATGAAGTGTGTTAATAGAAAAAAAGAGATGAAACGCTGTAGCCTTTTAAGAGATGTGCTACTGTCAGGCACGGTGGCTCATGCCTATAATCCCAGCACTTTGGGAGGCTAAGGCGGGTGGATCACGAGGTCAGGTGTTCGAGACCAGCCTGGCCAACATGGTGGAACACCGTCTCTACTAAAAATACAAAAAAAAAAAAAAAAAAAAGCCGGGCATGGTGGCGGGTGCCTGTAATCCTAGCTACTCGGGAGGCTGAGGCAGGAGAATCGGTTGAACCCAGGAGGCGGAGGTTGCAGTGAGCCGAGACCACACTGTTGCACTCCAGCCTGGACGACAGAGCGAGGCTCTGTCTCAAAAAAATAAATAAATAAATAAAAAGAGATGCGCTCATATAAACTTCTGGTACCAAGACAAGGTGGTGTATACGCACTTTCTCCTACTCTTCACTCATAAATACAACTAGCAATCCTAGATATGACTCAACAGAGAGCAA
This sequence comes from Homo sapiens, assembly GCF_000001405.40. Taxonomy (NCBI): domain Eukaryota; kingdom Metazoa; phylum Chordata; class Mammalia; order Primates; family Hominidae; genus Homo; species Homo sapiens. The sequence continues at coordinate 127,035,194 of NC_000012.12, forward strand.
TGGAAGGACTCTGAATGTGGAAGAAAGAACGCAGACTAGCTGGGGACCTCAAGACTTGAATAACAAAGTGGTGAAGTCTCTTGGTTTTACTTTGACTTCCCACACATCTCCCAGGCTGCCACCAGAAAGGATTACAATCTGGACACCCCCAATAGGCATCGGCAAAATACTCCAAGAAAAGCAGCTTTCTCTGGTTGTAGAACTGGGGTAAGGGGCAGCAAGCAGACAGCTGCTGCACACCTGGGGCATTTGTTGGCTAATCTGCCTGCAGCATATCAGAGCACCAGGGAACCAACTCAACCATTGCTACACACCTATAGCACCAGCGAGCTGACCCACCCACAGTGGCAACAATGAAGCCCACATAGGCTGATCCACACCTGGTGCTGTATTCAATGGCATCAGGAGACCAAGGACCAGCATCATCTGCCACCCCATGGGAGGTGGCCCAGGAAAGCACTTTCTATAGCTGCAGGCGGCACCAGCCAGGATTGGGTGTGAGCCCGGCAGCACCAGAAGAATAAAGCAGAACAGAGAAGCACTAAAAGGGCTCTGAAAACTAAACTGTTACTCAAACCACGTACCAAAAATATATGCTAGACATACGCCAAACCTAAACAAGCCTAATGCCTGCTAAAAGAAAAGACTTGAATAGGACTCAATGTCTTTTAAAGAACAATAACCATTTTCAGGATACAGTTGAAAATCACTCAATATACCAAGAACCAGGGAATCCGCAGTTTGAGGAAAGAATAAGCACAGATACAAATACTGAGATGAATCAGATGTTAGAATTATCTGACAAGGATTTGAAAGCAGCCATCATAAAAAATACTTTGACAAGAAACTACAATTCTCTTGAGACAAATGAAAAAATTACAAAATCTCAGTAACGAAGTAGAAGTTATTTTGAAAGACCAAATGGGAATTATAGAACTGAAAAATGCAAAAGAAAGAAAAAAAACCAAGCTGGATAGGCTCAATAGTAGAGTGGAGATAGAAGAGATTCAGTGGAACAGAAGGAAGATGGATAAAATTTACTTGATTTGAATGAAAGAGAAGTTGATGGAAAAAAAATGAACAGAGCATTCGGGATCTGTGGGTCAATAAAAAAAGGCTTAAGTTTTATATCATTAGAGTCACAGAAAGAGATAAAAACAAGTGTAGGACTGAACTGCTTTTCAAAGAAATAACGTCTAGAAACTTCCCAAATTTGGCAAAAAGACATCAACCTACAGATTCAAGAAGCTGAGAATATTTCAAATGAGATAAACCCAAAGAAAGCCACACCAAGATATGCCATAATTAAACTTCCAAAAACTGAAAGCAACAAGAAAAGATTAAAAACAGAGAGAAAAATATACATTATTTATTAAATACCAATTCAAAGGACAATGAATTTCTCATCTGAAATGACAGAAATGAGAAGAAATTGGGGCAACATTGTTCAAATACTTAAAGAAAAAAACACATAAAATCAAAATCCTATATCTGGTGAAATAATCCTTCAGAAATGAAACAAAAAAAGCATTTTCTGTTAAAATGTAACGAAGAGAATATGTTACTACAAGATATACCCTGAAAGAATAGTAATAGGGACCTCTCCAAACAAAGTAAAATGGTAGCAGAAGAAAATGTTGACCCTCAGAAAGAAAGAAAACAGAATTATATATAAAAATAGAAGCAAATAAAATAGACTATCTTTCACCTCCTGAGTGTCTTTAATCATATTTTAGGATCGAAGCGAACTTATTATCTATTGTAGTGATCAACGTATGCAGAGGAGATTATGTAGGAAAATTATATTTGAAAAGTGAGGAGAGCAAAGGGACAGAAATGGAAGTAAGATTTCTACGCTTCATTCAAAGGGGTACCATATCTATACCTGCATCCTGTGATACCTAGTGTTTGTGTGTGTATGTGAGTGTGTGTATGACCATATGGTAACATGGTACCTTGAAAACAGACCCCACAAAGCACAGTGACAATGCATGTGACCAGGACTGAACTTTCACAAGTTACAAACATTGAGGAAACTAGACTTTCTGTTTTTATACACACACACGCACACACACACACACACACACACACACGCACACACACATACAATAACTAGAGCATCTACTAAGAAAACCATACAATGCAATGTGCTCAATAAGATGATAAAAGATGGAATTCTAAAACCTTTTCATGCATCCCACATGAGGACACAAAAAGACACAGAGGAACAAGAAGCAGAGAAAAAAAAAACAAATAAAAACATAGCAGAATTAAACTCTGACATATCAGTAATTACTTTACATGTAAATGGTGTAAATATGAGATGTAAAAAAGAAAGAGTGGCAGGATGTATAATTTCTCACTTAATGTCATTAATAGGCTCTTGGAAACTGCGACTTTAAGAGAAAGACATACGGCAGAGCCGGTGTTTTTTCTCATCAACATTATAACCAGATAATGTTGAAGGAAACGACGTTGTTTGAGGACCTACCATACATCTTTTCACTTAAAGTTGTAGTTTCTAAGAACCTATCAACATATTTATGACTTTAAGTGAGGACATACTGTATACACATATATGTGTGTGTGCGTGTATATGTATGTATATATGTGTGTGTAGAAATAAATACATATATGTGTGTGTGTGTGTATATATATGTTGGGCAGGAGAGTGCAGGGAAGAGGAGAGGGCCAGGGCCAGGAGTTTTCTATATCTATGTCTGTATCTATAAAATATTTCCATCCTGCTGTTTCTTTCTGTTTATATTTATCCTGCCACACAAATGTGTGTATATCTATATCTATCTCCCTTTATATATGTGAAATATAGGTATATATAATATATAGTTATAGGTATATATGTGAAATATAAGTATTTACAATATAAGTATTTACAAAATTGTATATACATGTGTATGTATGGATGTACGTATCCATCCTGACTTATTTTAAACGAAAGCATGGCCCGAAAGCATGTTTACAGGATTCTTACTCTATTTTAGTTCAGGAAAAATTTAATTCAGCCAAGAAAACTGAGGCCTACTGGGTTCCCACACCATCAGAATGACCAAGGGGCCAGTGTGTCAAGGTCAAAGCCAGCCCCACCCTCCCTTCTGCCCCACTCCCTCCTCCCCAAGCTGTGTCTGCTGCAATCCTGGGGGAGTCTTGGAAACAGTCACTACAAAACACACTGTGGCAGTACATGTGACCAGGACAAACTTTCCATGAGCTACAAACATGGAAAGAACTGGACCTTCTGCTTTTATTCATTCTTTTACACTTCTGTGAACACTTTTCAAAGTTTGGCTTATTTTTTTTCAGGCCCTGACTCTGTAGGCTGTGTTCACCACTATATATTAAACATAAAAATCATGCTGTTTATGGAACATGGCAATCAGTGACTGAAAAGAAGAAACTTCTAACGGTTTTCATGGTAGTCGGATACAGTCTTGTGAAACTGTGTCATTCAAATCTACTCATTAGTGAAAGATGATTTTACATGTCTTTGAAGTAAAAATACCTTTTATCTATGGAGTTTAATTGAAAGCCTACCAGAATAAAAACTGTCACACGTGGAGCTGGTAGATCCTGTTAAACGGAACACTAATGATGATGAATCTGAGGTATGTCATCAACTGCATGAAACAAGTCACTTTCATCACGAAGAGAGGGGATCAAACACGGGAAAAAGGCTTTGTCTTTCTCCACCCATGGGATCTATGTCGTCAATTATCTCCTGCAGATAATTATTCACGCTTATGCATTTCTCTATCTCTGCTTCTGTGAATGTCTCTAAACAAGTTCTTGTTGCCAATAAATGTCTCATGGAATGAGTTGCTAAAAGAGTTAGTTAGAAACATGAATTGCTTCTGAAGGTCCCTGGGCATCCCATGTGCTCACCAGGAGCCTCAAACAATGCGACTTATAGTCCCCAAGCAGGCGGGCTCCGCCTGAAACCAGCGGGCAAGCGGACCATCTCCTGTGTTTAACTCCTAGAGGAAACTGGGTTACAGCCTTTCATCCCTTTTTTTTTTTTTTTTTTTGAGATGGAGTTTCGCTCTTGTTGCCCAAGCTGGAGTGCAATGGTGCAATCTCAGCTCACTGCAACCTCCGCCTTCCGGGTTCAAGCAATTCTCCTGCCTCAGCCTCCCAAGAAGCTGGGATTACAGGCATGCACCACCATGCCTGGCTAATTTTTTTTTTTTTTTTTTAGTAGAAACAGGTTTTCAACAAGTTAGCTAGGCTGGTCTTGAACTCCTGACCTCAGGTGATCTGCCCGCCTCAGCCTCCCTTATCCCTTTTATACACAATGTGCTGCAGAGGCCTGGACATTTCTGTCAAGTATCTATGAGCACCCATTTGTGCAGCACAAACTCATTTATAAAGGAGAAAGCACTTCAAACTACAAAGATGCTTCAGGACGCATTATTCAGTGTTCTATGTTGCCAATTGCCTAATAGATTTCAAATTTAGCTTCTTTGTTTCAAATTCATGGAGGTAAATTGGGACCAAGAAATTCTTTGACTTAGGACACATGTGTTATTTTAGTTATTAAAAGTATTTATTTAAACTATCAAAACAATGTATGTTTTGGTAGTTTAAATAAATGTACAGTTTAAATAAATGTACAGAATGTACAGGTTAAATAACAAATGGAAATCCCCTTTCTGTATCATATCTGCCTAACTGTCCTGAATCTCAACCTTGCAGATACTAAAAAGGTTAATGGTTTTAAATATATTTCCCCATTACATTTCTTGGAATTTACACACACACAGAGTGTGACAGAGAGAGAGCGAGAGCAGGAGTGAGTGAGTGAGAGAGAGAGAGAAAGAGACGAAGATTTCGATAATGTTAGTGTGATAAAAAGCTATGGCCATATGTTCAGAAAGACATTAATTTTATAAGGGTGTGTGTGTGTGTGTGTGTGTATCTAAGTATTTGTCTATGTTGTGTGGAAAAAGTACAGAAATGAAGAAGTGGGCAATTCTTGAAGGATGATGTTGGGCGAGTAAATTAAGATACACAATGGGGAAGTGATATGGTTTGGCTGTGTCCCCACCCAAATCTCATCTTGAATTGTTGCTCCCATAATTCCCACGTGTTGTGGGAGAGACCTGGTGGGAGATAATTGAATCATGGGGGCGGTTTCCCCTACCCCGTTCTTGTGTTAGTGAATAAGTCTCACAAGAGCTGATGGGTTTACAAGGGGTTTCCCCTTTCCTTTGGTTCTCTTTTTCTCTTGCCTGCCACTATGTAAGGTGTGCCTTTCGCCTTCCACCGTGATTGTGAGGTCTCCCCAGCCATGTGGAACTGTGAGTCCACTAAACCTCTTTCCTTTTATAAATTACCAAGTTTCAGGTACGTCTTTATCAGCAGCATGAAAACAGACTAATACAGGGAGAGAATAGAGCTCCCCATCTTCTGAGATAAGACCTTGCTGTCAGTATGGCCTTGGGGCTATATGCTGCAATCATCCCTATACACAGCTTAAGATAGACAATACTCTCACTCCTTCTAATGCTGGCTTACCAATTTTGAGTCAAAAAATTACAAAACACCTAGTTCTGTGTGATGGGCTGCCTAAATTTCATGAGTAAGTTTTCCTTTCTATTTGTTGGAAATAAAGCACAAAAGTCCATTTTATATTTAAACATTATTTTGAATTCAAATTTCAAGGCATTTTGAGATCTGTTGCATCATCAGTGATTCTCAAAGTATTTCTAGAAAATCTAGTGCTCCTAGATGCTAGTGGAGGAAAGGCATCTCTGGTTAAGTTTATTGTGGGTTATGTGGCATATATTGATCTTGAGAGGTAGCAATGCACGCTGAAGGCCCTTAGAAGCTTTGGAATAAAAAACATGACTGATAATATTTTTAATGCTATTTTTCAACGTGTTTGTTCAGAAAAATCGTATCTACCCACCTATCTATTAATATCTATCTACTTATATGTTTATACCCTTATTCTCACTAAACCTCCATTTCTTCTACGTGAAATGGGTACAATGCCACAGGATCACTGTGACAGCCTCGTGCGTTCATGACCGCACGGTGCTCTGGATCATATCTGGCATAAAATAAGCACTCGGCAAATGTGAGTGACTGTATCAGGCAGTTCCCACATTGCTGTAAAGAAATACCTGAAACTTGGTAATTTATAAAGAAAAGAGGGGCCACGCACGGTGGCTCACGCCTGTCATCCCAACACTTTGGGAGGCCAAGGTGGGCGGATCACTTGAGGTCAGGAGTTCGAAGCTAGCCTGGCCAACATGGTGAAAACCCATCTCTACTAAAAATACAAAAATTAGGTGGGTGTGGTGGCACATGCCTGTAATCCCAGCTACTCGAGAGGCTGAGGCGGGAGAATCGCTTGAATCTGGGAGGTGGAGGTTGCAGTGAGCCAAGATTGTACCACTGCACTCCAGCCTGAGTGCTTCTTTTTAAGACTTATTCTCAAAAAAAAAAAAAGAGGTTTAATTGGCTCCTGTTTCCACGGGCCCTACAGGAAGTGTACTAGCTTCTGCTTCTGGGTTCTGGGGAAGCCTCAAGAAGCTTCCAATCATGGTGGAAGGTGAAGGGGAAGCAGGCACATCTTACATGGCCGGGGCAGGAGGAAGAGAGAAAGTGGGGAGGTGCCACACAATTTTAAACAACCAGATACTGTGAGAACTCTATCATTATACAGTACCAAGGTAGATGGTGCTAAACCATTCATAAGAACTCTGCCCCCATGATCCATTCACCTCCCACCAGGCCCCACCTCAACACTGGGGATGACAATTCAACATGAGATTTTCTGGGGACACAGATCCAAACCATATCAGCAATTAAGCAGACACAAGGTGGATTTTAAGACATGCTTCAACATGTACTCTAGTCTAATGTATGCCAGCGTCAATGATAATCCGGCTGAAGTGCCCAACTGAGGCTACCCTTTAAACTAAAAATAATCAGTTACTATTTTATAAGACTGACTCAGATTGAGAAGTCTCAAATAGTAACTGAGAATCCTGTATGTTTCGCAACCTCCTTCACATTTGTTTCACCTACAGTAAATTCCAGCTGCTCACACAAAAAGAGGAAGTGTGCAGATGGGTGTATTTATATATGTGTGTGATTGTGTATTTTATATGTTGAGCTGAAACTCAGGGAAATTGGGCTGTTTCCTTTTCTTGTTTCTATTTATTTTCTTAGTTATTAGGTTGAGACCTGTCAATATCATTCACTTGACACTTCCATGCAGCATGGACCACAACACACTCTTCTCACTCTGGCTCACACATGCAGCCCTTTCTACATATCAGGCTATGAGCTTCCAACTTTCTGAATAACAAGATATCTATTTCCTTGCAGTTTCACACTCTGTTCACACTTGATTTCCCTGTTTATTTGCTTAGTCAACCCTACTCTCTTCCAACACCCCTACCACACTCTTTCCTTATGCTACTAGATCTTTAATTGGCCACAGTGATCATGCTCGTTTATTAATTTTAAAAATATTTATTGACTGTCTGCTCTGACCTGGCCTGTGCTGGGTGATGTAGCCCCTAACGGGCAAACATTCCAATCTGTTATATTTGCTTCTCCCCGTCTCTCTCCAGCACTCACAACACAGGCTGAATATTGTAGCAGTATGTGTGAGACGTGCACAAGGATGAATGGAAGATGGATAATATTGTATAAACGGAGGGTTGAAAGCAAGTGCTCCACCTGAAAGACAGTTATAGTTACAGAAATGAAAACTGATACTTTTTTTGAGATACTTCATAATTTCAAGATGCAATTATATCTCCATAGGGCAATAGGATCCCATAATTACAACCACAATCCTTCGGGCCCTGCATTTTAGACTCTATAGCCCCCAGAGCTCTTGAGCCCTCTAACACACTGCCATCCTGGGAAAACACTCTGGGGACCCCCTCTAACAGGCCTGATGCACCTGGTGAAGCTTCTGCTTAGAGAGGGGTCACAACTCAGCCTGGATCTTCAGGTAAAAGGTTGGAACATCAGGTATTCCAGGTTCACAACATGACTCATTCTAGGAGACTCCAGCTAGGCTCTGTTGTTTGACAGAGGATGGCCAAGTTGGTCTTAAATGAAGGCCTAGGTTGGGGCACGTGCAGATCCAGGCGGAAAAGTCAACCCATGGGATGCACCTGGGACATGCCAGGTGTGGACCCTTGAGGACCTCATGACTGCATTCTGCAGGGAAAAAGACAAGAAACCAATCAGACATGTTCACTGCGGGGCTTAGCCTTGCTGAAGAAAAACAAGAAAATGCCTCAGTTGGAGAAAGATCCTATGAAGGCCATCCTGAGAGGTAGGGAGAGGAGAGTATTGTGAAATGAAGTCATCCAAAAAGGGGATTTGGAGCCACGGTATTAGTGAGATCATACCAGACATGAGAATGACTCTAGGCTGAGCCACAGTGAAGGAACTCCAGCAGGTGAGCATTGGGAAAAGAGGCAGAAAGAGCCTATCTGGGGTCAGCTCTGGGATTGGGTTCTTAGCGGAGTTGGGCTTGTCACCCTCGGCGGCTAGGAACCCATCACCTATATGATCATGCTCCACAGGAGATCCATGCTTCTTGGTGTGGTTCCATTGATACCTGTAATCATCATACCTCAAGCTCAAGCCTGGCTGTATCACCAGGGGCAGCCAGATAGTAGCTTTGCAGACCATGTGGTCTCTGTCACGAGCAGCAGCCACAGGCCGTATGTGTCAAGTGTAGCATAAACATGTATAAACAATCAGATGTAGCTTTAAATTCTTTCTTACAAAACATGCATTGGACTGAATTGGTCCTGAAGGTCATTAGTTTGCTATCCCCTGAAGGAGTCTGTAGCTTGTCTGAATATGAAAATAATTACACCAAATGCTTGGTTAAAACAAAACAACACAGTAACAACACTTTAGTTTCTGCCAGTAAAAGTAGGAGAGTCAATAATACACAATGGCTAAGAACTCAGTCTCTAACATTAAACTTACTTGAATCTAGTCTATAACCAATTCTTAATGGTATAACCCTGGGAGAGTTTCTTGGCTTTACTAAGCCTCGACTTCTTTGTCTGTAAAATGAGAATAATAGATGAATTTACCTTTTGGAGTGTTCTAGTGATGCAGCGATAATGTATTTAAAATGCAATGATTAGAACCTGATATGTGTATGGGTCAATTTATATGAACTATTGTTATTAGCAATATGTTCTCCTATCATGAACCTAGTTGGAAAGACATAACCTCAGGTGAGACAAACCTTTGGTACAACAAAGCCTGCTTGATAATCTCATTACCAATAGTACATTTCTAACTTCTTGCCACTCTCTCATGGTTCATGTTTTTGAGGATCACCTTTCTTCAGCTGGTCAGGAGCTTTGAAGTTCCAAACTAATAGGACAATATTAGCAAATAAGTAACGTATAGATTGTTGTCACAGTAATTTAAGAATGTTTAGCCAAGGAAACATCTGGAATGATATCAGATACGTTCTAAAATATATAATCTGACAGATTAACTTCATGGAGTTAAAATTGTCCTATGATGGTTCTCAGAAAATCGCTTGAGTTTGCTTTACTGCTTAGGATCAGATTATAGCATTAAAGTAAAGGAACATTGATACCCTCCTTGGTCTCTGACCCAGACTGGAGTCAGTTCTCATCATCTGCTGCTAATCTTTGTACCTCTTCATAGAGATTTTCTTAAATTCCAAAAGAGCAATTTTCTGATAAGGATAGTAGTAATATCAGCTAATGTTAACTTCCTAAAACTACATAGTGAAACTTAAGCTGGAGAAATGCCATCTCCTTTGCCTTTGGAGGAGCCAGAACTATGGAATAAAAATGACTACATGCTTATCATGTTTCCTGATGGGAAAGTACACTTCACTGACCGGTAGTTAGCCTCATGAACTCTTAGTTACTTCCAGAATTATCACTTCTTGGAAGTGATTACACCAGGGTCAGGGAGACCATTTTATTTCCCTTTATTTTTACATTAGACAAGGAGTATCTATGCTGATTATTAGTTATAATAAGCAATCCTACCTTTTGGTGATTTATACCATTCATTTATCTCTTGCAAACCTCTTAGCAAATTTATAACTAGGCACAATTATCTGACAGAAAGTAATAATGGTACCAATCATTTGCAGTGTGGCAAATGCTATTCTGATTAATTTACATGTTTGAATCTATTTATTCTTCACAACTTCCCTAAGAAGTGCGTGCTATTATTATCCTCACTGCAAGGAGACCCACAGTCAGATGGACACAATGTGATATGCCAGGATTTACCTTTATGGCCTGGGTTTTAATTACTGTGTTACAGAGATATTCACACGTCTCTGAATCTTTAAAACCAACTTTTTAAAGTACTTACAAATGGTATTTTAAGAATTCCACAATAACAAAAGATTTGTAAATTTCTTGGAGAGTAATTTTATTTAACAGTGAGAGTGATAGATGTTATCTGGAATGAGGATATTGTGCTGGCCCTCAGACAGCTACATAATTTGTCATGATTATAAATGTACAGGCATAGGCTGGCAGAGAGCTCTATAGTAAATGGAATTCTATTCTGAAATGAATACGTAAACTGGTAGAGATTTGCACATAAATATTAGGCAGAGTTAATGCTCTGGGGATTATAGATATTTATGATTTTTTAAATACCCAGGCCATCAGCCAACATATCCTTTACGACAGTGGAAAGAAAATGAAACTAAGGTGGGACTCAGTGACTCACGCCTGTAATCCCAGCACTTTGGGAGGCCGAGGCGGGTGGATCACCTGAGGTCAGGAGTTCTAGACCAGCCTGGACAACATGGTGAAACCCCATCCATACTAAAAATACAAAAATAAGCCGGCCGTGGTGGCAGGCACCTGTAATCCCAGATACTCAAGGGGTGCTGAGGCAGGAGAATCGCCTGAATCGGGGAGGCGGAGGTTGCAGTGAGCTGAGATTGTGCCATCGCACTCCAGCCTGGGGGACAAGAGCGAGACTTTGTCTCAAAAGAAAAAGAAAATGAAACTAAAAGGCTAAAAAAAGATGAATAGGGCAACAAAGAAAAAAAAGAAAAGAAAAGATCAAGTAGTTTGAGAAAAAGACACAGAAAATAAAACCCATCTTTGCTAAAATCTGTAATAACAATTTATGTAAAAATCCTAGATGAGAATTATTAAAACCCAAGATCTAACTAAAAATCAAAATATGTTCCAATATATTATTTATATGGTATACTTCAGAGACAAAAAGCAGTTCTATTCATGGCCATAAACTCAAGGTCATAAAAATAAATTAGCACAGCCCCTAAGAAAATTCACCCACTGACATACATTGTAGCCACATAACTTACCATTAAACCAGATAATGTAGTGACACTTCTGGCATCCATTAAATCAGATAATATGGCAACACTTCTAGGGGGCATTAAATCAGACAGTATGGTAACACTTTGAGGATGCATTAAACCAGGTAATACGGTAACACTTCTAGGGTGCATTAAACCAGATAATATGGTAATACTTTAAGGATGCATTAAACCAGACAAAATAGTGACATTTCTAGGATGCACCTTGCCCTCCCACCAGCCTGATCATTGCACATAGGAGACTCAGAGAGTTCTTACCTTTAATGTAGATTCCAAAACTTACATTGGGGGGACCTTGTACATGCTCTGTAACTCTCTCAGCCTCAGTTTCCTCATATGCAAAATGAAGGAAAATATCTTTCCAACAGAATTCTAATGTTGATTACATGAGCCAATATGGTATATTAAATCTTATACATTAAACATTACACATTAAATTATATGGTCTAAATTATAATGTTTGGACTATAGTAAGGATCTTATAATTTAATGTGTGGGATTTACTATAAGATTAAGTATATACTATATTACAATATAAAATATGATATGCATTTATATAAAATATTTTACACTCTATGTTTTATAAGTATTAGGTTGGTGCAAAAGTAATTGTGGTTTTTGCCATTGAAAGTAATGGCTTTTATTACTGGGCAATACATGTAATATATAATTTATAAGTAGGATTTTATACAGTAATTAAATGGTATTAAAATATTAATAGTATTGAAATATTAAATGCAAATAGTATTAAAATATTAAATTAAATTATCAAAATTTTCCTTGTCCTGAAGTCACATAAAGAAAAACCTCATGGAAATAGAATGTCTTGGATTATAGACAGGTCATCTTCTCCAGAACTGGCAGTTGCCATGTGTGTTTGGCAGCACTTGGCGAGGCGGGGATGGTCAGGGAAGATATGTTGGAGAAGGATCCACCTACTGTAGTGAGCAGGAGGGGGGATTTTCAGGAGGAGGGAATCAACCATATGTTATAGTCATGGATTCAAGTGTGAAACCATAGTAGACAGTTCTGGAAGGTAGGTGGCCAGAGGTTGCATGCTCAGTCTCTGAAGGAAGATGTTCAGCACTCCAATCCTGGCTCTACTAATGGTATGAGAAGGCAGCTCCTTCCAGCATATGACTGTCAATTGTTAAATTTTCAGGGAATTTGTGAGCCAGTCATTAAAGCAACAATTATTAGAAATTAATGGCTATAAACTTATAATTATATAAATCACATTTAAAAAGTAAGAAACACTCAAAACTCTTCACATTCTAATTATTTTTAGTACATCAAATTACTGCCCAGGGTCTAGAGATTGTTTGTGACTAATGTATCTGTACACTGGGAATCCTATAAGACCATGTGCTAATGTGAAGTGCATTATCTTCCCAGCCCCATATTCTGTGATGTCAAGTTAGTAGTTTAAAGTCAGCCATAGTCGTAGCATTTGCATAGTATCGATACTATAAGAAGTTTTAATTTAACAAATATAATTTGTATGAGACTAAGAAAGACTCCTACAGGAGAGCACATGGATGTACCTTGAAAACATTGTGCTAAGTAAAAGAAGCCAGATAAAAAGGTCACACATTGTATAATGCTACGTATGCACAATGTCCAGAATAGGCAAATCCATAGAGACAAAAAGCAGATTAGCAATGCCAGGAGTGAGAAAAGGAAGAAAGGGGAATGAATTGCTCACAGGTACAGAGTTCCCTTTGGAGTGATGAAATCATCTGGAATTAGATAGATGTGATGGGTTGCACAACTCTTTGAACATAATAAAGACCATAGAACTATACACATTTTTTTTATTATACTTTAAGTTCTAGGGTACCTGTGCACAACATGCAGGTTTGTTACATATGTATACATGTGCCATGTTGGTGTGCTGCACCCATTAACTTATCATTTACATTAGGTATATCTCCTAATGCTATCCCTCCCCGCACCCCCCACCCCACGACAGGCCCCGGTGTATGATGTTTCCCATCCTGTGTCCAAGTGTTCTCATTGTTCAATTCTCACCTATGAGTGAGAACATGCGGTGTTTGGTTTTCTGTCCTTGCGATAGTTTGCTCAGAATGATGGTTTCCAGCTTTACCCATGTCCCTGCAACGGACAGGAACTCATCCTTTTTTATGGCTGCATAGTATTCCATGGTGCATATGTGCCACGTTTTCTTAATCCAGTCTATCACTGATGGACATTTGGGTTGGTTCCAAGTGTTTGCTATTGTGAATAGTGCCACAATAAACATATGTGTGCATGTGTCTTTATAGCAGCATGATTTATAATCCTTTGGGTGTACACCCAGTAATGGGATGGCTGGGTCAAATGGTATTTCTAGTTCTAGATCCTTGAGGAATCACCACACTGTCTTCCACAATGGTGGAACTAGTTTACAGTCCCACCAACAGTGTAAAAGTGTTCCTATTTCTCCACATCCTCTCCACACCTGTTGTTTCCTGACTTTTTAATGATCACCATTCTAACTGGTGTGAGATGGCATCTCATTGTGGTTTTGATTTGCATTGCTCTGATGGCCAGTGATGATGGGCATTTTTTCATGTGTCTGTTGGCTGCATAAATGTCTTCTTGCTCATGGATAGAAAGAATCAATATTGTGAAAATGGTCATACTGCCCAAGGTAATTTATAGATTCAATGCCATCGCCATCAAGCTACCAATGACTTTCTTCACAGAATTGGAAAAAACTACTTTACAGTTCATATGGAACCAAAAAAGAGCCCACATTGCCAAGACAATCCTAAGCCAAAAGAACAAACTGGAGGCATCATGCTACCTGACTTCAAACTATACTACAAGGCTACAGTAACCAAAACAGCATGGTACTGGTACCAAAACAGAGATATAGACCAATGGAACAGAACAGAGCCCTCAGAAATAATACCACACATCTACAACCATCTGATATTTGACAAACCTGACAAAAACAAGAAATGGGGAAAGGATTCCCTATGTAAGAAATGGTGCTGGGAAAACTGGCTAGCCATACGTAGAAAGCTGAAACTAGATCCCTTCCTTAAACCTTATATAAAAATTAATTCAAGATGGATTAAAGACTTAAATGTTAGACCTAAAACCATAAAAATCCTAGAAGAAAACCTAGGCAATACCATTCAGGACATAGGCATGGGCAAGGACTTCATGTCTAAAACACCAAAAGCAATGACAGCAAAAGCCTACATTGACAAATGGGATCTAATTAAACTAAAGAGCTTCTGCACAGCAAAAGGAACTACCATCAGAGTGAACAGGCAACCTACAGAATGGGAGAAAATTTTTGCAATCTACCCATCTGACAAAGGGCTAATATCCAGAATCTACAAAGAACTTAAACAAATTTACAAGAAAAAATCAAACAACCCCATTAAAAATTGGGCGAAGGATAATAACTATACACTTTCAAATGATGAATATTATGGTGTGTGAATTATATCTCAAGAAAGCTGTTATGAACAAACTATTCCTTCTGAACTTCCTTAACTATCTTGCCTACCTGGAAATGCAGTGAGCATCTAGGTAAACTTTATAGAAATAGGGAGTATGAAAAAGGAACAAAATATAAAGTGGCCATCTTTTCCTAAAAAAAGGAGTTAATAAGTTATTTCATCTAATTTACTTTTATCACAATAAAGATACCATGAATGTGTCTTTGAATTTTTAATGATTAGTTGTGTCCGGATAAAGGCTAAAATGCTATTTAGAAAGCAATTTAAACAATAAAAACCCCAAAAGCATGATTTCGGAGCAAGTTAAAGCAGCCATGGAGTCAGGGAGAACTTTTACCTTATGTTTGTATATTAATTATCTTTGGTTGCATAAATCATTGGCCCCTGAACTTGACAAAAACGATATTACAGAATGTTATTGTTCTTAACAATACAATTCAAAGGTAGACATTATATGTATGTTATATATAATAATATTTATATATTATGTATGTAATATAATATATATACTATATTTGTATACTGTAATATATATAAAATGTGTATATATACATTATATATATATAATGACTCTCTCAGAAAACAGGTTTAAGTTAAATATTGCAACACATCTTAGGTTTCCATTGATTTGCAAACATTTGTACCAGCACCAGCTGTTGAATGCCTTTCTGAGCACTGCCATGCACATAGCTAAATTTGGCAGTTTAAAACAACAGAAATGTATCCTCTCCCCAATCTGGAGACCTGAATTCCTCAATCAAGATAAACAGAAGTTGAATTCTACCAGCCTATAGTTGATGCTTATTTCTTTTTCTGTGGATCAGAGAAACTTCAATGGTTGCGTGATTTCTGTTTTTCTATGTCTGTGAAGCCATGCTCAGTGTGTAAACCAAGAATTATTGAAAAACCTAGAGCAGGGGTCCCCAACCCCTAGGCCATGGACCAGTACCAGTTTGTGGCCTGTTAGGAGCTGGGCCTCACAGCAGGAGGTTAGTGACAGGCAAGCATGACGCAAAGCTTTAGCTGTATTTACAGCCACTTCCCATTGCTCTCATTACCATCTGAGCTCTGCCTCCTGTCAGATCAGCAGTGGCAATAGATTCTCACAGGAGTGTGAACCCTACTGTGAACTGTGCTTGCATACGAAAGATCCAGATTGTGAGCTTCTTATGAGAATCAAATGCCTGATGATCTGTCACTGTCTCCCATCACCCCCAGATGGGACTATTTAGCTGCAGGAAAATGAGCTCAGGGCTCACACTGATCCTACATTATGCTGAGTATGTAATCATAGTAGAAATAAAGAGCACAATAAATGTAAATGCACTTGAATCATTTCCAAACCATTCCCTGTCCACGGAAAAATTGTCTTTCATGAAACTGGTCCCTGGTACCAAAAAGGTGGGGACTGCTAACCTAGAGTACTAAGAATTCATTTGTTGCCTTCTAGTTTTCAGGCATCTGAGTAAGAAAAACATTTTCATCTCGTGATCCTGGTCAGGAGATATGCACTCGGAGGAGAGGTGAACAGATGCACACGGTCAAAAGCACAACAGTAACCTGTGTTCCCTTTGCCCACTGAGGTGCCTTAGTGCACACTGTGCTGAGTGGGACTGTGTTGAGCAGCAGCTGGAAATATGCTGGACTCATATGAGGACCACAGGCCTGTGGCAACAGGACTTAGAGCTCATCTGAGATTGGGAAATTAAGAAAGGAACCAGAACAGTTAGTTTGTCCAAGTCCCTGCAAAATTATGTTTTTGTAAAATGTCACTAAATTACCATAGCCCAAACGTTCCCACGATTACGTAAAATAAATACGTTAACTCAAACTAGTAAAGTAGTCTCATGCAAGATATATGCAATGAATAAAAGATGAGCCTTCTTCTTCAGCTATACTGGTTCTTTCAAATTCTAATAATATGTATTCCTTTTATTCAAATGGAAGTTTTTATTCCAGTTTTAAAATTATAATCATGATTTGTTGGGACTTCTGGAATGGTAGAAGGAAGAAATCCTCTCTCCAAAACAGGAAAGAAAAGACAGACGAAGCTATAAAAAAAAAACAACTCTTTCAGAAGCCTGAAAGCTCATAACCCATTGTTGAATGAGAATGCTGATCACATGTCTTCAGTTTTGGTTTGCACAGCTTCTTATTAAAATAAATTTATTATTAAAATCAAATTTTTTACCAGAGTCAAAAATAGCACCATCTGCTCATCACATACTTGTTAAAAGTCTATTTCCACAATACCAACCATTGTTTCTGCAAAATATCATTACCTCCTCTATGATTGGGAAGCTGGCTCTGGATGGTGTGAATATAGAAACAACATCAGGAAAGAAGAAATACACGCTATTTTCTTAACAGCTTTGTCAACTTTTTGATTGGTACTGGAAACATAATGAGAGCAGCCACAATGCATTGAAAACAGTCTTTGTAGCGATTTAGGGATTGTGTGTGTTTTTTCCTCTGTTTTCTTATTGCCTTTTTTTTTTTTTTTTTAACACTGCATTTGCTTGGTCAGATGCAATGTTCTTAAATACCCACCAGCACCGAATCCTTGCAGGGAACTCAGTATAAGGAAGCATGTGGGAAGCCCCTGGGTAGAGGACAGTGCAGGTTGTGCAAAGATTATTCATAATGAATCAAAGCCCTAGCAGAGGCAGATGGTTTATCTGTGGCATTTGTACAGTATACGCTGAGTGCACTTAAATGTAATAAGGGAGCTATAATATGCTAGTCAATTTCCATCTAGTTAAAAAATCATGTGCAATTAATTCCATCGAAATATTCTCTCTAGCTTTATAATTCTCAGTGCAATGCTTTGTGCAAAAGGCTCACCAGGGAATTTTCTCTTACTGTATTTCCCCAGGGAACATGCTTAGGAGCTTTCTCCCTACTGTTATTGGGTCTCTGTTCCTTCCCGCCCCTTGTGAGTAATCAATGACTAATGAGAATTATAGACAAAGGACTGAGTTTTTCGCTCATGTAAAGAGAATAATGGGAAAAACACACGTTTTTATTGCCTTTTCGGTATAGATCTGCCTGAGTCACCAGGAAATTACACAGAGGCCTGTAGGTATAAAGCCAAGACAAGGTGTGGGCTGCTTGGTTGCTAACAAGTGAAGTCAGGTCACTTATATGGCATTGAAGATACAGAATAAAGTCATTGAGGCCACAAGATGCAAGTTAGTTATCACAAAGTTGAGGGTATAAACAACCTCCCATCACAAACATGATTTCCACCATAGGTGAAAAGCCATTTGGCCATGTAAGTTTCCTTATTCAACTACTATCTCAGCTTTTCAATTTCCGTCTTCGGCTATAATTTCTTGCCTAGCCTAGAGGCTATCGTCGTTCACATGCTGAGATAGCCTAGGACTACAGCAAGAGAGGAAGGATGGACAGGAAGGTCACTAGATTTTTAGAAAAGTTACTATGTCTGGCCTTCAAAACAAATTCAATAGAAATGAATAAATATAATAAAAATTCCAGCTAGGTGCTCATCCCTGAGCCGGAATGGGCTCTCCCGTTGTTAGAGAGGGGGATTAAAAAGTTAAAAAAACACATCTTCACCAAACAGATTTTCTGCTTCATGCAACCAGGCAGACTAAAGGAGAATTATAATGGGAAATGGTTTTTCACCATATGGTTTAATATCATTTAATATGGAGGCTGGTGCCACCTAAAATCACCTCTCATTGCAGCTGAGGCACACGCTGTCTACCTAGGGGCACCAGTAAGCTCTAATGGCTTCATTTTACCATCTGAGATAAGTGATTTATCCAAGATGTATGGAAGATGAGAACACACGACACTAATCTCCAAGTTGATGGTGGTTCTGCCATATTGATCATCTTTAAAAACACCAAGACATTTAGGAATTTTAAATATCAGTATCCAGAAAACTAACTACTTGGAGTATGCAATGACATACACATTTGAGTGCTAGCTATGGGCACAAGATTCAGGGAGATATTGGCTTATAGAACAAGTACGACACCTGCAGTTTTGGAGTTTTAAACTTCGTGTTTGATTAAACAGAAAACAATAGCAACAACAACAAAGCCCAATTTGAAGGCAAAGCAAAAGCATGCAATTTTCTTCAAATACAGTAAGACTCCACTTGTTACTGAGAACAGTTCTTGCCTTCATCGATTCATAGATCTCATTCTCTGAAAACACACGGTCCCTCAATTTGACTCAATCCCTTCATGATGAAAATGCATCATTTACATATGTGGAGTATGTCATCATTTAATCAAACAGGCAGAGGATAGTAGTAACTTGATTTTTAACAATATAGTAAAAACACATTTAATTGCACCCTTTTGACCTATAGAAAATCAATGTAATTTTACATTAAACTTGATTTCAATTCTGTTAGATTGCTAAACATATTTCTGAGAGTATGTTTAAGGATGTGAAACAACACACGCAATATTAAAATGTATCCAGACAGGGATCATCTCGCCCTGATCCCAGGACACCATTTGCACGTGGAACTCTCATTTGCTTAACGGGAAAGATGCCCCTGCAACAGTGAGGGAGCTGCCTGCAGGAAGGAGGAAGGTAGGAGGAAGGGTTACAATTATGTTTTCCCTATCATTAGTCTTCATTCTTGAATTCATAAGTCAAAGCCAAGGTCTACATTCCTCACAATGCTGAGACATTAGTGGAATGTGGAAAAACATCCATCCTCTTAGACTGATAATGTCCTTAATGTGCCAGGAGGCTTTCTGTGCTGTGCCTCATGGCCAATTATACAAGTTCATTCTTCCACGCCCGCCTCTAGGTTCAGACGTGAAGTCCATGTTGTGAATGTAAAAGCAGACCCCTATGACCTTCACGAGATGGGTTTCTAAACATACTTAGAAGCAAGTCCCCACCCCCACAATCCTCACTGTACACACAGAAAACAGACAGCTCTCCTGGGATAATTCAGTATAGCCCAATTCCTAAACCAATCCCCAAAACTAGAGGTTGAAACCGATAGCTCGAGGCCATATTAGCCCCCCATGATTGGTGTCTCAATCCTTTTGTGTTGGCCTGTTCAAAGTTTAAAAAAACTTAATTACCTATTTAAAATGAGGAGTGGGGTGAAAACATCATATCAAATTCTAGGTTTCTGCCTTCTCTTGTGAAATAAAAACGAAAACATAATATTTGCTCATGATACTACATTGCTGCCTGGAAACTACTAAGAAAAAAAAGAGTATTTATTACCTTTGCACAGGGCTTAGACTGTTCCTATTCCCACTGTCTTCAGTCTCCATGATTCCTTTAAATCAACTGATCAATTGATCAATCAATCAAGCACAAACATACATATTTTTCATGTACTTCCTTCTTACATGATTACATAAGTCCTTCTACTTATCTCATTTATTTTATTTATTCAACTTGAGCTGTCTCCTTGGAACACTCTTCACGGTTAAACATGGAAGCTCTACAGTTCAGTGGCCTGAGTTTGATTCCTGACCTTGATTTGTATCCATGGCATGACCTTGGGGAAGGTCCAGAAGTTTGGGGAGCCTATTTCTTGAACTGTAACATGGGGATAATAATAGTAGCTACCTCTTTGGGCCACTGTGAGAAGCAACGAGATACCGTGTAGGAAACAGCACCAGGCCTGGGGAAACCCTGCAGTGCCTGCTGCTGCTGCTGATGTGGCTACTGTCCCTGTTGCCATTCATTCTCTCATAAAGTCGGTTTCAAAAGGAAGGCTCAAATGCACTATTGTCCTTCCCTCTGCCTTCATCAAGCACAGAAACAGAGGGAGACTGACAGCCACACCTTATATTTACCATCCTGACACTGTCTTCCCCACAGCCTTGGGCTCTAAGCTGGAGGAAACCGGCAGTGCTTTCTTGTGGGGAAGATGGGGCAGGCCTGCCAGGCAAAAGGGTTTTGACACAGCAGCCTAAAAATAAGAAGGTTTCTCAAAAATTATGATGGAGAAAAGTAGAGATTCTGTAAGTATTAAGTTAGTGCAAAGGTAATTGTGGTTTTTCCCATTATTTATTTATTTATTGTTATTATTATTTTTTGAGAGGGAGTTTTGCTCTTGTTGCCCACGCTGGAGTGCAGTGGCACGATCTCGGCTCACTGCAACCTCCGCCTCCCAGGTTCAAGCAATTCTCGTGCCTCAGCCTCCCGAGTAGCTGGGACTACAGGCGCCCGCTACCACGCCCAGCTAATTTTTTGTATTTTTAGTAGAGATGGGGTTTCACCATGTTGTTCAGGCTGGTCTCGAACTCCTGACCTCAGGTGATCCACCCACTTCGGCCTCCCAAAGTCCTGGGATTACAGGCATGAGCCACCATGCCCGGCCTATTTATTTATTTATTTAGAGACAGAGTCTCCCTCTGTCCCCCAGGCTGGAGTTGAGTGGCACTATCTTGGCTCACTGCAACCTCTGCCTCCCGGGTTCAAGCCATTCTTCTGCCTCCGCCTCCTGAGTAGCTGGGATTATAGGCATGCACCACCACACCCAGCTACTTTTTGTCTTTTTAGTAGAGATGGGGTTTCATCATGTTGGCCAGGCCGGTCTCAAACTCCTGACCTCAAGTGATCCACCCGCCTCGGCATTCCAAAGTGCTGGGATTACAGATGTAAGCCATGGCTCCCAGCCTTGCCATTACTTTTAATGGCAAAAACCACAGTTACTCTTGTATCAAGCTAGCAGGTTCCTTCAACATACTGTTGTAGTAGGTTTCTTGTACTGTTCTAGTAGGTTCCTTTGGCGTACTGTTCTAATAGTTTCTTTCAGTGTACTGTTCTAGTAGGTTCCTTCGGCGTACTGTTCTCCTTGTTGGAGCTGCTGATACCTGGCCCTGTACCCTGCTGATCCATTCCCCAACAGTCACATATCCACTTATTCACTCATGTGGAATTTCTGTTTGATTTGGGAACTGCTTTGTGACAGCGCAATGCTCAATGCTGGGATGGTTGAGCTGAAATGAGACAAACATGGTCCCGATGCTCAGGGGAGGTCATTCTAGGGGCAAGGAGACTGCAATAAGCAAATAAACTAATGACATTTCAGACACTGGTGAATATTATTACAAAAATAAACTCCAGACAATAGTTTTTAAAGATTCTTGGGGAAGGTCTCCCTAAGGAGGGAAATCTGAATGAAGAGTTAGTCAGCCATGGAAAGACCCAGAAGATGAGACTCTAAGCAGGTGACCCAGTGCAGAGGCCCTGGGGTTGGCACCAGGTCCCATGTTCACTGATCAGATGGGCCTGTGTGGAAGATGCCAAGCACACATTATCTCATGCAATTGTTCCAACAACCCAGTGAGATGGATAAACTATTATCCCCATTTTGAGGATGCAGAAACGGAGGTATGGGGAGGTTAATAGTTCCCCTGTAAGTGAGGGAAAGAGAAATTCAACTTAGGTAGTGTGTTCTTCCTTCCAGAAGCGAGATGCTCAGTTACTTAGCTCTGCAGGTCAGCTTCGTATTCAGCTTCCTGCTGGGCTTCTGTGAGCCTGGTGTCCCACCTGACTGACCCACCGTCAGCTCAGCCCTTTCCCTGTCCACCTCAGTTCCAACTGCTCCATGTCTGGCCACCCTCATGAAACTCGCCAGTTTTGATTTCTGTTCAAATAACCTTGGATAGAAAAGGGACTGCTATTGGAAAATGAAACCATGCTGAGCACAGACTTCAATAAAAGATGGATCTCACGTTTGTGCAAGAATATTCCAAAGTGGTACATGGGGGCTATTTCTATTTTTTCTGTTCAGTGTTCATGGTGTTTCCCCCAACTCTGTGC
Source organism: Homo sapiens (assembly GCF_000001405.40). Taxonomy (NCBI): domain Eukaryota; kingdom Metazoa; phylum Chordata; class Mammalia; order Primates; family Hominidae; genus Homo; species Homo sapiens. The sequence goes on from NC_000012.12 coordinate 127,057,829, forward strand.
ATGAAGACTGTAGTTAGCTTTTAGAAAGACTAAATATGCCATAGCTATACAAACTTCTTTTTCCCTTAAAACATGGGAAGCCTTAGATGTAAAAATAGCCGTTAAATCTTTATTATTTCTACTACTTGGAAGAGGAGCTTGCATAATCCACTCGGGTTGTGTATACATCATCTCCACCCCTGCTTAGTTGTGAATTGTCTCAAGAAGAAAATATTGGATACCACCCACTAATCACCCATTAACAAGCACATATAGGTTGTGATACAAAGAGCTCTTTAAGTGGATTAATTGAAAGCATCGCTGAATGAGCTGGAGGATTTCAGCTAATGACTTTGAAAAAGCACTTGAAACAATTAATGGTGACTAATGACACTAAATAGTATAATAAATACCACTGTTGACATTTTGATAGGAAAAGTCACCAGACAGAGGTCGTCCTTATTTCAGAAAGTGGAAGCAGCACCCAGGAGAAGTTTCAAGTCAGGACAGTCTAACAAAATGATCTAATTCTTGCTTACTCTTAGTCCCAAAAAGGCAGGCTTTCATGGTCTGGATAAAAAAGTGTGGAGTACACACCCTAGACCCCAATCAAGTCCATTCCTAGCCTGCAACCTGTGTTCTGTTGTCTCGCACAGTTGGGAAAGGCATCTTCAGTCTCTGAGCTTCCCACGCACATTTGCTGGAATTGTCTTTCAAGGCACAGAAGCCTAAAACTCTGCGATGATTGGCCAGGCGCAGTGGCTCATGCCTGTAATCCCAACACTTTGGGAGGCCGAGGAGGGCGGATCAGTTGAACTTAGGAGTTCGAGACCAGCCTGGCCAACATGGCGAAACTCCTTCTCTACTAAAAACACAAAAATTAGCCGGGTGTGGTGGCAGGTGCCTAAAGTTCCAGCTACTCAGGAGGCTGAGGCAGGAGAATTGCTTGAACCTGGGAGGTGGAGGGTGCAGTGAGCCAAGATTGCACCACTGCACTCCAGCCTGGGCAACAGAGCAAGACTCCATCTCAAATAAATAAATAAATAAATAAAGCAAAACAACCCGTTATGCTCTAGTAGGGTCTCCTTAATCCTCTGGAGCCTGACGTGGAGTTCTTCTTAATGTCTTAGATCTCGTTTGGACTTATAAAATATTTTAGTTTTGTTTTTATCTTTTTGTTTTTTGGAAACAAGATCTCACTCTGTCTCCCAGGCTGGAGTGCAGTGGCAAGATCTCGGCTCACTGCAACCTCTGCCTCCAGCATTCAGAGGATTCTCCTGCCTCAGCCTCCTTAGTAGCTGAGGCTACAGGCATGCGCTGCCACCCCGCCTGGCTAATTTTCGTATTTTTGGTAGAGATGGGGTTTCACCATGTTGGCCAGGCTGGTGTGGAACTCCTGACCTCAAGTGATCTGCCTGCCCCTCAGCTTCCCAAAGTGCTAGGATTACAGGCATGAGCCACCATGCCCAGTCCTGCCCCGCCTTTTTTTAAATTTAGCTTTTAAGTTCACAGGTACATGTGCAGGTTTGTTCTATAAGTAAATTTGTGTCATGGGGGTTTGTTTTATATGTTAGTTTTTTTGATTTCACTAATTTTTGTCCATCTTACTTCCAGTTGTGTTCAGTAGGAGTTTTGGTTTTCTGAGAATTACAATTAAAAAAAAATTCATAGTTATTCATATGCTTATTAGCTATTTCATCTATTTCCTGATAATGAAATTTTTGGATATGCCTTCAAGTTGAAATTAATAAATCCAGTAGCATATTCCAACTACCTCTTACCTCTTTATCATCTCTGAGTTAGTACAAATACATATCTGGGCCATGAGAGTAATGGGTGAATGTAAAATATAAATTGAAGCTCATTTTCACAATGATACAAATAATAATAAGGCCAGCCCATCCTCTGTCTCAAACATTTTCCCCAGGTCCTGAGGATGCCACCTATTTCCAAAGTAGACTTGCCATTTCAGAACAGAACAGATATTTTTCAGTCATTGCAGTTGTTGGGGCACTGATGTAGGGAAGGTTAATAAAATCCATAGATTAAAAAGCCACTGCCTTTTTTTTTTTGCCATGAACCCAGAAAGAGTTACTAACAATCACCAATATTTCATGTTTCGGGTTTTGTTTCCTCCCTAAAAGTTGACAGATTTTAAAGTTCAGAAAAGTGACAGAGCAGACAAAAGGAGTTAGAATCTTAAAAAAAAAAAAAAAAAAAAGTCTTCTGATGAGAAAGCAGAGTTTCAGTCCACTTTTAAAAAAGGAAATTCAGATTACCTTGAATAAGCAGCTTCAGCAGTATTTACACATCAGCAGCCGATCTCCGCACAGTTTTCCTAAGTGCTCTCGCCTACTTTTTTGACTGTGATAATTACCACTACCCTAGAAAACACCTTCCTCTATTTCAGGGACAACTTGAGTCCTAAAGCCAATATACAGTAGAGGGGACTGAAGTCCTCCGCACTTGTCCTGCAGACTGTGCTCATTCCGCTGAGCCCCGAGCTGTCTGAGGGAGAGGAGCTGCATGCGGCCATTTCCATTCTCTCCCTTCCGCTTCTCTAGTGGATAATTCCTGCTGGCCATTTAACACTCAAGCCGGAGTGCTGGGAAAGGAAGAGCACGGTCCCTTTAAATGATACGGAAGCCGGGAAGGAAAGCGCGGGGTAGAAAGGGCAGAGTCCGTGACTAGGCCTCTAGCCCCAGGGACCTAGGCGAGGACAGGCACTCCTGCTTTTCCAAGAGCACCCTGGCCCGCCACGCCCCCAGCCTGGGCCTATAAACACCCACGACCCTAGCAAGGCAGAGACAGAAGCTGCTGGAGGGCGAGAGGAACGCATCAGTGGAAGAAGACAGAAGCGGCTGGTCACGGAGAGCATGTCAGCAGAAGAACACACCTACAGACGCCGGCTCGCCCGCGGGCTCCCCGGCAGGCCATCGACCGGTGGGACGAGGTGGAGTTTGTCCTGGGCAGTAGGAGGACAGCCCGGGCACCCAGCGGCCCAACTCCAGGGGAAAGCCATCTCCCTTCTGGAGCTGCCCAACTCCGGGGGAAAACCATCTCCTTTCTGACTCTCCTGTCGGTGGAGAGTTACTTCCACTCAATACGATTTTGCAGTCATTCTCCAAGCCCACGTGTGATCCGATTCTTCCGGTACACCAAGGCAAGAACCCGGGATACAGAAAGCCCTCTGGCCTTATGACAAGGTAGAGGGTCTAACTGAGCTATAGACCGTGAACTAAGAGCGCACCCTGGAACACACGCCCTCTGGGGCTTCAGCTGTAAACATCCACCCTTAGACACTGCCATGGGGTTGGAGCCCCACAACCTGCCCATCTCTATGCCCCACTAGAGGTATGACCAACGGGGCACTGAAGAGGCGAGCACACCCCATCGCACGCCCTGCAAGGGGGACGGGGGAACCTTTCCCATTTCAACACCACCGCTGTGGCTGCATGTGGCTGCCATAAGAAAAAGAACCCATTCTTTGGCACAGCTGAAGCAGGACTCTTCTCGTTGTTCTCCAGGTAGGTTCCTCCCCGTGGAACTTTGTTATCCTCATCTGTGTTTTGCCTGGGGCACCTCCTTCAGGTAGCCAGTTCCTTGTTGGACTTGCCCCAGGGGTTAGATGGCAATTCAGGTGGTTCCTGCAACCCAGAAGCAGGACAGAATCTTGTGCGACAGTATTTTGCCTAACTGCTTGAAGGCCCTTCATTCCTAGGGACAAGTTGACATCAACATTCAAATATAATGAAAATTGTTGAGCATCTTTCCTAGGCCACTAGGAAGGGAAAAATGCATGGTGCTACAAATCATTGGGTTTTACTAGCCAATGGGTAAGTGGGGAAAAGGAGTCTTTTTATTTATACTTGTTTGTTCTCCTCTAGATATTTCAGAAGATGTGTAAGATGACACTGAACCAATGGTATTACGTCCCTCTCTTAGTTTTTACTATTGAAAGTATTCCTCCTTCATATCATCTCAGAAAATACATAGTGATAGGCTTACGGTGACAGTTCTCTTTGGTCATGAGAGCAAAACGCAGAGCAGTGGAATTAAAGGACACCTGGAACTTAAGGCCTCTAATCAGGCCATGTAGATACAGGATGGTACATTTGGGGACATTCTTCACTCAGGTTTTTAAGGAAAACACATTATTTTCGAGGACATACACACAGGCGTTGTAAACAGATAAACAGTTTCCAATAAATGACTCTTTTGGGACCCAGTTTTAATGGTAAAATCAGTATGATGTTTATTTAACCGATGTTGTGGGTAAACCAGATGCCCTGCCTCTGGTATCCCTCAGATTCTCTTTCTCTTCTGTGTCCAAACACAGGGCTCCAGCCCTCCCCCTCCTTACACAGTGGGGATGTCAGCACCACAGCCTCCCTTTGCTTCTGTGCCTGGGAGGAAGGAAGATGCCTGCTCTTGTTCTTACCCCTGCCTCTCCCTCCATCTCTGGGTTCCTGTACCTCCCATCATAGTACTGTTTTGTTTTGTTTGTGTCATAATAGACACCACCCTGATCTCATTTAATCACCTAAAGGAAATCCTTAAGCAATGCAGGTGTCACAGATTTACTTTAAGGCTTCAAGGGTAAAGAAAGGGACTGAAACAAGAAGAGTAAATACAATAAAAATCTTGATAATAGGGTATAACTGTGTCTCCTTTGTTAGAGGGCAGGGTGAGCGGGGGGAGCGGGAGGTAACTCAGAGACAGAAAGTTAAGGGTGCAGACTCTAAGAAAGGCTCTGTCTTTCTTCCCACTCCCTCCTTCCATCCATCCCCTCCCCTTCCTCTCTCTTCCCTGCTCCTCCATCTCTCATCTCTGTTCCTAGAAGCTGCAACTTCAAGTCCACCATTTCTCCTTTATTTCTTTCAAGATATAAATTAACTGTTTTGCTAAACCACTTGTCACCATACCCAAAGCTTTATATGTTTTTCAACAACGTATACTCAAGTGGTTCCCTAAATAAGAGAGTTCGGAAAGTCTGAGATGAATGGAAATCTTCCCATAACATATGGAAGTAGGACAAAAATGATGCTTTACGACAGCAAAACAAACACAGAAATAAAATGTCCCATTCCTACGGGAACTAGTGCTCCTAGGTATCATCAGAAAGCTGGTTCTATTAAGTAGGCTCCCCATTTCCCTTTCCTTTTTATATCATTTTTAAAAAGCATGAAGTATTGCTAAATTGGAGTCAGCTTGGCAAAGTCTTACACTGTCCCAGGAGTTATAGGTATGGTATGCCATGACTATTTTAGACCGTGAAACACATTTTCTACTTTAGGAAATTACCATAGGTGTGAATTATGGTCCTAATATTCACTGTGAGTAGCAGTTGTTCTTTTCAGGTATCTCTATCTATAAAATGGGTACACGTCACATTTTCAAGTGGTATTTATAAATCACCGTGTTCTGGTTTGCACAAACCCTCCCGTGCTGCAGTCGACCTGATTTACTCGTTTGTTTTTGTCACTTCTCTGTTGATGCGGCCCCTGGAAAATTGCACAAATTCTGTTTTAATTGAACCCATGATCAGTGCTACAAAGGAGGGAAAAAGGGAAGGCCTGTTATGTAACAGATGAGTGTCACCTGGTTTCCTAGTTTCAGCCCTGAACACGTCTCCGAGTCACGCTGGAGGCGTAAACAATGGATAGGGCAGGCAGGTGAAACCCATCTTCCCGCCGAGCTTTACAGACTAATTTCAAGCTCCATCAAATCATGATTCATCTTTGCTTGGCGACGGACATATTATTCTGACTAAATACATTTGTTTCGAGGAGCTGCTATGCTTCGAAAATCGTGTGCACAAGGGCTGGACAGGACATTCCAGTTATTGTGAGGGTTTTAAAACTGGTGAAAAATGTGCCCGTGGCTAAGAATAATGCAAATCCTGATGTGTTAACTTTAAGCAACACGCTGAGCCGTGACAGCATTTAATTATTTAGCTGTGGTAAGGCAAAACGTTTCCAGGTCGGACATACTGCTTGACTTGACTTTCAGAAATTTAATGCTGCCTTTCCATAGAGTGACACCATTTGACAAGGCCAGGACACACGTCACCCAGCCTGCTCCTGCCTGCCCTGACCTCCTCCATTAATGCCCTTATTACTGATATAAAAGGGACACATTTAAATGTTTCACGAAGAAAAAGCTCCTGAAGCTTTCAGGAAACATAGCCCAAGGTCAAGGAAGTTTGCTTTAAGAGCAATCTGACCTCTCTTTCATCCTTTTTTATTTTTTTTTTAATTCCAAAAAATTACTTCATTTTTAGTACGCTTCTTTAAGTCTATAGTTGCTTCTCAGCTAAGTTAGATATCTCAATATTTTTATGAAAGCAAAGAAACAAGGCAGAGAGGGTCCTACAGTTTCTCTGCACAAAGCCACATGCTCTCTTATAGCTCACAAGTAAGATCTCTTTTTAAATAACAATAAACACTGTTGATTAGGCACCTTCTGTGTGCTAGGCTCTAGGCTGTATACCAAGTGCTTTAGGGATTTTGTCTCATTTACTTCTCAACTTTGTAATGAATTATATGGCTAACGTTGATGGAGAATTTATTATCTGCCAGGCATGCTTCTAAGACACGTGACTTGGCTGGTGCGGTGGTTTACGCCTGTAATTCCAGTACTTTGGGAGGCCAAGGTTGGTAGATCACTTGAGGTTAGGAGTTTGAAACCAGTCTGATCAATACAGAGAAACCCTTTCTTTACTAAAAATACAAAAATTAGCCTGGCGTGGTGATGTGTGCCTTTTATTCCAGCTACTTGGGAGGCTGAGGCAGGAGAATTGCTTGAACCTGGCAGGCGAAGGTTGCAGTGAGCTGAGGTCATACCACTGCACACCAGCCTGGGCAACAGAGAGAGACACTGTCTCAAGAAAAAAAAAAAAGGGGGGGGTGGGGAGAGGAAAAAGGAAAATAAAAATACGTGATTCATTTTTTAATCTTGTGAAGTAGATGACACGTTTTGGTTTCCTATTGTTGCTTTAAAAATTACTATAAACATAGATGCTTAAGAGAACACAAATATATCCTCTCACAGTTTTATAGGCTAGAAATCCAACACAGGCCTCCCCAAACTGAAACCAAGACCTTGGCAGTCTTGAGCTTCTGAAGCTCTGGGATGCATTAGCTTTGAACTTAATTTAGGCTTTTGGCATCATTGAGTTCCTTGAGACTGTAGGGCCGAGGTTCCATTTTCTTGCTGGCTGTCTTCTGGGGGTCTTTCTGAGCATTTAGAGGCCACCCATATTCCTTGGTTCATAGCATGGCCTCCTTCCTCCATCTCCATGGCAAGTCCAGACCTTCTCACACTTGTAAAATCTCCACTTTCTCATCTGTCTCATTTGAACTCTGCTTTCCTCTTCTGCTACATATCTTTGACTTACAAGCAGAGAAAGTTCCCTGCTTGTAAGAGCTCATCGATTATGTTGGGACCACCCAGATAATCCAAGATAATCCTTCTGTTTCAATTTCCGTAACCTTAATCACATCCGCAAAGTCTTCTTAGTGGTGTCACAGATCCTGGGGATTAGGACTTGGACATCTTTGGCCCCCAGTATTCTGCCAATGCACCATTAGTCTTCCAGATCTAACAAGGTTAGAAATGAGGCTAGCTATAAAACAATTGTTTGCCCATGAAAAAAGAGCTTATAAATGGTAGCACCAGAACAACACAGATCTCCCTTACCTCGTCACATATCCATCAGCAACCTGCAGCCCACAGAGTTTATTCAGTGCCTCAGTTCTCCAAATGCACATTTATATTCCGTTTCAAACATGGTTCCATTCCTGAGAAATCATCAGTCATCAAACACAGGAGGTGAATGGGCATCCAGTAGAAATATAGTCAAGTGTTTGGTAATGCAAACACACTATTATTTTTGACCAACATTTCTATCACTTAAAAATATTTGTAGAATTTCTTTTACAATAAGTTTTTTACCACATTTGTTCATTTTAGACATTTTAAACCAGCTCACAATGGCTGATGCAACATTAGCCTCCATGGGGCTTCACCAACTGTATTTATTACATTTGAAGACATATATGTGCTTTCAGTGGTTTTAATCTTTATAGCATTTAAATACTCTTCTGAAAAAGTAAAAATCTTAAGCTACTTGAATTCATTGTGCAAATAGATTAAGAGCAAGAGTCGTGATAAGACTGGGCTCAAACCCAGATTCTGTCACCTATTGGATGTGAGACTGTGAGCAGCTCACTTAGTCTCTTTTTATCTTTGTTTATCCATCTAGAAAAGGAGTGCAGTAAATAGTACCCAGCCCATAAGGTCATTATGAGAATTAATTGAATTTAGACAGATAGCATTTAGAACACTGCTTATCATGTGGCAAGTCACATGTAGGTGTTTGGTACTTTAGATGGGAAGGGGTTATTTTTACAATATTACTTTGTTCCCTAGCTCTACTGATTATTTTTTAAATTTCTAATCATGACTCAATATAATAATTATAGATAGACATTTTGATATTGTGTAGACATATGGAGGCAAATGTCGGGGTTATTGAAGTCATTCGAACTATTTGTTTCAATAATTAGAGGCTAAAATGGATGCTTTTGTAAGCTCTTGTTTTTGCTGTGTGTATGTGTGTATATATATTTCATTTTGTTATAGTGTTTATTTTTATTTGCTCTCGCATCACCTACCTGTTGCTCATTCCTGTTTCTTGATTTGCTGTTAACTTATCTTCTGTGGGTTTAGACACCAAATAGCCAATTGCACAATATTAATATTAATGTGCAAAATAACTTCTAAGATAGTAAGGTGCTAAGGGGCCTTCCTATGTGTATAGAACATGAGCTTCATGAGATTGGCTACTTTTGTTAGTTTTGTTTGATTTGGGCAGGTATTTCTACACTGTAAAAGAAGAGGCAGGAGAGGAGATTTGGAAGAATTTCCCCCTGAATCTGCATGTGATGGGAAATAGGAACACTCAAATTAATGATTCCTTCACAAGAGTGATTGTCCATGATGCTAGCCAAGAAAGCTCAAGTCTCACCACACTAACCTGTATGGTCATTCTCTTTCTGAACCCCCATCCCAATCACTTGCCGTAATTTGGATGGTATTAAGCAGTGCTCACCACAGTGTAGTATGTGCAGAATTCTTATTCACCTCATTGATATCACTAAGGCATGACTGAGTTATTGACATGTATGTGAATTTACTAATTGGTCTGCAACCAGAGGCCAGAACTAGACTGGAAGAGAAACGGATTCTGGTTAACACTTTACATAGACTAACATGTGTCTATCTCAAAGACCCAGTGACTGGCGAATGTCAAAGATCCTGGGGTTTAATGATCTTAGAGGTTTCCTGGTTTACTAATCTCACTTTAATCCTTTGGAAAAACTCTAAATCAAGGTAAAAGATAATTAGAAAGATTATGGAGTACTTGGCAGTTATGTTCTCAGTTCTACAATTTCCATTTTATTTTTACTCCATAAGTCATATTTTGCCAAATATATTAATCATGTTTGTTAATCAGTATTTACAAAATGAAATTTAATGAGTCTGCTTCTATTGATTTTCTCTTAGTCTAGTATATCAGAATTACTTTGGTGTTCTTATATCCTTTAATAAAGTTTTGAACATTTATATAAAAAAATTGAGACTCTGGGTATCATATTTTTCCAGAGAGATTTTATTTTAGTTTTGACCTGCCATTAGATTGGGTGCAGTTAACCTTCATCCAACCGTGGATTGAGTTGATTTGGGGTCTTACATCCAGTAGGTGATGGAATCTGAGCTCGAACCCAACATTCATTTTTGTCTTTATTATTTCTGGTTCACTGTTAACCCTAGGCCATAGCCATTCATTGCTCCCAATAGAGAGCCCAGGTTATTTGTATAAAGGCCCAACTTCTGGGTAGGCCTCAACACTAATGTTTGACCATGTTATAAGCACAACCTAAGCTCAGCTTCTTAGCCTTATAGAGCCTGCTTTCTGGTTGTGTTCTTACCACCTTACCCTGGTGAGTTTAAGAGATGGCAGATGTCTTACAGGCAAACAGAGGCTCAGTTTTGACTTATTCCCTATATTCTCCTTGTCTCTGGGATCACTGTCTGTCAAGAGTTGGTTGCCTTGGAAGGTCAGAACACCAATTCCTGTCTCTCAATCCTCTGTGGCTTCCAGCAGCTCTGCTGAGCTGTCACTTTGGGCTGAGCTTCTGCTCAGCCTCAGGGTCCTTCCCTCTTGCAGTCACAGTGAGAAAATGCTTCAAGGAGAAGAGTTTGGGCTTCATATCAATGAGTTTTTCTTTTCCAAAAGATCTTGTCTAAATCTTAGCTACCTTGGTATCTTCCTGACACTTTGAAACACTATTATTATTATTATTATTATTATTATTATTATTATTATTATTATTATTTGAGACAGAGTCTTGCTTTGTTGCCAGGCTGGAGTGCAGTAGTGCGATCTTGGCTCACTGCAACTTCCATCTCCTAGATTCTAGCAATTCTCCTGCCTCAGCCTCCCGAGTAGCTGGGACTACAGGCGCACGCCACCATGCCTGACTAATTTTTGTATTTTTAGTAGAGATGGGGTTTCACCATGTTGGCTAGGCTGATCTCAATCTCTTGACCTCGTGATCCACCCGCCTTGACCTCCCAAAGTGCTGGGATTACAGGCATGAGCCACCGCGCCCAGCCAAAACATCATTATTTTTAAATTCAGCTTTTGTAGTTGTTCCCAGCGGCAGATTTGGTTCTCTGCAAATAAATCCATCAAACTGAAAAAAAAAAAGTTCTCTCCCTACAATTGCAGTAAACGTTTTCTCTCATCCAATACCTAGCTCATTGATTCTTTTATTTTTATTTTTATTTATTTGTTTGTTTTTCACATTTCTCTGGTTTAGTTAGACTGATGCATATGTCTCCCAGCCTCTCAAAGGTTAATTCTGAGCAGAGAGTCTCAGAATCAGTATTGGATGCACATCTGAAAAAGAAAAAAATGCTTTCTCAATCATCTCATTCCAAATACAGTCATAGCATTTGGAACTACATGTTTATTTCAGCTCCTTCAATGAGTCTATAAGAAGCTAATTTTCACTTTGATTTTAGGGCAATAAAACACATCAAGTAACTTTTCCATCTTCAACAGAAGGTTTTTCATTAACATCTGCAAGAAACATTTCATTGGCATCTAAAGTGGTCCTTAAACCAGGGCCTAGTGAAAGGCAGGAAAATTCTTCAGTGATTAACATTAGCATTTTTTTCTCAACTGAAACACTCCTGGAATTGGAGAAAATGCCATTTAAATTTTAAGGGTTTGTTTCTGACAAAGTGGTGCAGGAACAGCAACTCAAAACCTGCAATGCCGCATGTTTTCTAATTCATGTCACAGCAGTCACCCTCTTCAAGTAGCTGTGCCCATGACTTCATAAAAGGAGCCAAAAATGCTGATTCCCCATTACGTTAGGTTTATCTTTTCAAAACCCAGAATCTAGAGTCAAATAAAGTCAAGTAGAGGCATCAATTTTGTTTTCCATTCAGAGACACTGTTTGCAAACTACAGTTGTGAATGCATTTATATCCAGATGGAACACTTGATGTTGAAGAGCTAGATTTGGTACACTCAGTTGGATTTTGGCGCAGATAATTTCCATATTCCCTGCATCCAGTTTCCCCTATTTATTTATTATTTTTGAGGCAGGGTCTTGTCTTGCCCTGTCACCAAGCTGGGTCTTGCTCTGTTGCCCAGGCTTCGGTGCAGTGGTGCGATCATGGCTCACTGTAGCCTGGACCTCCCAGGCTCTGGTTTTTCTCCCATCTCACCCTCCTGAGTATCTGGGACTGTAGGTGTGCACCACAATGCCCAGCTAATTTTTATATTCTTTTGTAGAGACAGGGTTTGTCATGTTGCCCAGGCTGGTCTCAAACTCCTGAGCTCAAGTGATTCACCTGTCTTGGCCTCCCAAAGTTCCAGGATTAAAGGCGTGAGCCACTGCACCTGACCTGGTTTCCACTATTCTAATTGCCTTTTTAACTGATGATATCTGATTGTACTTCTGCCCCTGTATCATTTTTTTCAAGTGGAGAAAATAAAATGTTTTAAAATAATAAAAACTGGAATTGAAATATAAAATGTCTGATGAATATCTGTTTGAGTTCTGGATATTTAAAAACCTTTTATTATATAAATTAAACTGAAATTGTCAATTAGTTCAGGTTTCAGTCATCACTAAAATTATACCTGGGCATTAGTTCTGTTTTGGAGTAGATTTAATGCTTTGGAGCTGCCTGATGAGAGAGATGATTGCTTCATTCTCTTGTTCCAGCACTTTGAAGCATTATTAACTCTCCCCGAAAATGACCACAGTCCTCTTTTTTGCTGGTAGAAAGATCAGTGTCAATTTTTTAAAATGCCTTATGAAAATTATAGACGCAAATAAATAAAAGACATCATGGGTTCAAATTGGAAAATAATACTAGAAGCAGACAGGAAAAAAAGCACAGATTGTTTTGAAGAAAAATTTACCAAAGTGATACATGATGGAACATTCGTGTTATCAGGTTCTCAAACTATTCCACTTTTACGAACTTCCAAAAGCACTGTTCCATCCCAGAGCTATCTGTGCTTTGTAATATCCCGGTTTATGAAACTGGTCACTGGGTGGTGTCTCTGGGGCAGCGCTCTCATTCACTGTGTCCTCTTTGAACTTGGGTGCAAAGGGAAAAGCATGGGTTGTCCTCCTGGAAGGATTCTCAGCCTCTGCCTTGCAACTGATGCAGGATTGCTGGTACTCCAGTGCCTCCTCCAAAGTGATGGATGGCACTTACCATCCTGCAAGACCCAGTTTGCAGGTGTCACCTGCACCAGCCCATCCACTATTAGTCATATTTGTCTTATCCCTTAACTTGGAACCTCTGCGTAGCTCCTGAATGTGCCTGGGTCTCCATGGCAACCACAACAGAAAATCAGGGCAGGAGCAAGGGATTCAGGGCCCATTTGTTTATGATGATTTTACCTAACTCACTGAAACGTGGAAATACAAGTGCTTGTTTGCAAAAAAAATCAATAGCTTTTTTTCCTTTTAAAAAATATTGCCCAAAAATGTTTCCTGTTGGTCACAGGAAAACAAGACTGGTGTCTGCTCAGCCAGTCCCATGACTCATTGCATTGAGTCTAAGGTAGTGTGTATGTGATGAACAGAAAAAGTAAGTAATTTAATGCATCTAATATACAAGCATGATGTGATTGTTGGAAAATAAATATAATAAAAATGTATATGTAGTATTATTCACCAATAACACAACCACAAAATGAAAGGGGTTCCTCTTTTCCCACTATCCCACTCCCTCAGGATGACTACTGCTAGCATGTCAATGTCAGTGCCCAGCCTTCCAGGCCCAAATTAACGGTTAAAACTCGAAGCATATAGTGAACAGGTCCAAGAAAGGAGCACTTGCAAAGCGTCACACTAAAGACACTGAAGACATCTGCAGTCGGTTTTCCCTCTGCCTGGAACATATTCTCTCATGCCTTTGCTTCACTGAAATCTCTGCTAAAATATTGTTTTCATAGAAAGAACTTTCCTGACCATCGTAACTAAAACAGCAACTCTTCCCCCTCTAGTTACGAGTAATTTGTATGTTTTTTTTCTGTTTCTCATTCCTTCAGAGCACGATCGTTTCCGAAAAAGTTATTACATCATTGTTTATGTATTTGCTTCATTAACCAGCTTTCCCTAATTGAATATAAGCTTCAGAAGAACAGAGACTTTGCCCCTTGGGGTCAGAGTTATATCACAATGTCACTGTATCAGTCACAGACTAGGACCTCAAAATGCATTTATTAAATGAATGAATAGATGGATAAATGGTAATCACCTGCTAAGCGAGTCTCTTCTCTCATATCCTGTGCTTACATTACAGCAGACGTTTCCAATCACTTGCAGCATTTTGCTTTTTCCACTTGGTCAGCCCAGCATTTGGGAACTCTTCTCTACCTATTACTCCAAGAAGCTACTGGCAGGTATTGGAACTGCTGCTCTGTAAGAAAACACCTGTTCTCCTGATCTGTGGCCTAACTTCGCAAACTACAGATCCTTGATATCAATAGATCACATGCTAATAAGATTGTCAAAGCAATTTCTATTTTCTTTCATTGCTTTCCAAAGCAGACTCACCTTCAGTCTCCATGAGATCAAGAAGGAACAGTGCAAAGGTGCATGGGATGATAATGGACCCGTTGCCAGTTTTAGAATCTGGTTCCCCAACTTGCTAGCATCTTTTTGCTTAAGTTTACTCTAAAATTGGGATGATAGAACTTCATACAGTTGAGTTGTGAGAATTTAATGGTAATAAATGTAAAGCACTTGGAAGTCTGTCACATGGTAATTTTATATGTTTATTATTATTTTGAGACAGGGTTTTGCTCTTTTGCCCAGGCTGGAGTGCAGTGGCACGATCTCTGCTCAGTGCAACCTCTGCCCACCGGGTTCAAGTGATTTTCCTGCCTCAGCCTCCCAAGTAGCTGGGATTACAGGCACCTGCCACCACACCCGACTAATTTTTGTATTTTTAGTAGAGATGGGGTTTCGCCATGTTGGCCAGGCTGGTCTCGAACTCCTGAACTCTGGCGCTCTGCCCGCCTTGGCCTCCCAAAGTCCTAGGATTACAGGTGTGAGCCACTGCACCTGGCCTATTATTATTATTATTGATGTTGTCGGTGTTGCTATTTTTATTGTGTTTTAATGTTCAATAACAAGGATCCGTATTATTTCTTCATCCATATCACCCAATACATAGCTTTTCTCTGCTGTTAATATGAACATCAAGTGTTACAGTTGTAAGTTCTAAAGGAAGTAGATTTCAAATGTTTTGACCACAACTCACATAGAGAAACACATTTTATATCTCGACCAATACATATGTGCACACAGCCATGTGTACACACACATATACTAAAGCAAAATTTCTCAGATATACATTTACCCTCCTTACCTGCTGCAATGTTGTCAAATATTTTCCATTCCATTCTATTCTGTTTGGCTCTGTTATCTTTTATTCTGACATAGCATATTCCATCTGATTTACAAAATAAATGTTAGTTTCAACCCACTAACTTTATTTCACAGCACTGCTGTGCTGTGACCCGTAGTTTGAAAGACGCTACCTTAAAAGCAGACCTGGACTTATAGAGAGGCAACACTGATTAGTTGTTTACCTGGTCCTCCTACCTGCTTTCTAAAGCCTGCATCAAATTTCCTATATTCAATTTTTATTTTTCCCCTCTGATTTCAGATTATTATATTTCTATAAACTTATTGGTTAATTTTAAAATTCTAACAGATTCTTAGGTTTATCCTAGAAAATTTTGTGCATAAAATGCATATATATATTTTTAATTTGTTTTCTGGTTTCAGGATATGTTCTTATTGATAAATTCTAATATTCAAAGTGTCTTTTAAAATCACTCTTACAGAAAAAAAAAAAACCCTCAATTCTCGGACTTAGATAATGTTTTCTGGAAAAAAATGGATAGAACAAATGGTCATTAGAACTTTCCACCAGGGAAGCATATTAGACATGACAAATACAATTTATTTCAAACATTTCCAAGGTTAGTTAGGCAAAAATAATAGTTGTGGTTATTGTTTTTTATTTGAGAAATGAATTAAAAAACAAAAATATGCAAGATATATTAATATATGGAAACTAATTCACACAATTAAAATGATTCCTGTTTAAATCCAGTTCTGCATATACAATTGAATGATTTTGGACAAGTCTTTGAAGCTTTCACTCTCTCAGAATCATGATATTCAAAATAAAGATGTGATTTCTACTAAATAAAGTTATTATAACAATATAATTTTATTGGCTATATTGTAGAGAAACATAGTGTTCTTGGGAGAAAGAAGACATTCACATAAAACCTTCATGAATCATCTAATTAGTTTTTTAAAGCTAAAGGGCCTGAAATATTTTATTTCCACAAAAGTGTTTATCTAGGACTTCAAGTTTTGAGCCATGCTAAGCAGTTTACAAGATGAATTGTTAAAGCATCTGCCCTCCGAAAATTTTAGACTTTTAATATCAATTTGGTCATTTTATACAATAAAAAACATCTCACTTTCATCTGTTTTTTATATAAATTATTACATTATTATTATTTAATAAAACATAACAATTAGGTTGCTTCAGAAATATATTAGCTTTCACTACGAGTTATTCTCTGTCAAGTACAATTTAGACTATGAGGAAAGGTTGTATCAGTAAAGAGACCTATTCATTTAATATTGAAAGAAACTGATACTGATGCACCATAACTTGGGCTCCAAGAATAACATTTCACTGAGGCTGTCCTTTATATTTCTATATTTTTGGTACTAAGGAGAAGAACCACATTGTAATTCTACCTTCATAAAGAAGAACTCCATTAGGAAATAGCATTCAACATAAGAAATTTCACTTTACAACCAGATTTCGTATAACTCATTAACTTTTATTGAAAATGCCTAAGGAATCCTTATATTTAAATGTAAAAAGAAAAAAATAAAAGCAGAATTGATAAAATCTTAATGAGGCATTCACAAAAGAAAGACATTTCCCTGGAGCAATTTAAAAGCAATTATTTCTTGAGCAGCAGAACTGTAAGAACATTAATTTCCAATGGTGACAATTCCATGACTAGTCATAAAGGTCAGGGGATTGTTTTGCTGCTGAAGGTCACAAACAAAAATTTATTTTAAAGTAGTCGTAGAAAAGCCTTCACTGCATTTCACTACGACAATGACATCTGCTCCACGTTCACTCTAGCGTTCTCTTCCAAGTGAGAAGAGGCATTGTTTAAATCCAGGTAGTATTTGGGCTAAGATCAAATGCTCAGCGGAAAAGGTGACAAGTTGTGGGTATTGCAATGGAAATGCATTAGGGAAGTATGTTAGCAGAATAATGTACTCTAAGTTTTAATCCCCAGAATATACTAATATATTGTGTTACATGTCAAGGGGGAAATTAAGGGAAATGGAATTAAGCCTGCTGTAGAAAGTAAAAAGTTTCCTCTTCAATGTTCCCCCCTGTTAAAGAATAAATCATAATTGTTAGAAATAATAGTTTATTTTAAAGACTAACTTTCTTCAAGCCTCCTTGCTTTGTGCTAATAACTCTTTTTTAAGCCCTATCCTATGTAATTGTCGGACATGCTCACAGGCACATCCCAGCTCACATCCTGTGCCCCTTCCTTATTTCGAAATGTTATTGCTTCCTTAAACCTTTCGTAAGCAACTTCCTCTCCTTTGTTCTTTCTTGCACTTACCTATGTAGGAAAGTTTTAGGCTATTAGCAAATCGGGTATCAGTTTCAGACTGTGAGGTCCCGCTCCAGCCAATGGATGCAGGACACAGCAGTAAGGACGACCCAAATGCGTAAGGGATAAATATGTCTGCTTTTCCTTTGTTCAGGTGTGTTCTCGCCATGGTTCCATCTGCGAATGAGCACCCTTTCTGTAGAAAGTAAAGATGGCCTTGCTGAGAGGTCTTTCGTCTCCGTACTGACTTTTCTTCGTGGCACCAATTACTTATTTCTAACAATTTTGATATTTCTAACACCTGCTAATCAGCTGATACTAAAAGAGGAAGATTATCCTGAATTATCTGGGTGAACTTAGCATAATGACCATGGTCAAGTAACTCTTTGAAAGAAAATTAAAATAATGTGGATGGGAGAGGGTGCAGAGTTGGGT
The DNA here is from genome assembly GCF_000001405.40 of Homo sapiens. Taxonomy (NCBI): domain Eukaryota; kingdom Metazoa; phylum Chordata; class Mammalia; order Primates; family Hominidae; genus Homo; species Homo sapiens. The sequence continues at coordinate 127,075,530 of NC_000012.12, forward strand.
CAGAGTGAGGAAATATAAGAAGGATTTGAGTGCCTGTGTCTGGCTTTGAAGGTGGACAGGACCACAAGCCTCAAAAGGCAATTTGTAGAAGCTGAAAAATACACAAAAAAATCATTCTCCCTTGAATCCTCCGTAAGTTTCACAGGCATTCTGACACTTTGATTTTAGGGCAAAGAGACTCATGTATGGCTTCTCGCCTACAGAATTGTAAGATAATCAATTTGTATTGTTTTCGGTCACGAAGATTGTGGTGATTTCTTACAGCAGCACCAGAGAACTAATTTAAGAAGTTTCACTGGAAAATCTACGGTGATTAATAACATTTGAAATAAACATACTTTTGAGCATTTATTTGGCAATGAAATGCTCAAAAGTATGTTTGTTCTTCATTTCTTTCCTCCTCCCCTCCCCTCCTCTCCTTCCTTCTCTCTCTCTCTTTCTTTCTCTCTCCCTCTCTTTTAAAATATTTGTTTCCCCAGCATGGGAAGTAAATACAGCACACTGAGTTTTGATGAATCTGTGTTATTCATGGTTGCCCCACCACCTGGACTGCTGTTATTGATCACTATATTTCAAAGCTAGTATAGACATAGATACATGTTTTATTTCCTGTGACCAACTCACTACTCACACAGTGTCTATTGTTCAGCCTCTGGCTGGTTTCTCTTCCCTAATAAGGGTGCTTATGGGACTAATTCTTCTCTGGGCAACAAGTTGGAGGCCCTGCGGTCTAGGCAGATACAAACATTTCTATTAGGGCTCTTTGCGTTTTGCTCAGTGATCTCAGGTATATGCCTTTCCATACACTAAACGCAAAGTATTCCTTCAAGGCGTTTGCATTCAGTCTGAATAAACTCATTTGTGAAAAAGATGTCGTTAAGTATTTTTCAATAAAATTTAGGTTCTTGTGGAAGCTATTTTAGACAAGAATACCAGAACATAGTATCTCAACTCAGAAGTCTACTCCGTATTTAAAAATGGTGCCATATTTAATTACAAATCCTCAGTAGGTCACTCAGCTGTAAAGCAAGGAATATAATTTACTTTCAAAGTTATTTTTTGGCTTTGGCAAAACATTGGATACTTAGAGTCCAATTTTCACTAGCAGGGATGAGTGATGTTTCTCTTTACCACTTTCATAGAGGATGGGAAAGAAAAATAAAATGTATTGATCTCCCTTCCTTCCTGCCTATTCATGTTTTCAAGAGATGTGTGAAAAACAGTGCTTGAATTTTTTTTTGACAATTCTGTGCTTCTGATCAAGTAAAAAACTCCGAGCAAAAATGGAAGCTGTTGTTAAGTCCCAGTCACACATAACATTAATAAATACATTTTAGAAATTGTGAATAAGGATACGTTTGGTGAGATTTAGTGTTTCATCTAATAAAATGGTGTTCATTTAGAAACGTGTTACTCATTTAATAGAAATGGAAAAGACCATCCACCTGGAAATTATTATTTTATTCACTACTTAGCCAATAAAAGTCTCTTTGTTTTCCCATTCCATGGTAAGAAAAAGTTATTAAAAATTATCAACATGCAAAAAGATATAAAAATAATGTAACAGGCAAATATGTATTCAACACTTAGCTCAAGGAAAATATAATAAAAAGCACAGAGGCTGTTAAAGACCCTTTTCACGCTTCCAAATTGCATTTTGCTTTTTTCCTTTCAGAATTAAAAGATGTTCTGAATTTGGTGTTTGTTTCTTGGTATTTCATTATGCTTTTAATCAGTAAGAGAAATCAAACCTCAGTAAAGAATCACCATGGGAAAAACACTTCACATGTCCAGTGCGATTGAAGTAGACTGTTCCCTGTCACCTCTCTCTCTGCTCTATTAGAGCTGTACTGAGAACTCGCCACAGCTCCAGCCCCCTGGCTTATCTCCACCTGAGGAACAGGAACTGACCCCTTACTCAGCCAGTCACTTGGCAAACAGGCTTCTCTTTTGCAGCTGTGTCCACCAGGGGACCCTGAAGAAGACATAGGACAATGCTTTTTGGGGAAAATGCAGTTCTAAAACCACTAAAAAAATTATAAATGGTGAAATGTTAACATCATGAGGTCTACAGAGCAATGCTCGGTTTAGTCATTCAAGATTAATTTTAGTCACAATTTTGGGAAAAACTCGTTTACTTCCATCCACAGTCCACAACCCAAGGCTATCAGTGAGTCTTCTTTTGAATGTGTGTGAGGAGGTCCTCCTTCCTTTCTTCCTTCCTTCCTTCCTCTCTTGGTCTCTGTCTCCCTCTTGCCTCTTTCTCCTTCCTTCACTCTTTCTGAGTCTCTCTTTTTCTTCTTTTCTTTTTTTTCTTTTTCTTTCTTTCCTTCCTTCCTTCCTTTCTTTTCTTTCTTTCTCTCTGCCTTTCTTCATTCTTTTTTTATTCTTTCTCTTTCCTTCCTTTTTTTCGTCCTTTATTTCTTTCTCTCAGTCTCTCTCTCTCTCTCTCACTCTCACTCTTTCTTCCTGTCTTTATTTTGCAACAGAATCTGAGCCTGGACATCAAGAATAAAGAGATCTGTTTAACAGCCATGAGGGAGTGCACGGATGCATGGAGAGCCAGGAATGGTCCACAGCAATCAATGCTGCAGGAATGAATTTGTTTAAATGGATTTTTTTTCCATTTCATGAATAACTTTGTTCAAGCCTTTGATGTTCAAGCTTAGGAAGAAAGAATCCCAGTGATCTATTTGGATCACATGATTTTCCCCTGGCCTTTTCCACCTGTGTAGAGAGAGTTTCATCTCCAAAAGGGCACACAGTCCTTGTTACCAAAAGGAAGGGGAATAGACATTGGGTGATCAAAACACAGCTACGCTTTCTAGAAGTTGATAAGTGAATAGATACTAACATGATAAATCAACCTCAGTATTTTTTAAGTCTATGCCAAGAATTAAACTAGATAATGATTTTAATAATAACTGACAATCGAGTGTTTACTACATGCCAGATCCTGTTGTTAAGGGCTTACCATGTATGGACTCATTTAATGTTCACGACTACTCTCCTTGGTAAATATCTGCTTTTATTCCCATTTTAAGGTTGAGGAAACTGAGACAGACAGGGAAAGTGAGAAAGAGATGGCTCACACAGTGAATGAGCAGCCAGAACTCAGGTCCCAGGAATATGGTTTCAATGTCCATTTTCTCAAGGATTATTGTGCAGAAAAGCATTTTGACACTCAGAGATTGGTCAAGAGCTCAAATGTCAACATCAACCCTACAGCCTGTTAAAAATTGATCGCCCCTATAGGGAATATTGCCAGAGCACACAGGCTTACTCTGTCCTGATGATGTGGAATTATTTTTGCTTGCTCCCATGAAAACCATGCCTAGCCATGGTGTGGGTTTGTGACATCTGTGTGACAAATGGGAGCTTGTGTCTTTAATGCAAGACCACCACCAGTGTTCCACCCCAGTGAAGCTCACCACCCAGAATTCTTGTTAGGGAACCAGGCCGGGAGGCACAAATGGGTTCTTCCAAATCATTTCCAGTGAAGATACTAAGCTATCCATGGCGTGAACTATAAGTCAGCAATGACGAATTCCAAGCTGAAAGATTTACCCTTAGCCTCAGAGATGCATGATTTACTCAGCTAACAATGCTTTCAGCCTATTAGTCCTCTGGCGCTGTAGTGTACTCTGGCACTGGAGCATTTCCTGGGGAAGGAAATCATATTTTGCTTTCATAATTAGCTGATTTGGAGCCCAGGCAATGGGAGAAATAAGAAAATAATGGAGACAATTGATGCAGGCAGGCAAGCCCCAAAATTGGGGCTTAGCCCAGGAAGGTTATTGGCTTCACCCAGAAATAACTCAAGGGTGAGCCAGTGGTGTGAGACAGCAACATTTATTGAAGCAGCAGAGGTCTTGCTCCTTGCAGAGCAGGGCTCCCCCATAGGCAGTGTGCCCAGAATATCAGTTCAGAGGCAGCTCCGCAGTCATATATGTACCCATTTTAATTAAATGCAAATTAAGGGACAGATTATGCAGAAATTTCTAGAAAACAGGTGGTAACTTCTGGGGGAGTCATTGCCATAGAAAGGGACGGTAATTTCAGGGTGTTGCCATGGCAATGGTAAACCGACACAGGCACACTGGTGGGTGTGTCTTATGGAAAGGTGCCTCTGCCTCGACCTATTTGAGCTAGTCCTCAATTTGGTTCAGTGTCCAAGCCCCGCCTCCTGAGTCCAGTCCTGCCTCCAACCTCAGTATGACCATGGTTGTTTCCTGGGTGTCTTTAGGATTAACAGGGAGCACATGGGGAGTCACTGCTTCATCACTGTAAACTACACTCAGCTGGAAAACTGAGCTCTGGAACACGTGTTTGTGTTCTGGAAAAATACAGGTGATGGCACTTGAAACAAAAGATATTTGAAAACTACTAGGAAGACAGGCTGGAATAAAATTCATTTTCCAATTCTGCTTTATCTTAATACATATATTAGGTTTCCTAAAAAATAGGAATTTTTATTCCTATTTAAATTTTTTTATTATGTATGCACTTTTTTGAGAAACTATCAGCAACTCAGCAGATCTCGGGAAAAAAATTCAGTCAAAGATATTTATCAACTGCCAAATGTATAGAGTGTTTTTTATTTGATTTTTAAATACAAATTTTATTCTTTTTTAATGTTCTGTGATGTTAAAACAGAAACGCAGACACATGCAGAAAAGAGACATTTCTCCTGGATCAGTGATTCTCAAACTTTGCTATATATTAGAAACACCTTGTGGAGAGGGGTGGGAACAGGCAACAGTGGTTTTTGTTTTCTGTTTTTTTAAAGCCTCCCAGGTAATGCCAGTGTGCGACCAATTTGAGAATCAGAGTCCTGGATGTTAGGCTCTGGAGAAGTGCTTCTCAAACTTTTGTATATAGTATCAGAATCACCTTGAAAGCTACCAAAAAATATGCGTGCCTCCCCTCTTTGAAGCAGGTTGAGGCTCAGGGTCCCACAGTCTCACCAAGTTCCCAGATGATTTGATACATACCAAGTTTGAGGGCCATCGTCACAAGTGATCAAAACCTGGATTCACATCAGAGTCAACTGTGGAGATTTTAAAATATAGTCATCTCCCATCCTGGAGGATTCTAATTTAGTTGAGCAAGATAGAGCCCAGGAATATTTAAGTATCATCTTTTTTATTGAAACAAGATACGTTTTTCAGACAGGTACATAAATCAAATTATATATGGACTATGATAAATTTATACAAGCAAACCCAACCGTATATCCACCACCAAGACCAGGAAACATCATAAGAACTAACCAAGTCCCCCAGTGAGTATCTCCAAAAGAGTAATGACTATTCTGACTTCTACCACCAAGTGACTTGGCTTGCCATTACCTTTATGCAAACAGTAACACACAGTGTGCACTCATTGTTACCAGGCCTCTTTTGTTCAAGGTTAACTTTTCAAAATTCTTCTAATTATTGCAGGTGACAGTAGTTCAATAATTCTCGTGATAGAACCACACCTCATATTAGGAATGCTCCCTATCATTATTGGACATTGGGTTGTTTCTTGTTTGGGGCTCTAGTGAATGTTGCAAAGGAATGGTTTTGTACATATAATCACAATATTCACTATGAATGTTTTTGTGCATGTCTTTTGTTCATGTCTTTTGTACATGGTTTTGTGCATGTAGTCAAAGCATTCACTTATGAATGGTACCTGTCTTTTGATTCACATGTGTAAGCATTTTTGTAAAGTGGAGTCAAATTCCACTAAAGAGTTGACTTTCTGAGTCATGGTGCATGCTCATTTTTGGCCATAGTGGATGCTGACAGAGAGCTTTCCAAAACACCCCAGCCATCTATGAGAGTTCCAGTGGCTCTATGTCACCACCAACACTTGGCATTTTTAATCTCTTCGTTTTAGCAACTCCGGTGGGATGCACATTGGCACCACCCTCTCACTGTATTTTTATCAAACGTTATTGACATTTTGGATTAGTCTCTCCTGCAATCTGCAAACAGTGGCAGAGTTATCTCTTTCTTTCCAATTGTTGTATCTGTTAGTTCTTATAACTCTGGGAAAATACTGAGTAAAGTCGTGATATCAGGCATCCTTCTCTCATTCCTCATAATAGGCAGAACAATGTCAATATTTCCTCAATTGAGTAAGGTTCTGTTTCATATGTTTTGAACAAGTTTTTTATACATTTAAGGAAATTTCCTTCTGTTCCCAGATAGCTCTGAGTAACTGATCATACTGGGTTAAATTTTATTAAATGTTTTTCTCCTTCAGTGAAAGAATCATGTTCTATTTGTTTGCTTAATTCTGTTACTGTAGTGATTATATTGACAGGCTTTTTAAACGTAAACTAACCTACCATTTCCATAATAAAGCCAACCTATTCTGTTGCCCAGGCTAAAGTGCAATGGCGCAATCTCAGTTTACTGTGACCTCCCTCTCCCAGGCTCAAGCGGTTCTCATTCCTCAGCCTCCCCTCCCGAGGAGCTGGGATTACAGGTATGTGCCACCATGGCTGACCAATTTTTTATTTGTGCCTTTAGTAGAGACGGGGTTTTACCATGTTGGCCAGGCTGGTCTCGAACTCCTGAGCGCAGGTGATTTGCCCGCCTCGGCCTCCCAAAGTGCAGGGATTACAGGTGTGAGCCACTGCACCTGGCCCTGAACTCTTTTTATAGTGTTTTTGCCATGTGTTGGGACCAAGGTTATGCTGGACAATAGAGAAACTGTGTACGTTTTTCCTCTTTTACTGTGGAAGAGTTGATGTGACATTGATGTATTTTTTTTTTTCTACTATCTGGAAGCTTTCTAAGCCTGGGTATATTTGTGGAAGAGTGTCGTAAGACACTCTCGTTTTTTAATATAATGTTTATTTTTCTTTCTTCTGTTTTTTTCTTTCCACATTTTTATTCTGATTAGCCTAGCTGCCAAGTTATTTGTATTTATTTTCCTTGCCATTGTAGGATTTATTAAAATTGAAGCAAAATTTATTTAATTAGTTTCGGGAGACTCTCAGAATCTCCTCTAATATTCTTCTCTATTCTCTTTTCTAATTTTGACACTGATTACACACATTTGTCAGGCTATTTCTCCATTCCAAAAATGTTTTTATATGTTTAATGTCCATTTAAACTATGTTTTTATGTTTGATTCCTCTCTGTTTATATTTCCATCTGACCATTTTCTACTGGCCTGTATTCCCAATCATTAATCATCATCTTAGTTTTGCCAAATACGCTGTTAAGCCCACATATTTGTTTATTAATTAAAATCTTGTATATTTTAGTAATAGAATTTCATTTGAATAATTGTATAGAGTGCTCTTTTCTGTTAAAATTTTTCATCTCATCATCTATGTTACTGAATATGTTTATGAGGGTTTTTAAATAATATTTTATTTTTCTTGTGTTTGGTAATTTCCTTTGGTAAACCTGATAGTTTTTAAAACAAATCTTTAATAAGACTTTTTTTTTGAAACGGCTTTGCATGAGCTTAGCTTCTGGGAAGCAGTTAGTGTGTATGTATGCAGGCTGCATTTGTTTTTCTATTATCTGATTAAGAAGACTTGAGGCTTGTGTTCAGTTTTTGTAAGTCTTGAGGGATTATTTTTTCTTGCTTATAGGATGCAATCTTTTAGTATAAAGCTTGAGTCATTTACCGGGGCTATGTTTCTTGCTGAGTTCTGAACCCAACTGTTTTTCCTTCCACATTTAGGGATTGCAGAGGCTCTGCTGACTCCTCAGCCTCCTAACTGCTGCTTCCTACTTGATTCTTTTGCCTCTTGGTCTTTATTTATTTATATAAATTTAATATTTTATTTATTTATTTATTATATATAAGGAAGTATCTTGAGCATCAAAGGAGTTTAGAGATTTCCAGGTTCACTTTTCCTTCCTAACTGATAGGTTGGCTACCCTTAACTGTACATTCAGCCTTCCCAGAACTGTAAGATCAGTAAAAGCTCTGCCTGGCATTTGCTGCATTTTAGTTTCACTTTCTATTTAGCATCTCGGGTTTCTACTCTTCACTGCTTATGAGTCAGCAAATATCGCAATGATAAGGCAGAATCAAACGCTGGGCTCACCTTGAAGTGCTTCCTTTCTCTCCTAGGGACAATGTTTCTCAAAACCTGAGGAAACAAGATAGCTTTGCAATGCTTTAAACAAACGTTATTTCCTTTGGTGCTTTACCAGTTAATTAATGTAGTTGTTCTAAATGGGAGGGTTGATCTACTGTAAACTGACCCATCACCACAAAACTTATGTTTTCTGAGAACTGTAATTTTCTAAATCTCCACAAATAAAAATTCCCCTATTTGAATGCATCTCTGCATTATTTTGTCTTCTTTGTGTTCAATTATGGAGCTAGAAACCTCCAAAGAGTTTAATTAAAATTAATCTGAACTTATTTGGGCGTAAGGGACAGCTCACAGATGAGAGGATAAAGCGAGAGTATAAATGACACCAAAAATCATTTTTTAATTCTATTTTGGGAAAGAATATGGTCTGCATTATTCCATACTAAGTTCAAAGACCTATGCCATTCCATAGAAACAAACTGTGTCGCATCCACACAATTGAATATTGTTTAGCAATAAGAATGAGTTTTCAGGCCACAAAAAACATATAGAGGAAACTTAGATGCATGTTGCTAAGTAAAATGAGTCAATCTGAAAGGCTGTATACTGTCTGATTCCAACTATATGGCATTCTTCAAAAGACAAAACAAGGCAAAATGACTAGTGGTTCCCAGGGTTGGGGGGTGGGGAGCGATAAACAAATGGAACACAGGGAATTTTTAGGGCAGTGAAACTATTCTGTATCGTGCTATAGTGGTGGATACATGACATTATGTAGTTGTCAAAACCTGTAGAATGTACAACACCAAGAGGGAACCCTACTGTAATGATGGACTTTAATGAATAATAATGTATGATTATTGGCTCACCCACTGTTAACAAATGTACCACATCAATGCAAGACGTTTATAATAGGGGGACCTGGGAGGGGTGAGGGAGTCTGTGCAAACTTTCTTTACATTCTACTCAACTTTTCTATAAACCTATAACTGCTCTTAAAATAGTATATTTAGAAAGGAAGGAAAACAACTCCCAAAAACAATAAGTACTATACTCACAGTATTGCACTATGCAATTAGTCATAACAATATAATTAAATCTTTTCAAGCTTGGCATTTTATAAAATTCCTCTGGATTTAGCTGTTAGGTTTGTATTATGCCACTCGAAGTGGGTTTTTTTTTCTATTTTTTTTTTTTTACAACAGCATTAGCTAGGCAAACAATGAAATACATCCTGGTATTTTAGGTAAAAGAGCACATCTGCATGTATTAAACACTCCCAGGATGTCAATCAAGATAGGAAACCACTTGAGATGGAAGAGATGGAATAAAATGATTTTCACAGGCATCCTCAATTGTCTGCAGCTTTATTGGAACCTAGTTTTGATTGCTGGGATTACCCTGAGCAATTAATTGCTTCTTTTTGATATAAATACCTTGCCTCCATTGGTTCATTCTTACAGTGGAGCTCCACCATTTTTCACATGATGAGTAGCATACTTGAAGTGATTGTTCTAGCATCTATTTCCAGGGAAGTATAATTTATCCGAAGCAGAGAGCTGACCTGACCACCAGCAGGAAAACCTTGTGGTAAGTTGCAAGGTCAGAAGTAGCAAAGTCTATCAATGAGGGAAAATAACATCCTCTTCTGGGAAAATTCAGTCCCTTTTAGCACAGACAGTGATCCCTAACTCTGGCTAAGCATTGGCATCATCTGTGGAGAACTTTTTGCAGTTGTCAACTTCTGGGGGATTCTGATGCAGTATGTATAAATCTGTGTGCTGCACACACTTCCCAGGTAACTCAAATCATGAAGGTTTGGGAGCCACTGGATGGATACATGAGCTCTCAATAAGCCCTATAACTTTACTGGTCCAACCTTGTTGGCATGTGGTAGCTATACTACAAGCCAACATATATGCTGAGAGATTTTCACCAACACCATATTTCTGTCTGATAAAAGGTATCTTACATGAGAGTTCTTACAAAGTCTTCTGTGTTACTGAGCTCACAGATACTTGAGTGACAATGACAAAAAAAAATACTATTTGAAGAAGACACATTAAACCTGCAATGACCTAAATCAGTGCAGTTTGGGGTGCTTAGACATCACATAACATAATTGGGTAAAGAATAGGAGGAGAAGGATTAGAGAAAGATGGAAGAGAAGAAAGTAGAGGAAACAAGGAAAGGAAGGAAAGAGGTAGTGAGAATCCTGAGTCACAGTTTGAAGAATACATGAAAATGGATTCCATCCAGTAGAAGGCAGGGTGGAAAACTCCAGACACAATCTAAGTAATAATTATTATTGAGAACAGATCCATTTTATCTCGTTTACATTCTAAAGAAAACAGCAGCTTTCCACCAAGATCTGGTTATTCACACCCTTCTCAATCTAGACAAAGGCAGATGTCTGCGTTCCCTCAGCAGAAGGCAACCTATGAATTATTTTACATGCCTCCCCATTCCATGGGATAAAATGTAACGGATCCATCCACACTCACTTCTGGTCCACAGGTAATTCCTGCAGGGCTCGCCAACTTGGTGAGACATGCCCTTCCCTGGATGGCCACTGACATCCAGTCACACAACCTCCTCCACTTCCTAAACACTCATCTTTCACTGGCATATTCAGTTATTTTTTAAAGCAACTTTTGTCACAAAAAAGAAATCAGACTCAGGCCCATATGAAATTGACGTGAGGATGCCCAGAAGACAAAGATGCAAATGCTGCAGAAACAACCCAATCAATAGACGTACTCATAATAATAGGTTTAAAAAACTTATTTAAGTCACTGAATATTTATTAAGCACCTATTACATGACAGGCACTATTCTGGGCACATAGTAAAGACCAAGATGGATAAATTCTATTTTCCTGGTAGTTCAGCTTCTGAAACAAGCAGCACAACCTTGGGTTTATCTCCTCTACATTCTAAAGTAGGATGATCAAAGTCATAGTCATGATTCACTAAGTGTACGGATGAGTTATCGTCAATCTCTGCCACAAACTCTCCACCAACACACACACAACTCAAAAGATTTAAAAATAATTTTTATAGAAGATTAGAGAAGTTTTAGGTATCCTTAACTGTCAAAAGTCTATTGCTCATATTTACTGAAAGTCTACCACCTATCTTATTATTATTTTCCATATTATTTTCACTGTTCATTAGACTTAAACATTTTCAAAATTCTGGAAAATCATGGGCAGTGTGTTTGTTTCTTCTATGAATGCTTAATTAATACCCCATTGACTGGGCTGGGCCCGGTGCCAGATGCTGGACAACCCAATAGCTTCATTTTAGACTCTCCCTAGGAGAGAATTTAACACAGCAACTCCTGACCCAGGTGAAACTGCCACCAAAGGTCCACGGGCGTCTTCTCTGCAACTCTATATTACACCATACGGGTACAAACCTGCATCAAAACACAGATGCTGTCCAGATTGCCCTTAGACTTTCTTCTGTGAAAGAATAATTCACACCTGCAAAATTTAAAGGCACCATGTAAGGGTTGCAATATTTTCAACAAATGCAAGATGTTTCTCATTCATTACAATTAATCAATGCTGGGTGGGGAAGGTGGTTGGGACAAGAGCCACAATCAATGAAAACACAAAACGAAGCCTGCTCTACTGTGTCTTTATACCTGCCTTGCACTTTGTGTGCATCCTCACACGTGCCAGAGTCAGGGGATTCCATCATTATCCTCTTTAGAGATGATGGAAAGGAGGCTCAGACAGGTTGTCTATTCAGGGCAATGCTTGTGTCTCAGGCTTCCTCATAAGATGCTTCCTACAGACAGGATCCTACAGATGCCTTGTGCCTAGGGACTTCTCCATAACTAGTTCTTTATTTGCAGAAATAAATGCGGATAAGAAATTATTTTTATTAAGGTCAGGAGCAAGGAGGAAGAAAATGTCACTTTTTTGTGAAATCTTGTCCATGTTTAGATTTAAATGAATTTGCTGAAGGAAAGTCATCTGAAGTCCTTTTATCAATAGGAGTCATAATGACTTGTGTACTTTATTCCCTCTTTTATAATAAGGCATTTTCCTGACTCAATCATGGAGCATCCCAAGTTGAAAAATATAAATAACATTTTGCTGGCTCTGTGTCTGAGATAAAAATTCCACATTTAACAGTAAGTAACCATTTCCCCTGCCTGGGTTATAACATAGATTAGGAAACCAGGTGTTTAAGTTCAGAGGCCCCACATGTTACTGTACCTTGAATTTCAAGGAAGTGAAAATAAAAGCCTGCCTGAGCGAATCTCAGGAGGCTGTGGTGCCAGAAGGTAATTATCACCTCCAGGTACCCAGGTTTGCTTTGCTGTGGACAGATGACCTTTTATATAAAAATCTCAAACTAGCATGCCGATTTCTACTTTCTACGTTAGAAAAAATGTTACTGAGGCTCTGAGCGGAAAAAGGCAATTATTGTGTTCAAGGTTCTTTCTCTGTCATCTGACAGCTGAAGTTAAGAATTTTGGGTGATGCATGTCAATCCATTTTGCTCCATCCTTATCAGTGCTGCTAACCCATGAGCCTCCTCCACTCAGGTGCCTTTTGCTAGAGTGGTTTCAGGGACCACAGATAACAGGAAGAAAAGCCAAAAACCACAAATGAGACTTTATTTTCCACTGACCAGACAGTGGGACTCAGTTTAAAAGCTTGACTTGGGATTTTATAAAAGTACGCTCAACTACAACAGACTTCCCAGGATTCTTGAAACGTGATATTGATAACTGTGATCCAGCCACTGTATTAATTAACCTCTTTCTAGCAATGAAAAGTACGTACATAGGTTTCAAATAATTTCTATTAGGGAGAATGCAACATTATGAACAGTGTGATTTATATCTTTTCTTCAGGCAGGAAATAAATTGCAATGGTGTTACTAGTGGCAAAGATCCGAGTCACCCCAAGTTACCGGCAGCCTATCCTTAAGGGTCCACAGCAACTTCGGTCCTTGCCTCCTCGGAAGAAAGAATTTGACTGAGGGGCATAAAGTGGGGAAAGAGACCGAGGCAAGTTCCAGAGCAGGAATGGAAGTTTATTTTAAAGGCTTTGGAAAAGGAAGAAAGGACGGTGCCCTTGGAAGAGACCCAAATGGGCACGGGAAGGTTTAACAGAGGTCAAGTGCCCCATTTAATTGGGATCCTAGGACTTTCATAAGCGGGCCTCTTTCCCATGATTCCTCCCATAGGGTGGGCTGCCGGCATGCGCAGAGCCCGCCTGACCCTTTGGAATTGAGCATGCGCAGTGTGTGTAGGGAGTTAAATGCATGCCCATCGGAGGTTTTCTTTTTTCCAGTGGGGTGCACCCGGGAGACCATACTCCGCCATTTTTGTCTCTAAGATGCATGCTCAGGAATCTGTTTCTCCCTGGGGCCTGCATTCAGTTAACACTTTAAATGTTAACAGGTGTGGACCATTAGGACATTGTCTGTCCCTGGCTGCTAGATTATCTTTATTTTATTTATTTATTTATTTATTTATTTATTTATTTATTTATTTGAGATGGAGTTTTACTCTTGTCGCCCAGGCTGTAGTGCAATGGTGCGATCTCAGCTCACTGCAACCTCCGCCTCCCATGTTCAAGCGATTCTCCTGCCTCAGCCTCCCAAGTAGCTGGGATTACAGGCATGCACCACCAATCCCGGCTAATTTTTGTATTTTTAGTAGAGACAGGGTTTCACCATGTTAGCCAGGCTGGTCTTGAACTTCTGACCTCAGGCGATCTGCCTGCCTCAGCCCTCCAAAATGCTGGGATTACAGTTGTGAGCCACCGCGACCGGCTAGAATTATCATTTTTAGAGAGCCAGTTCGAAAACTGCCCAACCATCCCCTGACATTTCTAGTGGGTAGGGGGAGAGCCTTCTCCTGCCCAGCTCAGGCCTACCTACCTGTAACCTTCGGATTTGGTTGCAAGACCAAAATTAAGACACCGTCATTCAGTATGACTCATTGGGACCAAATTGGTTTCTGCATGGGCTGGTAAATCTAGATGTGTTTCTGAATTTTGGAATATCCCTTAATTACATGCTTCAGTAGGCTTTTATCCAGTGCTCCAGCAGCTAGTGACTTTCCCTTCACTGGGGCCAGGAAATTTTAGTTTTTCTTATTGTTTTAAATGATTGATCGGTGCCATGAGAAGTCAACTTAACCACTGGTATATTTTACTGTGAAATGTGTAAGTTATTTATACATAGCAATAACAAAATAGAAGGCCGGGCGTCGTGGCTTATGTCTGTAATCCCAGCATTTTGGGAGGCTGAGGCGGGTGGATCACCTAAGGTCAGGAGTTTGAGACCAGCCTGGCCAACATGGTGAAACCCTGCCTCTACTAAAAATACAAAAAAGTAGCCGGACCTGGTGGGGTGCACCTGTAATCTGAGCTGCTTGGGAGGCTGGGGCAAGAGAATCGCTTGAACTCGGGAGGTGGAGGTTGCAGTGAGCCGAGGTCATGCCATTGCACTCCATCCTGGACAATAAAAGTGAAACTCCGTCTCAAAAAAAAAACCACACACACACACACACACACACACACACACAAATAATAAAATAGAAATATAACTAACATGGCGTAGAGTCAAGATTCTATTTTTCAAATAGACCATAAAGGGAAGCGTGCTTGTATAAATGCAAAAAGAATAAATAAAAAAAGACATTTCAACCTAAAATGCTTTTTAAATTACCACCCCAATACAGTTTAATTGTAGCCTCAGATCAATAGTTGTAAATACTTTATTACAAAAATAATGACTTTCATATACTCTTTTGTGAATATAAAAGATACCATCGTCAAAAATTTACAAAATAAAAAGGGAAGTAAATATTTCAATATCAATTATACACTCACCAAGAAGAACCATTTTTACTATATATTCCTCTATGCTTGTGTTACTTCTTATAAATACATACCTGTAATTATCAGGCTGGACAT
The DNA here is from genome assembly GCF_000001405.40 of Homo sapiens. Taxonomy (NCBI): domain Eukaryota; kingdom Metazoa; phylum Chordata; class Mammalia; order Primates; family Hominidae; genus Homo; species Homo sapiens. The sequence continues at coordinate 127,090,538 of NC_000012.12, forward strand.
GCCGCATTGTAGCCTGTTTCCATTCAACAATAACTCATGAACCCTTCTGTGTATTAAATACTTTTCTACACATCTGTTTCAATGCATTTATTGAATTTCATCATATGAATCGTTTCTATTTTGTGTATCTAGTTTCCTATTGCGTACATTTAAACTAATTACTATTCTTGCTATTGTATATATGTATTTGATAATTGCATTGTTTGTAGTCTTCGAATATTTTTTGAATATTTAAACCCACATATACCCTAGGATAATTTGGAGAAGTAGCATTGCTGGGGTTTCACACGTTTGCTCACATAATTGTATGTTAAGAGTGGTCCATTTCTCCATACCCACCCATATTGCCCTGGGCAGAAATTTCCTTCTCTAATTGTTCGCTTGGTTCCAGATTAACACCACAGGCTTCTTGCAGCCTATGGCTTTATGGCTGACGGCTCCATGGGGAGCGCACTCCCACCCTCTTCTAAAGATTGGCTCAGAGTCAGTCTCTGCAGAACACTGAGGGCTCCTAACAGAATGGAGCAGCACCACTAGGATGGCCTATCCTCCAGAGGCCTGGAGAGAAGGAGAAACCATTCCAATTTCTTCCAACCCAGCACCCGACACACCTGAGTTTACTTCAACAAAAGGACAAACATAATTCGAAGAGGATAATTACCCTATCATCATGAAATAAAAACAAAAAACATGTTTTCCTGAGGAGATAGAATTCTCATCTGTCTGTCTGTATCTATCTAGCTAGCTAGCCAGCCATCTATTGTTTGTCTGTATCTATCTGTCTGTCTGTATCTATCTATCTAGCTAGCCAGCCATCTATTGTTTGTATCTATCTGTCTGTCTGTTTATCTATCTATCCTTCCATCTATCATCTGTTTCTATTTTGAAACAGGGCATTGTTCTGTCACCCAGGCTGGACTGCAGTGGTGCAATCATGGCTCCCCGCAGCCTCCACCCCCTGAGCTCTAGCCATCCTCCCACTTCAGCCTCCCTGGTAGCTGGGACTATAGGCATTCGTCACCACACCGAGCTAATTTTTAAATTTTTTTGTAGAGATGAGATCTCACTATTGTCGAGGCTAGTCTCAAACTCCTGGCCTCAAGTGATCCTCCCACCTCAGCCTCCCAAAGTGCTGGGATTATAAGCATGAGCCACCACCACACCCAGCCTATATATTTTATTTATGTTTTACATATAAATGAATTAATATCATTATTAAATAAATATACATTTACTATGGATTTTACTTATATGTTATTTGTATGCATATATGCATTCATATAAACATTTCATACATTACATATAAAATTGTATATTTATGTAAATTTTTATATATTTTATATTTATATATACACATATAAAATGTATGTGTATATACAATTATATATATATATATATGAAAAGCTTGGACATCACAGATGTGCCAAATGGAAAAAAATATCTAAAGCTTAAGTAGCAAATGCAATATTGAATTCAGGCCAAATTAATTAAAGTATAACAGGTGTAGAAAGCTTGATGCTTACTCACAAAGCAATCACGCCTGGTCCGCCAGCTCCAGTTCAGGAGGCAACTGAGGACTGGGCTGACCCATGCTCCTTCCTGTTCCTGTCCTCTCAAAGGGAATCACCATCCTGACTACAAACAACACGAATTAATTTTGCCTGTGTTTGCATTTTATGTAAGTGGAGTCATACAGTATATACTATATATTTATTTCTTCACCATGTTGTGACATGCAAAAGACTTGCAGCATATATTGCTTTGTGCCTGGCTTCCTTTGCATAGCATTCTGGTACATGTAGTTATGGATAATTTATTCTTGTTGTTGTAGAGTGTTTTTCTGTATGATTATATCACAATTCATCCATCTGCTCTTAATGGTTATTTTCCTTTCCTTCATATCATTCTCACAAATGCTACTGGAGGGTCTACTATGGGCCAGCAGTATTCTAGGTTCTGAAACTTCTGTGCTGACCAGGACAGATTAAACTCAATTTGCTGGAAGAGACAGACACAAGTGTTAAAATAATTTTGGAAAAAGACAAATACTATGTGACAATAGTGCAGGTGGGTATGGAGGAATGCAACGTGGTGGGTAGGGAATATGAGTGGTCATGGTAAATTTTTCCAGAGAGGGAGTATTCGAGCTGACACCCAGATGAAGACCAAGAGGCAAGCAAAGGTGGAATGGAAGATCATGCCAAGAAAAATGAATGATCACCCCAAAGGGCCTGAGTTAAGAAGAAACCCAGCCTGCCTGAGGAACAGAACGAAGTCCAGTATGACTAGAACAAAATGAGAACAGGGAGAGAATGGGGAACAAGGTGATTTAATTGGGGCTAAATGAGGAAGATTCCCAAAGGCCATGGTGAAAAGTGGGGCTTCTATGATAAGGTCAGTGGGAGGCCATTGGGTTGCTTTTGAGCAGGGTAGTGACTTAATCTTATGTACTAGGGAATTTAATTTATTTTCTGTATTCTCTGCCATCTTAACCACTGGCTATCAATAAATGACAAGCTAGGAATGTTAACAGAATAAGTATATTTTATTGGATAATGGGAGTGGGAATTTAGAATAAGCTCCTTTCAAGAATTCTCATTTCTACCTTAGCAGGGACACTGAACACTGATTAAATTTCTCTGGAAGTGCTGGAAAGTGTACAGACTCCTGTCTCTGCCCATAGCATTTATTCCCCAAATTGGCCACTTCTTGTCACTCAGAGTGCATTACACGAGTCTAAAGTCGAGCTTATTGTTACTATACTTAACAACTTTACTAAACACAAAATGCATTTATTGGAGATTAGATCAGACTTCTGAATTGCCTTTTGTTTTTTGGGGGTGAGGGAGAAAAAAAGATTCATAAGGGATTTGTTTCAAATAGAAGTCATTCTTGTCAAGCTATGTCTTTAAAACTTAGTTCTACAATAGATTTGCCAAAAAATCAATTACTTGCCTAGAGACAGAGTAGATACATTTTTTTCTTGTAACCTAATTCCAAGAATTGTCTTACGGGTAGTGTTTCTTATCTAACTCTGAACATCCTCTTCTGCTATCTGTGAATTTCTTATAAGAATACTTGGGGCTGGGCATGGTAGCTCACGCCTGTAATCCCAGCACTTTGGGAGGCCGAGGCAGGCAGATCACGAGGTCAAGAGATCGAGACCATCCTGGCTAACACGGTGAAAACCCGTCTCTACTAAAAATACAAAAAAAAATTAGCTGGGCGTGGTGGCGGGCGCCCGTAGTCCCAGCTACTCAGGAGGCTGAGGCAGGAGAATGGCATGAAACCGGGAGGCAGAGCTTGCAGTGAGCTGAGATTGCGCCACTGCACTCCAGCCTGGGCGACACAGCGAGACTCCTCTCAAAAAAAAAAAAGAGAATACTTGGAATTGTTTCTAACTTGGTGCTCTTTTTTAATTAAATGCTATATTATACTTTCTCCTTATATTTGTGTGTCACATACTAATGTTGATTTATAAATAATTGTTTCCTGGGATGCTGCTTTTGAATTAATTAAGAGGTAATATAGGAAAAAGGAGTGTCTTCCTGCTCAAATTAGTTGAAGAAGCTGCCTTCAACTGGTGATGTTAATGACGGATTTCTCAGTTAACTAGTGATTCGTGTTTTGGGGCGATGCTTAAAACAGCATATTTGAATAGACTGCTCCTGAATTTACTCATTGTATATCTGGTCAACAAACATTATTGATAACTTTTATGGTCTACATCCTGACCTAGACAATAAGGTTAAAGAGATAAATTAGAAAAACCAGTTCCTCCTTTTAAAAAACTTAGAAATAAATGGGAATGTTCCATGTAATCTATCCAGCGATGCAATTTTTTAAATTATTAATAAAAGGAAAAGCATTAAAAAATAAAAAGAAATGAATGGGAATGTAAGGTCATCAATTTATTACAACTGTTGCAGTTGATACAAAGAAGAATTAAGGGGTTATCCTAGTTCACATCAAAATATATGCCAGATGCCCTCTTTATAGTGTCAGAATTTTACTTGAAAAACTGTCTATTTTATAGCCTGCATTTTCACCCTGGTATTTTTTTTAATATTTTTTTTTTATTATACTTTAAGTTTTAGGGTACATGTGCACATTGTGCAGGTTAGTTACATATGTATACATGTGCCATGCTGGTACGCTGCACCCACTAACTCGTCATCTAGCATTAGGTATATTTCCCGATGCTATCCCTCCCCCCCCCCACCCCACAACAGTCCCGAGAGTGTGATATTCCCCTCCCTGTGTCCATGTGATCTCATTGTTCAATTCCCACCTATGAGTGAGAATATGCGGTGTTTGGTTTTTTGTTCTTGCAATAGTTTACTGAGAATGATGATTTCCAATTTCATTCATGTCCCTACAAAGGACATGAACTCATCATTTTTTATGGCTGCATAGTATTCCATGGTGTATATGTGCCACATTTTCTTAATCCAGTCTATCATTGTTGGACATTTGGGTTGATTCCAAGTCTTTGCTATTGTGAATAATGCCGCAATAAACATACGTGTGCATGTGTCTTTATAGCAGCATGATTTATAGTCCTTTGGGTATATACCCAGTAATGGGATGGCTGGGTCAAATGGTATTTCCAGTTCTAGATCCCTGAGGAATCGCCACACTGACTTCCACAATGGTTGAACTAGTTTACAGTCCCACCAACAGTGTAAAAGTGTTCCTATTTCTCCACATCCTCTCCAGCACCTGTTGTTTCCTGACTTTTTAATGATTGCCATTCTAACTGGTGTGAGATGGTATCTCATTGTGGTTTTGATTTGCATTTCTCTGATGGCCAGTGATGATGAGCATTTTTTCATGTGTCTTTTGGCTGCATAAATGTTTTCTTTTGAGAAGTGTCTGTTCATGTCCTTCGCCCACTTTTTGATGGGGTTGTTTGTTTTTTTCTTGTAAATTTGTTTGAGTTCATTGTAGATTCTGGATATTAGCCCTTTGTCAGAGGAGTAGGTTGCGAAAATTTTCTCCCATTTTGTAGGTTGCCTGTTCACTCTGATGGTAGTTTCTTTTGCTGTGCAGAAGCTCTTTAGTTTAATTAGATCCCATTTGTCAATTTTGTCTTTTGTTGCCATTGCTTTTGGTGCTTTAGACATGAAGTCCTTGCCCATGCCTATGTCGTGAATGGTAATGCCTAGGTTTTCTTCTAGGGTTTTTATGGTTTTAGGTCTAACGTTTAAGTCTTTAATCC